>NC_000014.9:54763228-55066258 GCF_000001405.40 Homo sapiens | reverse complement strand
TTCTTAGAAGGAGGTAGCTATCAAACCAAAAAACTGGCAGCATTTGGCATTCTTGACATTTTAATTAGAGCAGAAATAAACTACTAAATATTTTATTTCTAAGCAAAACAGAGCTCCAGCATAAATCCTGTTTGTCTGAGAAATTCACAATACATTTTAGAAATCCAATGGATACATTCAAAATGTTATCTAATAAATAACAAGGTCAGGTCTACTCCAAATCTAAGAATCTGATTTAAACATAAGGTGCCAAAAAACTACCAGGGCTTTTTTTTTTTGGTGGTTATAAACAATACTTGATATTTAAGCAACACAGTCACACTGCTTTAAACTTAGTTGCAGAGATCTACAATTTATTATTATTTTCAGTGTTAGAGCTAGAGGGTAATTTTTTCAAAGATGGCACTCAACTCCACTTATTTACCTGTCAACAAATACAGAACTGAACTGTTAGCCATAAGCACTTTACAAACAGACTCAGGAAACTATGCAGTAGACAATGACATAGCTTAACCAGACTCTGAAAAAGAGATACATATTTTGATTCACACTTGTACAAAGAGAACAGTCATGTCTGCATGACTTAAGGTTCCCTAAACACAACTGTTTTATGTTTTAGACCCCTGGAGTGTGCCAGTTTACCACATCAGGGAGGAATCAAGGGATGTGTGTGCTCCTTCTAAAGAACCAAGGGCAAGTGGGGTGGGGGTGGCTACAGGGAACGCTCTGGGCAAAAGAGCTGCCTCAGGTTTTTGTGGGAATGAAAATTACTTGTTGCAGTTAAGCAATTCCTAGGGTTTATCTAGTTTGAGGTTCAAAACAAAGGAGAGAATTATTTCCTTCCTCGAGCTCTTCCCAAAGCAATATGCACATCTCATAATCAAATCTCAAGTAGTACAAAGAGATAATCAATTATCTAAAAATTTAATTTACATACATGTTGGCCTGGATTAAAAACAAAAAAGTTAGTTTCCATAAATAGCAGACTTTAGTGCTGTATGACCCAATGACTAAAAATAAAACCAGGAAGTTTTTACTAAAAGCTCAAGGATAAAAATGAACACTGGCTGGCTATTGAACTCCACATCTGACAATAATTACTGACAGTTTAAAAATGTATATCCAAAATATAACCTCAAGAGGACCAGGTTTATTTGTCCGACAGAGCAGCTCAAAATGTTGAGGCATCATTTGTTTGGATTATGATGGGTTATTCTCGAAGTTTATTTATTTAGAAGGGGAAAGTGATTATAGAAAAATACTTGAAATAATTTGCCAATGAAGTTGCAGATTCTAACAATAATCCACATCTTAGATTTTTAAGTGTGTAGTTTCATAGTTTAAACAAATTCTGTCAAAGAACTATTCAATATACTTTATCACTTTAACTTTCCATGAAAACCAAATAAAAATCACATCCGAATGATTTACTTCTATGCTTTTATCTGATTGTATACATATGATGTACTACGCATCCAAGTACAAGAGGCAGTTATCTTCTCTGAGAGGTGCAAGAGTTGTTCTTTCATGAATGCCCTCTAATAGTGAAACCAGCAATTTTTATATATGCATTCATGTGCATATACATGTACTTCAAAAAGCAAAGCGTCATCTCTTCGTCCATTGTTAACTTAATGGTAAGACTGCAATAGAAAAAAGAAAAAGTCAACTTCTAGATTTTGCAAATGGAGTTTATTAACTCCTTACTGTGGCTTAAAGTAAATTTATTGCTTAATAAATCCAAACAGCAAGTCACATCATTTACTCTGGCATACACTTTGCAAAACAAATATTTTTAGATAATATATATAGCAAGAAAGAAATTACACTAATGCAAGGAGGAAGTTTTAGGGGTACTTTAAAGATTTCTTTTCCTTTATAGCTGGATTGGATGTTTGACTAATCTAATCAGAGATCTGGCTAGTTATTTTCGTACTAAGAGTTAACAGATTTTTTTTTTTTCCTGGCTGGGCATGGTGGCTCAGGCCTGTAATCCCAGCACTTTGGGAGGCTGAAGCAGGCGGATCACTTGAGGTCAGGAGTTCAAGACCAGCCTGGCCAACATGGTGAAACTCCATCTCTACTAAAAATACAAAAATGAGCCGGTGTGGTGGCACACGCCTGTAATCCCAGCTACTCAGGAGAATCGCTTGAACCTGAGAGGTAGAGATTGCAGCGAGCCGAGAGACTGCACTCTTGCCTGGGTGACAGAGCAAGACTGTCTCAAAAAAAAAAAAAAAAAAAAAAAAAAAAAAGAGTTAACAGATTTTTTTTCCTAAGGAAAATCTTTACTCTGCGTTTGGATACTCGTTTGGCTTACCTCACAGGGGAAGTGGGGTACTTTTCCATTTGGTTATATGACCAAGGCAGGCTCCTCAACTAAGATGTTAACCCCACACTGGGTTGTCTGACAGTAAAGCATAAAGCATTACATGTAACTGACAATAAAGAATAGGGGTGTAATCTTGAGCTCGAGAACTGCTTGAAAGATGAACATTACCTACTCATTGCCTTGGATTCTCTAAAAATCTACCTCTATCAAGCTAGACAGGTAGAGACTGCTTTTACTGAACTGTACTTTGGTGTGATGCTATAAAACAATACTGAGAAATAATAATAATAAAACAAAAAGCCCAATGAAATGAATCTCAGAGTTTACCTAAAGGATGCTATTGAGGACACTGCTTACTACATTACAAAGTCTTTGGGGATCTTTGGAAAATTCTTCTTTTTAGCACAAGGAATACTTAAAACAGTGCTTTCATCCTTTTAAATGCTTTACCTGAAGGTTTGAAATTTACTTATTTAATATACACACACCCTCTTTTAAAAACTTAAAAGCCTTCTTAATCTTCCATCCAAAACTGGGGAGAAACAATGTCAGTTGTGCTATGTACAATTAGTACACTTTAAATAACAAATTGAACACTCACATGGGGGCCACCAGGCATTGGTGGAGCACCAGAAGGTCCTGAAGGCACTTGGAAAGGATTACTGGGAGTAGGATAGAGTCCTGGTGTGGGATACGATCCTGTAGGGGCAGGATATGGTGCTGGTGGTCCCCAGGCTCCTGGTGGAACGGTGCCCCATGGAACAGGTGGTGCTGCCCCAGGGGCTTGGGGAGGAGGAGGAGCGGGATATGGGCCTGGAGATGGATATGGCATATTAGGGGTAGGATACTGCCCTCCCATTCCTGGCGCCCAAGGTCCAGAAGACATGGATCCCCATGGACCTAAAGGACCAGCTGCAGCTGGATCTGTGGGTGCACCATATGGTCTGGGTAGCTCTGGAAAGGGCATATTTGGTGTAGGATATGGCCCTGTGGGGCCAGGGCCCGGCACAGTTGGGGCTGGATAAGGACCACCAGGTGGGGGACATGATGGTCCGGAAGGAGGAAAGGGTGCTGGGGGTCCTGGAGGTGGTCCGGTGGGAGGCACGGAGGGATACATTCCTGTTGGTGCTGGTCCAAAAGGCACAGTGGAGGGTGTTGCACTTGGTGGGAGTCCAGATGGCACTGAAGATGGAGCACTCGGATTATTCCAAGGGTTGGAGCCTGGCCAGCCTTGAGGAGGTTGGCCAGGTTTTGTATTGCTCACAGCAGAGGTTTTGGCAGGGGAGTGTTCAGGTAGTGCATCTGCCAACTGGAACACAAAACAGATACGTCTTTCCTATCTAGGGAAAAGTTACATCGAACACCATTATAAACCCACAGAGAATAGTAACCTATAGGGGCAGGGATTATAAACCTCAAGAATATCTTCAAAAGCTAAGCTAGTCATTTAAAAAATACTCTATTTAACATAAACCTTGAGATGCTACTTTGCGTATCAACTTTACAGTGCAAATTCTTCAGAGAAACTCGTTTTCTAAATACAACTAATCATATTGTGCTTCATTTCTCTGCTGTATTAATACAACAAAATACAGTAATTAAGAAGATAGAACTAACAGTCAAGATATGGATTTGAATCCTGGCTTAACCTCAAAGGAGCTACATACTCTGAGATAGAGCCTCTTCAGTTTCAAAACTGTTTTAGGGTTAACTTGAGGCTTAAATATGATATTTCATGTAGTACACTTTCACAGAGTGCCTGGTATATAATAATTTCTAATAAATGTTGGCTATTAATACTATCAGGGTAAAAGAGAACAACAGAAGTAACATCTTAAATTTTCATTTAAAGAAATACATATTTTCATAAATACAGGAAACATTTCCAAACATGCTATTATCTCAGTAAACTAAGGCAAATCACCTATCAAAATCTCTTTACTACCCCCAAAGCCAAGAATCACAAAAAGCATCTCTTTTATTTATTTATAGACAGAGTCTCACTCTGTCACCCAGGCAGGAGTGCAATGGCACAATCATGGCTCACTGCAGCCTGAAACTCTTGGGGTCAAGGGATCCTCCCAAGTAGCTAGGACTACAGGTGCACACCACCATGCCTGGTTAAAGCATCTCTTTTAAGTGAAAAGATTTACGTAGCCCAGTTAGGACCATGTTGTTTTTCTTAAGAGATGAAAAACTTATCACAGATAAACTGATCAACTTACCGAAAATTCATCAGACATTTTCCTAAAAAAAGAAAAGAAATGAAGGAAGAAAGAAAAATTTCAAAATCAGTGTTCACCATTTCTTAAATATTCCTTAAGGAACTTTCTATGCATACATTATTATTACTTAAGCGGAATCTTATTTATGTAATGTGTTTTTCTTTACATAGGAAAGTTTTCCATAATAGTTCATACAGCTCTATTAACTTCATCCCTTTTAATGGCTGCACATCATACAAAAATGATTTGCAATTTAATTTACCTTCTTTTTGTAGCAGTATAAGTTGTTTTAAGTATGATACAGTGAACATCTCTCAACACTTCTTTGTTTGTGTGTGAGAATCTAACACCAGGAAAAAGCACTGGACATGGAATTTAGAGTCAACAGATAAATTTATCTAAAATCCATTTGAAAAGTCCATGCCAATTTACACTCATTTCTCTAACTCCTTTTACCACTGGATATTATTAAATTTATTGTTTATAATGACAATAGATATTAAAAATTAGCGTCTTATTTTAACTTACATTTCCTCGTCTTTTTTTTGGAGACAGGGTCTCATTCTGTCACCCAGGCTGGAGTGCAGTGGCGAGAGAGATCACAGCTCACTGCAATCTTGACCTCCTGGGCTCAAGTCATCTTCTTGCCTCAGTCTCCCTAATAGCCGGTACTACAGGTGTGTGCCATCATGCCCAGCAAATTTCTTAAAATTTTAAAAATTTATTGCAGAGACAGGTGTCTCACTATGTTGCCCAGACCCGGTCTCAAACTCCTGGGATCAAAGGACCCTCCTGCCTCAGCCTCCCAAAGTATTGGGATTATAGCCATGAGCCACTGTGTGTACTCCCAAATTTAAATTTATTGATGTCCTGGAGTACTTTTACCAATTTTTAAATTGAAGTGTAATTAGCACTCAACAAAATGCAGAGATCTTAAGTGTTCAGATTAACAAGCTCTGATAATTGTATACGCCCCTATAACCACCCCAAGATACAGAACATTTCTCACTCCAGAAAGTTTACTCATGCTCTTTTCCAATCAACTACCTTGCCTCATGGCAGTCAATTTTTGACTTAATTTTGCTTGTTCTTTGACTTTATATAAATAAAAGACTGTAGGTACTCTTTGCCTTTGATCATTTTATTACTCAGTAGCACATCTTTTTCTCTCACTGCTTTGTAAGATACTAAGCAGACTAGCTTTCATATATGAGATTAAAATTTTTTGGCCGGGTGCAGTGGCTCACGCCTATAATCCCAGCACTTTGGGAGGCCGAGGCAGGCGGATCACGAGGTCAAGAGATCGAGACCATCCTGGCTAACACGGTGAAACCCCGTCTCTACTAAAAATACAAAAAAACGATTAGCCCAGTGTGGTGGCGGGTGCCTGTAGTCCCAGCTACTTGGGAGGCTGAGGCAGGAGAATGGCATGAACCTGGGAGGCGGAGCTTGCAGTGAGCCGAGATTGCGCCACTGCACTCCAGCCTGGGCAACGGAGGGCTACTCCATATCAAAAAAAAAAAAAAAAAAAAAAAAAAAAAAAAAAATTTCTCCAAAATTCCTTTTATCTGTAGATCTCTTAAAGGGCATATTTTGGTTATACAAAAGTTTTAAATTTCATGTCATCAAATCTATCAATGTTTTCCTATACGTGGCTTCTGGATTTTGTGATATATTTACAAAGGCCTTCCCTACTCTGCCTTGCTTTCATATAGTATTTTTATGGTTTAACTTCTTGTTTAAAACCTTTAAATTCTTCCAAACAATAATTATCAACTATCTATCTTTTCTCAGCTAATTGGACAAGCTACCTTTACTACACTATACTGCTGCCATTTATAACTAGCATCTATCCAATATTTACCATGAAACATGGAACATGGTGGTGTACTGTGCACCACCTCACTTGGTAGCTCCAGAACCCAGATACAAATTTTATTTTCACCCCCAGTTTACAGCTGGAGAAGAGGAAGCTTGGCAAGTTAACTTGTTTAAGGTCCCAGAGCTAATGACAAGGAGAGAAGCAGTTCAAACCCAGTATGACTCCAGAACTTAGGCTCTTAACAAGCAGGCTATAGAGCCTCCTTCATTTCCCACAGATATTGTGGACTTTATTCTTTTCTTTTTGAAACAGTCTTGCTTTGTTCCCTGGCCAGAGTGCAGTGGCACCATCATAAGCTCACTGCAGACTCGACCTTCTGGGCTCAATCGATCCTGCCCAGCTAGTTTTTTTGTAGAGATGGAGTTTCACCATGTTGCCCAGGCTGGTCTTGAACTCCGGAGCTCAAGTGATCTGCCTGCCTCGGCCTCCCAAAGTCTTGGGATTACAGGCGTGAGATACTGTGCCCAGCTGACTTTATTCTTTTCTACTGGTCTGCAACTGTACCATTCCATTTTAATTACAGAAGCTTTACAATATATTTTAAATAAACATTAATGTGAGTCACCCTACTGTCTTTTTTTTTTTTTTTTTTTTCAGATTTTCCTATGTATTTTTATTTTTTCCAGATCGTTAAAAAAAAAAATTAATGTGTTAGCATTCTGGTTGGAAATGTATTATATTTACAGATTAATCTAGGGGAACATCTATTTAAAATGTCAAATCATCTCGTTCAAGAACAAGGTATAGTATAGTCCCTCGGTACCTGAGGGAGATTGGTTCTAGGACCCCCATAGATACTCAAATCCCAGGATGCTCAAGTACCTGATATAAAATGGTGTAGTATTTGCATATAACCTATGCACATCTTCCCGTATAAATCATCTCTATATTATTTATAATACTTAAAAGTGTGAATACTATATAATTATATTAACTTATATTTTCTATGGTTATTTTTATTGTTTCCCCCAAGTATTTTTTTTTTTTTGAGACAGGGTCTCACTCTGTTGCCCAGGCTAGAGTGCAATAGCATGATGTCAGCTCACTGCAACCTCCATCTCCTGGGTTCAAGAGATTCTCCTGCCTCAGCCTCCTGAGTAACTGGGATTATAGGCAAGCGCCGCCATGCCCGGCTAATTTTTTGTATTTTTAATAGAGACAGGGTTTCACCACGTTGGCCAGGCTGCTCTTGAACTCCTGGCCTCACGTGATCCGCCCGCCTCAGCCTCCCAAAGTGCTGGGATTACAGGCATGAGCCACCGCACCCGGCTCCCTGAATATTTTCTACCCGCAAATGCAGACACAGAGGACTGTTTAGTTCCTGTCCTTTTCATGTAGTTTATTTTCTTGATCAGATCTCCTATATACATTTCTTTTAAGGGATTTCTGTTAAACTTTTCCCTGTGGTTGTAAATAGGCTCTTTTCTTCTACTGTATTTTCTAATTGTTCGTTCATATATGGGACAGGGTTTTAAAATTTTAGTCTATAGCAGGTCCTCGAAAGACGTTTCATTCAACTTTGTTTTGTTATAATGTTGATGAGAAGAAAAAACAAAAAGTCTCAGCTGAGGTCACTGTCTGTGTGAAGCTGGCTCATTCTCCCATCTTTATGGGTCTTCTCCAAGTACTCCAGTTTCCTCCCATATCCCAAAGATGCACATGAATGGATGTGTCTACGCGGCCCAGTCTGTGAGCGTGGGTGTAGGTGAGAGCACCCTGTGCTGGGATGGCGTCCAGTTCAGGGCTGGTTCCCAACTTGGACTCTGAATTGCCAAGAAAGGCTCCAGCCATTGAGACCCTGAACTGGAAGAGGGAGGCAAATAATTATCTTTTTATTAATCTTTCTTAAATGTATACACAGCTCACATTCATTCAATTTTTTTTTGAGACAGGGTCTTGCTCTGTCACCGAGGCTGGAGTGCAGTGGTGTGATCACAGCTCACTGCAACCTCCACCTCCCAGGCTCAAGTGGATCCTCCCACCTTAGCCTTTGAGTAGCTGGGACCATAGGCATGCTAATTTTTAAAATTTTTAGTAGAAATCATTTAAATTTTTTTTTTTTTTTGAGATGGAGTCTCGCTCTGTCGCCAGACTGGAGTGCAGTGGCGCGATCTTGGTTCACTGTAACCTCCGCCTCCTCAGTTTAAGCGATTCTCGTGCCTCAGTCTCCTGAGTAGCTGGGACTACAGGTGCGGGCCACTACACCCACTAATTTTTGTATTTTTAGTAGAGACGGGGTTTCACCATGTTGTCCAGGATGGTCTCCATCTCTTGACCTTGTGATCCGCCCACCTTGGCCTCCCAAAGTGCTGGGATTACAGGCGTGAGCCACTGCGCCCAGCTCATTTAAATGTTTAATACTAGAAGTGTTTTGGGTTTTATTTAAAAGTTTAGTGATGTTTTTGTTACCAGAAATATGCCATAGGAATTTAACTCTTCTTTATATTAATTAACCTAGGGTAGGAAGCATCATTACTGAATTATTTTATTCTTCAAAGTTTCTCACTTGATTCTCTGGTATTTCCAGATAAAAAATACGCCATTTGCAAAAAATAACTTTCCTTCTCTAATATTTATGCATCTTTTCTGTTTTGCACTTGCTAGGACTTAAATAATGAAATGTTGAGTGATAGTGGGCACAGAGGTCTTGCTCCAACTCTCCTGGGAATGCTAATGTTTAAGTATGATTCCCATTTTTAGTTTGAGATTTTAAAAAATTACATTATTTTTAATTTATGCCTATGCTATTATTTATTCCTATTCTGTTAATAAAGAAAGCAAGAAGACATTAAATTCCCTCAAAAGACTTTTCAGTATCTAATGAATTGATCTCATGCTTTTTCTCCTTTGACCTATCAATACAGTATTAACATAGAGCCACCTTTGTATTCTTAGCATCTTATTTCTAATTATGATTTGATTATCATGAGGAAAGGACAAGAACATAAAGGACAAGAACCCAAGCCTATCCCAACTGCTATATCCTTTTTATTCAGAATATCAAAAAACATGGCCGGGCGCGGTGGCTCACGCCTGTAATCCCAGCACTTTGGGAGGCCGAGGAGGGCGGATCACGAAGTCAGGAGATTGAGACCATCCTGGCTAACAAGGTGAAACCCCGTCTCTACTAAAAATACAAAAAATTAGCCAGGCATAATGGTGGGCACCTGTAGTCCCAGCTACTCAGGAGGCTGAGGCAAGAGAATGGCGCGAACCCAGGAGGCGGAGCTTGCAGTGAGCTGAGATCAAGCCACTGCACTCCAGCCTGGGTGACAGTGCAAACTCCGTCTCAAAAACAAAAAAACAAAAAAACCCACATACAACCCATTCCCATGTTAAGGTTTAACGTCAATCACATCACACAATAAAATTTTTAGGACTAACAGTGTAGAAAATATACGGTAAGTTGTAAGGCTAACATGCTTTTTAAACAGGGTTAGCCTTTCTGAAATAGAAAATGATTCTGTATCAAAGTTCATATTAATTCTGGAGTTGAGAATCAAAGTGAACCAAATGGCCTTGACTGTTCAGGTTTTCAGAATTATACAGTTACCTAGTCATGGAATTACATAAATTATTCTACAAGTTAATAATATTCAACTGATTCACAACACTACTTCAAAATTTTAAAGTTCAAAATCCAAGTCTGGAAGATAGGGGAGGTGCTAGAATCTTGTGATTAAAAAACAAAGCCCTAAGCATAGGAATTAGTAACAAGTTCTGTTCTACGGCACTGTCTTAGTAAAGTGACCAGCTCTCCATTCCTAGAATAAACAGCGTTCATGTTAGGGTGATCCCCCCTTATCTGTGGTTTTAATTACCTAAGGTCCGAACATATTAAATGAAAAATTCCAGAAATAAATAATTCGTAAGTTTTTTGTTTTGTTTTTGAGATGGAGTCTCGCTCTGCCACCCAGGCTAAAGTGCAGTAGTGTGATCTTGACTCACTGCAACCTCCGCCTCCCAGGTTTAAGTGATTCTCCTACCTGAGCCTCTCAAGTAGCTGGGATTATAGGCACGTGCCACCACGCCCGGCTAATTTTTAATTTTTGGTAGAGACGGGGTTTCACCATGTTGGCCAGGCTGGTCTCAAACTCCTGGCCTCAAGTAATCCGCCCACCTCAGTCTCCCAAAGTGCTGGGATTAGGCATGAACCACTGCACCTGGCCAATTCCTAAGTTTTAAATGGGGCAAGAGCATGTTCTGAGTAGCAAAATGAAAGTTTGCCCCCTCCTGCCTAGGACGTGAATCATCCCTTTGTCCAGTGTATCCATGCTGTATACGCTATCAGCCCATCTTGGTTATTAGATCTAAAAAACATGGTATACTTAGGCTTCGGCAGTGTATACAGACTTCAGTTTCAGGGATTCATTGGGGAGTCTTGCAATGTGTCCCCCTAGGATAAGGGGGAACAACTATAATTGGAAGCATTCCAATTTGTTCTTTGGAGAATACTTTCATTAGAAAAGGTGAAAAACAGTTGGACATGAACGTTTCAATATGAGGAGAGTTGCAGAACATAAAAAGTTTAGGTTTTCTAAAAAGCTATTCTAAGCCGCGCTTGGTAGTGTGCACCTGTAATCCCAGCTTCTCAGGAGGCTGAGGTGGGAAGACCGCTTGAGGCCAGTAGTTAAGAGACCAGCCTGGGCAATATTAGTGGCACTCTGTCTCAAAAAGAAAAATAAATAAAAATATAAAGCTATTCCAAAATATCTGAATCATCGCTAATTATTAAGATGAGGCCAATGTAACCTTGAACTCATAAAAACAATTTATACTCAAGAAAGGCTTTCTTTTTTTTCTTTTTGGAATAATCTAAAGCTATTATTTCCAAAACTTTGTTACCATTTTATAGCATGATCCACCCATCATCTGAAAAACAATACTTTTTATTCTTTGAATAGCAAGAATAGTAATTTTAAAACAGTACAAAATGTCTTTTGACATACACTAGAAAAGTAAAACATAACATTTTTGGAAACTCTCATGGCTGTTAGGGTAAAAATCATGGGTCAGGGAGGAGGGTGGTTAAGAGAGTTGAACTCCATGAATTACCAGTGGAGTTCATGGATATTTCAGACAGCCTTCAAATTGTGATGGAGTGATAAACAGTATGGGACTACACAGTGATGAAACCCGGACATGAATCCTTTTGACGGTTATCTTTTGACAAAAAACTTCTCAATAAGAGACCATTTTCCATCTGTAGAAGTTATAATTCCTGCCCACTGCACAGAAAATAGTAACACACTTAATCTATAAAGTGCTATATACATGTTAGATATTTGTTAGGCGAAATTAAGCGAAATCAAAATTTTTGGGTTGATTTGTTTAGTATGGGGGGATGATATGTATCGTACTGAAAATATAAATTAATGGCCGGGTGCGGCGGCTCAAGCCTGTAATCGCAGCACTTTGGGAGGCCGAGGTGGGTGGATTACTTGAGGCCAGGAATTCAAGACCAGCCTGGCCAATGGTAAAACCCTATCTCAACTAAAAATACAGAAAATTAGCTGGGCGTGGTGGAAGGCACCTGTAATCCCAGCTACTTCGCTTCGATAGGCTGAGGCAGGAGAATCGCTGGAACCTGGGAGGCGGAGCTTACAGTAAGCGACTCCGTCTCCAAAAAAAAAAAAAAAAAAGAAAATATAAATTATAAATTAGAATACATGCTAGTTTTTAGTATTGGCTCATTTATCTGCTTATGTTCCATTTTTTACATTTGGGCAACTCAAAAACGGGGGTTTTGAAATGCTCAAAAATCTGAATCTTTTTGAGTGCCACCATGCCGCTCAAAGGAAATGCTCATTAGAGCATTCTGGATTTTGGATGCTCAACTGGTGTAATGTAAAAAAAATCCAAAATCTGAAACACTTCTGGTCCCAAGCATTTGGGATAAAGGATATGCAACCTGCAATATTTCTTGGCATTTAGTTATATACTTATTGGAACATATATGCCAAACAATGTGTTGGCCTTTAGAGAAATTATAGTATTACATGGAGATTCCTGAGATGTGCTGTCTTTTGCAGTCCATAAGGACCATAAGGAAAGAGCCGGGAGTAGAGGGCGGTGAAATGGGCCCTAGGGAAAGAAGAGCAGTTAGTGTAAAAACTGGGAGAATCTCTGGGGAGGTATAAGCAGTTCAGATGGGTTAGAATATAGCGAGAAAGGGAAGGGTTGTATTAAAGTCTTAGCAGAGTGACCTTAGACGAGGGTTTGAATTATTTCACTAAAAGTCGGCTCATCTGAATGAACCCGAACTATAAAGAACAGGCCATACTATTTGTAAAAAGCACGCAGTTTAAAAAACAAAACAAATAAAAACCAGGCCAGTAATGTTGCGAGGAACTAAATGGGACTCTGTCCAATCAAGTGCCTAAAAAAATAGTGCTTGGGTGGAAAACAAATACCAAATTCTCTTTTCTTTGTATGTGGACATCTAGCTTATAGGTAAAAAAGTAAACGTTAAAGTATGATTATCTAGCTATAACTGCAGCTCTTCACTGGTTGGTTCGGCCAGAGTTGACAAGTCCAACTCTCCAAACTTGAGGCAAAGGAAGATCGGAATCGTACCCACATCATAGATTTGCTGTAAAACTTTTAATAAACAAATCTCTTAGTCGCTGCCTGGAATATAGCAAAACCTCAACAAATATTAGCTTTTATGATGCCTACTTTTAGGTCCATAAATCTTTATCTGCCCTAGTTTGGCACAAAACTTACATGGTGGCAAAATGTGACCTGAAGCTATTTATAGTTTCTATTCGCCCCCACTTAGAATGAATGTTCACATCTATTGCTGCAAATATTAATGTTGGATTATGGGGTGCCCCACTCTGCTGGGGGTGTTATCTCTCGTCTAACATGACTTTCTAAAAAGATGAAGATAAAATCCAAGTATTTTTGAATTCAAAACACACTAGCTTCAAAAGTTTCAGTTAAGAGACTGGGGATGGATTTTACCCATTCCGCCTGGAGTGAGGAAAAGAACATTCCAATATTTGCAATTCACTCCAAGTTTCTGAAGCAAACTCGCTTTGCATTGTGGGCTCAGAGATGCCAGCATGAAAAATTTCTATTCTTCCCCCAAAGAACACCAGTGAACAAAGAACTTATGAAATGTTTCTGAAGGCTACCTTTGCCTGTAATGAGGGTTCCTTTTCGAAACAGACCTTTACAACCCCCAGGTGTGTATTTCTCTAGTAGTAAAACTAAAAAAAATTCTTGCGGTCGAGTGAGCCTGGCTTCATGCTTTAACACTGGAATCTTTACCTATTAAAAGCTGTACTCTTGCTTTTCAAGGTAAAGAGGAAAACGGTCCAGCTATGCATACGCTATCGCAGGTATGTGCTCCTCAGTCCTAAAAAAGGAGATCACTGAATTCTGCCCTTCTCGTGGTTTGCCCTGGGTATTCATCTAATGTATCCGTGAGCAATTCCTCTAGTAAGTCATAACCAGAACGTTGTCACACTGCGGATTAACAAGCGCCCGAGACTCTTGTAAGAATCTTTTCAGGCCTTTCCCTTTTTATTAAAAATTAATGAATGAGTGTAATAGGGTGGGGGTAGAGGGGAAATCGGGGCCAAGGGGCGCGAGGCCGGCAGCCGTTTAGGGACGCACGAACAAAGGGAGTCCGGGATCAACCGGAGCGAACCGGCCTCCTAGCGGGTCGCGCCCGCCGGGAAGGGGTGGGGGAGGGGCCGGCCCGCGCCCGCCCCGCCCCGCAGCCAGACCTGACGTCAGGCGCCCAGAAACCCGTCGGGCGCGACGTCAGCGGCCTCCGACACCTTCTCCCTGGGGGGCGATCCCCAGGCAGCCCGCAGCGTGGAGGAAGGCGACCGATAGAAACGCTTAGTCCTGGTGCCAGGCAGGCGACCACGGCCCGAGCACTGGACGTGACTCGATGCACCTCGGTCACCGCGCCCGCTTCCCGCTTGGCCGCGCCCGCGGGCTCCGCAACCCCAGCTCCCCGATTCCCCTTCACGACTCCCACTAGTACCGAAGCAGCCTCACCCGGCAATATCCGAGACCGCAGTAGGGTCTAGAAGCGGCGATGGGTCCGAGGGACTGGGCCCTGAAGACGCGGGCGCAGCCTGACTGACGGCAGCTAGAGCAGCGGCGGCAACAGCACCAGCAGCGCGCGGCTCCTCCTGGCGCC
The DNA here is from genome assembly GCF_000001405.40 of Homo sapiens. NCBI lineage: Eukaryota > Metazoa > Chordata > Mammalia > Primates > Hominidae > Homo > Homo sapiens. Next base: position 55,051,658 of record NC_000014.9, on the reverse strand, counting down.
GGAACAGGAAGCGCCGAGCGCACCGCCTCCGCCCGTTCTCCCCCTCCCCTCAGGCCGCGCCGCGTGCGCCTCCCGCAGGCCCCTGGCGGTACTGCGGCCCGCCAGGCCTAGGGGGATGGGCTCCACCTGGCGCCGGCTCCGGGCCGCTTTCCCCTGGTGGGCGGGCTAAAAGCTCCCAGAGTTTCCGGAGTTCCGAGGACTCGGAGGAAACGCCAGTGGCTGCCGATGTTCACGGCTTCCCGGCGGAAATTGCTAACTTGTCTTGAGTTGCTTGAGGGCTGATTCTGGATTCCTTTTGCTCAGCGGTTTTTACAGCTAGGCCTCGAAGGAGGCTGGGTATGGACGCGGTCTGATTTCGGCCTGACCCGAGGACTCAGATCCTCGGGCCAAAAGTGGGGAGAGGGAAAATATTAATACAGGAAAGGGAAGACGTTTGCAAATAGCTTGACAAATTGATATTTGCTTTCTTTGTAGATTTTTCCTCATCAATGCCTCTTCTCCCATGTTCTTTTTTGTTGTTTTTGAGACAGGGCCTCTGTCACACACGCTGGAGTGCAGTGGCGCGATCTCGGCTCACTGCAACCTCTGCCTGCTGGTCTCAAGCAATCCTCCCATCTTAGCCTCCGAGTAGCTGAGACTGCAGGCATGTGCCACCACATCCGGCTTATTTTTGTGTTTTTGATAGAGATGGGGTCTCACCCTGCTAGCCTCAAGCGATCTGCCCGCTTCGGCCTCCCAAAGAGCTGGTATTACAGGTGTGAGCCACCGTGCCCAGCCGCCATCTTCATTTCTGAATAAACATTACCTCCTGTGTCAGGCACAGATGACATGACCCCAGTCAAGGAACCTACTAACTAGCAATAAAGATGTCGTGATAATTATATGGTGTGCAAAATATATACATATATGCAATATACTTTTTTTTTTTTTTTGAGACGGAGTCTTGCTCTGTCGCCAGGCTGGAGTGCAGTGGCGCGGTGCGATCTCGGCTCACTGCAACCTCCGCCTCCCGGGTTCAAGCGATTCTCCTGCCTCAGCCTCCCAAGTAGCCGGAACTACAGGCGCGCGCTACCTTGCCCAGCTAATTTTTGTATTTAGAGACGAGGTTTCACCACGTTGGCCAGGATGGTCTCGATCTCTTGATCTTGTGATCCGCCCTCCTCGGCAAAGTGCTGGGATTACAGGCGTGAGCCACTGTGCCCGGCCAATATACATTTTTTAAGATATAAAAATATCCTAAAAGTATGTGGTACACTTGCATCTTGCTTTGTGTAAGGCATTAGTGAGTGAGTGGGTGGCCATTTAACCATGAACTTGTTTAAAGGAAGACATCCCTGGATGTTTTCCACAGCACACACAATTCTCACACTGAAAAAGGGGCAACAGAGGAACTTCAAATACCTAAGCCGAGAGTCTTATTTTTGGGTAAGGGCACACAGGCCTATGGAAAATTACACGACTGGTGTGGACCTAGCCTGTTCTCACTGGTGACAGTGAATCAGCAGTGCCTTGAGCCATGCTGAAACCTGAAGCAACAAGAAATCAGTAATCTGGTCAGGTTTGATTTGAAATTTGGTATCTTGCTCATCATAGGCTTTTTTGCATCAATTCAGATATTACAATATTGTACCAAAACATTGTCTTCCTTAGTCGTATAGTCAAATATTTGTCCCTAAGTGCCTCACCATACCCTAGTCCTGGCGCTGTGTACCAGTAATGGATAGCCTCCAACTTTTCCTTGCCTGCAATCAGCCAGTAGCTGAGCACGTTGGAGGGGTCTAGATCTAGGCCATTCCTGTCCCTGTGGGCTTCTCTACAGGCAACCTTTGCTTGGGAACCAAGTCCTCATCTAGCAGTCTCAAGATGCACTGAAGTCCGAAGCTCCCCTACCCAATCCTTCCTTCTAGGTGTCAGACTTTCTGTGTGGTATGAAGAATTCCCCACCTTCTGCTCCCTTCTCTATCTTTCTAGGTGTTTCACTCCAAATAAATCTCTTGCACCTCTAATCACATTTTGGCACCTGCTTCTGGAAGTCCCAAACACAAAAAAACTAAAAGGAGTGTATTATAAATTAGAAAATATGTAAGAATATGGGTTTCTCTATCTTTTTCAGATTCTAAGTTGAATGTGTGAAGTAAAGACTATGTTTTTAAAATAAAACACAAAGCCTTTGGATTTTACATAGGAAGTTTTAATTAAGTAGAAATGAAAATTTATCCAGATCAATTTATTTGAACTTACATCCAAGAAGAAACATTCAACTTAAGGATTAGAAATAAAAGTGGCAATTGTCTACTTCTTTTGTGGTAAGGAATAGATCATACAAGCCTGACTGATGAGAGTAATAGCTTTGTGAAAACTGTATATTCGAGTACATGTGAACTCATACTTGGCTTATACAGAATTTATCCAATTCTAGCAAAGTCAGCATAATTTAAATAAACCTCCTTGAGTTTTACACCATGGCTCTCAAGTCTGAAAGCTTAGATTTGATTATAACCATGGCAAAAGTGATTATCTTTATTTTCTGAAAACGTAATCAACTTTTAAAATAAGTTAAGCAAACATCAGTTTTACACAGACCATATGAAGGGTAGGAGGAAACTGCAATTGTTCCTCTAATTGCAGAGCCTAAACCATAAATTCAAATTGTACTGCTATCTCTACTGTTAAAACAAGTCAAGAAAGTCTTTTACAGTCTAAGAGAAGTGAATGTAATTATGCAGCATCCACTACAAAGATATTTTGAAAACCTATCATCATGTTAGTACTCAATGGCTGTACAGCAATTATTTTAAAGTACGCTCCCAGGGTCACCTCTTGCTGAAGAATTAACTCCAGGAAGTCGAGTTACAAGTATCACCTACATTTTATAGGAAATAAAGGCAAAGATTTAGGACTGAGTCATCTGTTCAAAATTAGAAAGTAAATAAAAAAATAGACTTTGGTTTTATTTGAAAATCCCTTTCTATTGGGTTATATCCATTAATCTACATTTCAACTTCCAAGCCAATCTATTTTAAAAAGTTACCTCCATTTTGTGTCCAATATCTTACTGTATTAGAATAGTACAGGTAGACTCTTGCACTGCTCATTTCTAGTAGGCCATTAATAAAGAAAAGAAAAACCTTTGTGCTTTCTGTTCTTTCCTTAAATTACAAATGTAAAACTGACTTTTTTCCCCCAAAGTAGAAACAGTAGTTTGCTTGACGAAAAATCTTTTATTCACTTGGGCATTACATTACCTAACATTACACAGGCTATTTTGCTTTTAAACATTGTTTTCCTTGTGTTGTCTCCAGGAATCTCTTATAATTTTGTCTATTTTCCTGTGAAATTTGCTTTACCAAAATGAATGCGTAAGCTGTTTATTGGATTCTGACAATAGCTAAAAGCGACAAGAAATATTTTAATGAAAAGTAAGCGTGAGTTAGATCTTGGCCGGGCACAGTGGCTCATGCCTGTAATCCCAGCACTTTGGGAGGCTGAGGCGGGTGGTCACCTGAGGTCAGGAGTTCGAGACCAGCCTGGCCAATGTAGTGAAACACCATCGCTACTAAAAATACAAAAATTAGCTGGGCGTGGTGGCACACGCCTGTCATCTCAGCTACTTGGGAGCTGAGGTAGGAGAATTGCTGGAACCTGGAAGGCAGAGGTTGCAGTGAACCGAGATTGCGCCATTGCACTCCAGCCTGGGCTGACAACAGCGAGACTCTGTCTCAAAAAAAAAGAGATCTCAAGGTTTTTGTTTCATAGGAAGGAAGCTCTCTATTGCGTGGATCTATAAAATGATCCAAACTTCAGAGACAGGAAGCTGATAACTGGATTTATCTTCTTAATGGCTTTGGCTCATGAATAAATGATAATGGTTTATGTGTTTTTCTTATAAAAAGAAATGGAATTTGTATACCGATAGGAGTCCTACTTGCCACATTTGTTCTACTTATTAAGGGATTTCTAATTACTGAGACATTCTTTATATTATTTATAATAAGAAGTCAAAACTTTAACTGAAAGCCATTCTTTGACCACAGTTGGCCATTAGCTGAAATTCAGGAAATAGCACAGGTTTGATCACCAAATCAATAAATCTAGCCACAGGCTGACTAAAAGCTTCCTTTAATCTTCTTCCTATTAGGTCTTCCTTTAAATTAAACCATTCCCTTCATGAATTATTTAAGTGAATGGCATGGTTATAGAAAGATCACATATAACTCTATACAAAAATGCTAAAGGAACCTTAAAAAGTCCATTCAGCATACTTCAGGAATTATACTATGAATCAAGATGCTGTAGGCTTAGAAAAAAATGGGAGTGGGAGTATGTCCTGTAAAGCTTCAGAGAAAAATAGAAAAGTCAAGTTTATTTCCTGATTAGCCCAGGATGATTCCCAAAGCGCAGTTAAGTGTCTGGTCCAGACTAGCTATTAGCGATTAAGTAGTTTCTTTTCACTGTCAAGGCTTTTCCCTGAGGTAATGCCTAAATTCCTAATTTTAATATTTGATCTTATTTCTCTTAGCTCCATCCTCTCTCACCAATAAGCTCTCCACATTTCCACCATGCTAAATGCTTTCTCAACTCTGGAATTTACACTGTTCAAATCTTCCCTTTGTTCAACAGTTATAAAATTTTAGACAAATTTATACATTCCCACATTGTTCCTCTCAAAATTTACTCATTTATATAGTGCAATCAATATATTGTTTACATTTTATATAGGTTAGTTTCTGAATACTGTATGTTCTTCCAAATGTATCCTTACAAAGACACAGAGGAAGGGGGTAACCTTTCTGAATTCCAATTCCTTAATGTTTTAAAAAAAATTATTACTCTTTTCTTTTCCCTTAAACAATTCCCTTCTCAAGTCTTTATGTATCTACTTTCCAAACTTCTTTTCACTGTAGCAAATACCAAAGGAAAAATAAAAATCATTTCAGAGTCAATGAATCTCCTCCCTGCTCTCATTTATTAGATCAACTACTTCAAGGCTACATATGTGGCAGTACTTTTTAAGTGTTAACAGCTGTTAATACCTTGAAGTTGAAAAAATAAAAAAGCCAGAGAAAACATATCACAAGCAATCAGTTTGAATTATATGAAAAGGTACTTAGATCTTGACTTTCATATAAATACTAATTTTAACACTATAAAAGACAACATAACTATATATCATTTTTCTTTATAAAACTACCCCTTAACAGAATATTTGTAAGCTAGTCATCCCTTAGGTTTTTCTGTACTGATAAAAAGTTATTTTTAAAAGAAAAATATTTAAAATAATTGTTTCACAGAAACAGAAAATCTTATCAAATTCTGATAAAAAACTATAATCATGGGTACTCTTACCACACTATTTTCTTTCACCAAAGATGGATATTTAGGAAGTGGTATATTGGTTAATAAGATAAGCTTCTCAGTGATCTACAAAAGCGCCACAATAAAGATGAGGTAGTATGAGACTTTTCTAACCTTGTAAAAGGTAAATATCGTCTTTAGAAGAGATATTTATCCTGACATTGGTGTTATGATATCCGATATCCTGAGCCTCATCACTGCTAAGAGGTGCCATTTTTGTAGCTACATCTCATTGAGACTAAGACAATCTTGAGATCACTGAGGAAAAAAAAAATGCTAAAAGATAACGGTAATAGAGATTTTCCTTAATTTTGTAATAATTACTAAAAAATTATTTTAAAGCTATTATGGAAAAATGCCATTTTCATGTTAACAGAACTGCAAGATAGGGAAATGCTACTCACATAAAAGCAACAATAATGAAGAAATATTTGTTCTAACTTGGAAGTTTATGAGTCAAATTTCTTTCAATCTAGGTAGAAGCAGTTTCCTAATATAGCTAAACTAGCATCAAGAAATCAGTTACGATATTAAAAATGTCAATGTGTACAAAGGGTTAGACAGCTCACCAGAAGAAAATTGTCTATCTACATTTATTATTCATTGATTCCTTAAAAAAAGAAGATAGGATACCACTCCATTTATTTTTACTAGTTACTTTGGGCTAAAGATGTTTCTAAAAACGTTGCCCTGTTTCTGGGATAGTAAATTTAAAATATCACCCCTTTTGTCCAGTACTGTTCTGTATGGTGTAAGTCATGTAGCTGTCAAAAGGCTTTCTTTTTTTGAAGCCACATTACAGACTAAGTTAATTCTGAAGATAGGGATAATTATTTGGATCTTGTAGATCAAAAACAGTATTAAGCTTCCTGAATACTGAGCTCCATGTTTATTTCTGGAATCTTTATTCAAATTCAACTTAAAATAATGAAAAACTACTTAGGTACTCTTTGGTTACCAGTGGAAATTTGTGGCTGCTAATACATTGTGGAATTTCCCCAAAGTAACAGCTCAGAGTTTCTATAAAAGGGCTAAGTAGAAGCAACAGTTCATAAGCTAATACAGAAAAACCCCACAATTACTTTAGCACTTTAGTAACTACTAGCTACTAATAGTGTTATCATTATTTTCAAAGCTTCCAATGAGAAAGGAACAAGATTTATGTTTTGAAGATGGTTTAGCTCTTGCAGGTTGAGAGAAAGACCTATTCAGGAATGACAAATGATCCGGCCACATTGTAGAAGAGTAAGTGCACCTCCAGAATGATATGTTTCCATTTGATTCTCATTGACCAGATTAATCAAATTTAGTAATCCTGCTTTAGAGTTAATATTTAAAATAAAAATACACCAAGTTTGACTTGGTTTTGTTACTTTTAACATCCCTATTAGTAAGTTACAAAAGTCAATAACATTAGTATGAATGGTGAATTACAACATTCAGCTTTACTGAAGAATATCAAACTCAATGAAAAGGGGGACGGGGAACTATATTTTATATATAATACTACTAATGGCATAGATTAACAAAATATTTTACATGTAGGAAAGGACATAAGATTACTTTTAAAGAATAGTATGAAATACACAATATTCAAATGTGTTTGCAATGCCTACCAAATTTCAAATGTGCCTGGATCATGTATAAATTAAGGAAAAAGGATCATGTATAAATTAAGGAAAGAAAAAATGTAAGTATACAACCTACACGGTAAAAACAAAAACCAAACACCTGGTTAAAAATATCTATTTAAGCTCGAGTGTATAACCTTAAACAATTTGTGTATCACTAGAAAAATGGATTTATTAGTAAAATTTAGGGCAGAGATTTTATTTTGGACACCACTGCCTTTGTAGAAAAATCCAAAGTGGCATAAAAAGAAAAATAAAATATTAAAAGAAAAAATATATATTATCATTCCCATGTTCCCATCCTGTTACTAGCATTGCTGTTCTGGTGCATCAATCCTGAGTACTCTAACTTTTGATTTATAATGATATTCCTTCAGATATAATTTCATAGAAGAAGGAATTGGAAGGGCATCGATGCCATCATAAGTTGTACAGTTACAAATAACTGTTCTGCATATATGCTGCAGGGAAAAAGGGAAAGTCCGAATTAAGGGAGTGGATAGAAGTGGTTCAAAGAACATACAGGCGCTTGGGTCCTTATAATGTTCTAGGAGCCCAGTAATGTCAGGAGAATGGAAGACACAGGGGTCATGTGCATCAAAGCTAAAGTTGTGATTCCACTGTTCAATTCTAGCATGAAGAGAACGACTATAGCGTCTAAAACTAACAGAGAATAAATAGTCTTCCTGTGCTGAGTCTCGAAGTAAAAAGGTACCCTCTGGTTTTCCTTCCAGTAGTGCTTCGGCTGCGTATTTATCCATCACTCCCCAGTAACATGGGTTGTTATTGATCTGAAGGAGGTCTGGTACAAGACAGTGGACATAATCAATCTGCGTGTGGTATTTAGGAGGTGTTTCCAACTGCAGGATTTCATCATCCAAATCCCATTTGGGTTTGTTTCTTTTTCTGGAACTTGTGCAAAGTGTTAGAATTTCATCATCGGAATCCATATCACTATCTTCTATACTGTTATTTGAAACCAGGTTCATCACAGAGCCAGTCATAGGACCTTCTCTACACAAAGCATTGTCGGTGGTTATGACACAGGGCTGAACATTGGTATGTGAGAAACAGTTTATATTTTCTTCCATATTTCTTCGTTTTAGCTGACCATCCCTCAATTCAGTCTGAGACAAGTCTGTGCTTACCCATTCATCTGATTTGGAATTTATAGGAGCAGTGTGTCGTTTAATAAAATGCCACCTAAAGGCTAAATCTGATCGAGGTGGGAAAGGACACTTATCTAACATGAGTTCACTGATATGAATTTTCCTTTTAGACGGAAGCCCTGAAGAGTGCCGACTACTACAATTCTTTATTGGAAAACACTGCCCCACGGCATCTTGCAGTTTCTGTTTAAGAGATCGGCCTAAAAATCGATGCCCACAGGAATGATCTAAGTCCAACTCAATGGATGAACAGCTGTGCTTCCTTTCTTGGTTCCTTAAAGACACTTCGGTTTTCTCTATACCATTCACTGTCTCAGCATCTGAATAACTCTCACTCTTTTTTGACCAAGATAACTTCTTTCCACTCCACACATAACCGTCTTTTCTGTCGGCACTTCTGCTCCGACTAGTTTTGGGCCTTACATCTACATTTTTACTAATATTTTCATTATTTTCTGCCATGTTAACAAATTATCCAGATTCTAATGTTATAAATACTGCTTTTTCATTTTTTCCAGCAGGAAGTTTCTTCTGGGCACTTTCTGGATGTATCTAAAGAAAACAAAAAAAAGTCATTAACCATTTGTCATCTACCTTGTCTAGTTTACATATTAAGCTTCTATTAGACACAAGAGGGAAAAGCACAGTTAGTACATGAAAAAGAGATGTTGGAAGGGAGTCCCAAGACACTTTGTTCCCACTTAAATAACATGCTATATATTATATAATATACATGATAACTTAATAGTGCCATAGAGTGAAGAGTGAGTTCCTTTCTCATAGCTAATTTTCAGTGTGGATAAGAAAAAGCCAAGCCTCCTCTATCAACCATAATAAATACTCAAATGTGAATAGTTTCTAGTCTTGAAGTATATCTTATGCTCATCTCTCCTTACCATAGTTTTCTTATTTCACAGCAGACCAGTGAATTATTTGTAGAAGACAGACACAAATCTATGAGCTGGTATTTGAGAACTACTACCCTACATAGTTCCTTCACCTTCTTCTCCCTATTTCCTTCCCTACTGATTAAAATATGAACAATTTTAAGTTGTAAAGCTGTAAGAATTTATTAAATAAACAATCACCATTGAACAGCAAAAATGCTCAGTAAGCATTCCCAATACAGTGTTTTAAACTCACTTCAATAATTAGTCAACTTTACCATTAGTCTAGGCAATTTTTAGAAAATACAAAATTGATAAAAATTAGCCATTTTAAACACATACTCATTTGTATTCTTGATCATTTGAAAACAAGCAGATAAATTTCTATAAGGCACTGCCTTTCCTCTGAAGTTGGTAAAACATACTAGAATTTGCAATGTAAAATACCGAGTTTCATGAAGACTAATGATAATGATTGTTTGTAAATGGAATTTACTTAAGTATTCTTATGCAGAATAAGATTTAGGGTTGCCAGGGGAGGTGGTAATACTAGCACTTTGAGAGGCTGAGGCAGGCGGATTACCTGAGGTCAGGAGTTCATGACCAGCCCAGCCTGGCCAAAACAGTGAAACCCCATCTCTACTAAAAATACAAAAAATTAGCCAGGTGCAACGGCGCACGCCTGTAATCCCAGCTACTCGGGAGGCTGAGGCAGGAGAATCACTTGAACCCAGGAGGTGGAGGTTGTGGTGAACCAAGACTGCGCCACGGCACTCCAGCCTGGGGGACAGAGCGAGACTTCAGCTCAAAAAAAAAAAAAAAAAAAAAAAAAAGATTAAGGGTTGGCTGGGCACGGTGGCTCACACCTGTAATCCCAGCTCGTTGGGAGGCTGAGGCGGGTGGATCATGAGGTCAGGAGTTCGAGACCAGCCTGGCCAACATGGTGACACCCTGTCTCTATTAAAAATACAAAAATTAGCCAGGCACAGTGACGGGTGCCTGTAATCCCAGCTACTAGGGAGGCTGAGGAGAACTGCTTGAACCCGGGAGGCAGAGGTTGCAGTGGGCTGAGATCGCACCTCTGCGCTCCAGCCTGGGTGACAGAGCAAGACTCTGTCTTGGAGGAAAAAAAAAAAAGATTTACGCCAGGAACTTGGGGAAGGGGTCCTATAATCTCAAATATTTTACAAATGAAAAATAAATTTTGCAACAAAAAAAATCAGTCATACTCAACAGTCTGATATGATTGTCTGATTATGTCACAGGAAAATTTAAAAATCCCAACAGTCAAGTAAATGTCTACAGACACTTGAATCCATTTTCAAAGTAGTGGGATTTGAAACAAGTATCTATATCAGAAAATATGACTGTCAAGTGTTTAAAAGTGTGAACTAATAATAAAGACTTGCCATATAAAGAACTCCATTTCTAAGGCCAGGTGCAGTGGCTCATGCCTGTAATCTCAGCACTTTGGGAGGCCAAGGTGAGTGGATCACCTGAGCTGACTTTGGGACCAGCCTGGGCAACATGGCAAAACCCTGTCTCTAACAAAAATACAAAAAATTAGCTGGGTGTGGTGGCGCACGCCTGTGGTCTCGGCTACACAGGAGCCTGGGAGGATCATATGAGCCTGGGAGGCAGAGGTTGCAGTGAGCCATGATCGTGTCACTGCACTCCAGTCTGAGTGACAGAGTGAGACCCCAGTTCCAAAAAAAAAAAAAAAACCATCTGGTGATTATAGTTATTATGGTCAGCCCTCCATATCCATGGGTTCTCCATCCTCAGATTCAACCAATTGTAGATTGAAAATATTCAAGGAAAAAATCCCCAATAAATTAAAAGCAATACAGTATAATAACTCTCTTTTTTTTTTGAGATGGAGTCTCGCTCTGTCGCCCAGGCTGGAGTGCAGTGGCATGATCTCGACTCACTGCAAGCTCTGCCTCCCGGGTACATGCCATTCTCCTGCCTCAGCCTCCCGAGTAGCTGGGACTACAGGCGCCCACCACCACGCCCGGCTAATTTTTTGTATTTTTAGAAGAGACGGGGTTTCACTGTGTTAGCCAGGATGGTCTCGATCTCCTGACCTTGTGATCTGCCTGCCTGGACCTCCCAAAGTGCTGGGATTACAGGCATGAGCCAGTGCGCCCGGCCTATAATAACTCTTTATATAGCATTTACATTGTAGTATTATAAGTAATCTAGAAATGATTAAAAGTGTTTGGGAGGACATGTGTAGGTTATGTGCTAATATCACTCCATTTTATTTTAAGGGATTTGAACATCCATGGACTTTGGTATCTGCAGAGGTCCTAGAACCAATCTCCCTTGGATACGCAGAGACAACTGTATTTTGATTTAGTGTGCTCAATGATATATAACCATTTAAGATCTTTAAGGAAAAGTATTTCTTATTTAATTTTGAAAGAAACTTCATCACTTAGCACAGCCAAAATTGTATTCAACTGCCTGCTTTGGCTGTTCATTGACTAAATTCCATTGAACAAAAATTAGAAGCAACAAGATGGGCTGAAGAATATGAAGAGTCATTTATTAATAAGGTTTGAAATGCTTGGCGCTTTTATTTACTAAATGAACTTCACTTATGAGTGTGACCTCTAGTCTTGTCTCCTTGCTACCTCTAAATTGTGGCATTTCTTCCTTCACTTCCATATGAGAGCTAAGCTCTCTAGCTGTGTTCTTTTTTTCTTTTTCTTTTTTGAGACGGAGTCTTGCTCTGTTGCCTGGGCTGGAGTGCAGTGGCACGATCTCGGCTCACTGCAAGCTCGACCTCCTGGGTTCACTCCATTCTCCTGCCTCAGCCTCCAGAGTAGCTGGGACTACAGGTGCCCACCACCATGCCCGGATAATTTTTTTTTGTATTTTTAGTAGAGACAAGGTTTCACCATGTTAGCCAGGATGGTCTCGATCTCCTGACTTCGTGGTCCGCCCACCTCGGCCTCCTAAAGTGGTGGGATTACAGGCATGCGCCATCGCGCCTGGCCTCTACCTGTGTTCTTGATGACATTCTCACCTTTACCAAGGCCCTACTTCAATTTCTCTCTCAAACTTCTTGCTACCTTCAAAAACAACTAAGTCTGCTTATAAAATGTTTCAGTGATTATTATAATGCTTTCTTGGTCGTAACTGTTCCCATTTCTACTAAATTCATTTTATTTTTTTAAGACAGGGTCTCTATCGCCCAGGCTGGAGTGCAGTGGTGCAATCATGGCTTGCTGCAGCCTCGACCTCCCAGGCTCAAGTGACTCTCCTGCCTCAGCCTCTGGAGTAGTAGGGAATACAGGCACGTGCCACCATGCCAGACTAATTTTTAAAATTTTTTTGTAGAGACAGAGTCTCCCTAGGTTGCCCAGGCTGGTCTTGAACTCCCAGGCTCAAGTGAAAGTGCTGGGATTACAAGCATGAGCCACTGAGCCCAGCCCTAAATTTCTCAATGAGTAGTGTAACTTAATTTCCCCTCAAGATGAAGACAGCTTTTTGGTTTTTTCTCATTATAAAACAAAAATTACTCCAGTCAGAAAATGGCTGAGTAAAAATCTTTTTGCCCCACCCTTCTCTCAGAAGTCAGTCCAAACAACAAGAAAATATGAGAAATAAAATCACAAACCTCTTCTTCAATGAAATGAACAGATATCTATAACCTGAGTCATAAAATAGAAGTACAGAAAACAAATGAACAATAACTGACTCAGCAGCAGAGATGCAGGTGACAGACATCAGGCACAGAGGTAACACAGATAAGACACAAGCCAACAGAGCAGGTACAATTCAGGACCCACAGGCACTGGGTGCTACAGAAAGTCTGGGTGGAGAACAGGGTGGAACATGGGGAGATAAGTTGAAATTCTGCCTAAGAGCAGGTAGATTTCTCAGTTTCTTATCCACATTTAGAGGAGATGGGACATTTATTATTTGGAGAAACTGAACTAGGTGGGCTCAGGACTTTAAATACCAGACACAGCAGAGGGTAGAGGGGAAGACTGGGCCTAAAAAACAGAAACAAAGTAAAAGTTCCTTGTTCTCTTCTGCCATCCAGCTCCCAGAACTCCAGCAGCTAGATTTATACCTCCCTAACAGAAGAGTGGCAGATACTTTCCTGGAGAAAGAGAATGGCCAAAGAGAAAAGATCTGTCAAAGCTGATAGCTGGGAATCCTCCAATAAAAAGCTAGAAGACCACCCAAGCATACAGTGAAGCACACATATCCACAGGCCCTGGCTACTCACACACAGCTTCCAGGCAACATAGCTGTACACTCTAAACTATGAAAGAACACTCCTGGGTTATCAGACTTGATATTGTTTGCCTGTGTCCCACCCAAATTTCACTTTGAATTGCAATAATCCCTATGTGTCAAGGGTGCAGCCAGGTGGAGATAATTGAATCATGAGGGCAGTTTCCCCCATACTGTTCTCATGGTAATAAGTCTCTTGAGATCTGATGGTTTTATAAATGGGAGTTCCCCTGCACAAGCTCTCTTGCTTGCCACCATGTAAGATGTGACTTTGCTCCTCATTCACCTTCTGCCATGATTATGAGGCCTCCCCAGCCATGTGGAACTGTGAGTCAATTAAATCTCTTTGCTTTATAAATTACTCAGTCTTGGGTATGTCTTTAATAGCATGAGAACAGACTAATATAAGACTTTTGAGGAAAGCTTCTAACATATATGAAATAACAAAATATACAGAATTTGGAGAAAGCAATAACCATGGAAAGAGTAGAAACTAAAATTGACTTACTTCAAGTCAAGAAAAGATATTACAACTATGAATAAGTAAGATGGTATAAAAAGGAGGTAGGGGCCGGGCACAGTGGCTCATGCCTGTAATCCCAGCACTTTGGGAGGCCGAGGCGGGAGGATCACCTGAGATCAGGAGTTCAAGACCAGCTTGGCCAACACAGTGAAACCCTGTCTCTACTAAAAATATAAAAATTAGCTGGGTGTGGTGGCAGGCGCCTGTAATCCCAGCTACTTGGGCGGCTGAGGCAGGAGAATCGCTTGAATCCGGGAGGCGGAGGTTGCAGTGAGCCGAGATTGCACCCCTGCACTCCAGCCTGGGTGACAAGAGTGAAATTCCTTCTAAAAAAAAAATAAAAAAAAAGAGGTGGAGACAACTAGAATAAGAATTTTTTTGGAAATTAAAAATATGATTGTTAGGCCAGGCACGGTGGCTCACGCCTGTAATCCCAGGACTTTGGGAGGCAGGTGGATCATCAGGTCAGGAGTTCAAGACCAGCCTGGCCAAGATGGTGAAACCCTGTCTCTACTAAAACTACAAAAATTAGCTGGGCACAGTGGTAGGCACCTGTAGTCCCAGCTACTCGGGAGGCTGAGGCAGGAGAATTGCTTGAACCCGGGTGGTGGAGGCTGTGGTGAGCCGAGATCATGCCACTGCACTCTAGCCTGGGCGACAGAGTGAGACTCTGTCTCAAAAAAAAAAAAAATATGATTGCTAAAATAATTTTTTTTTTTATTGAGAAAGGGTCTCACTTTGTCACCCAGGCTGGAGTACAGTGGCACTGATCTCAGCTCACTGCAACCTCTGTTTCCCAGGGCTCAAGTGATCCTCCTGCCTCAGCCTCCCAAATAACTGGGACTACAGGTGCATGCCACCATGCCTGGCTAATTTTTGTATTTTTTTGTAGAGATGGGGTCCTGCCATGTTATCTAGGCTGGTCTTGAACTCCTGGGCTCAAGTGATCTGCCCACCTTGGCTCCCAAAGTGCTTGGATTTTCAGGTGTGAGCCACTGCACCTGGCCTGAAATAAAATATTCAATAGAAAAGTTCGTGGGTATGCTTAGGAACTAATACAGCAAATAGGAAAAAATGGTTAACTAGACAGAAAAGACAAGAAAATTAGAGATTAATATAGGCATTTCACAGAAAACAACAACAAAATGGACGGGAGAAATTATTAAAGAAACTATATTAGAAAATTTCCCAGGAATGGCCGGGTGTGGTGGCTCAAGCCTGTAATCCCAGCACTTTGGGAGGCCGAGACGGGTGGATCACCTGAGGTCAGGAGTTCTAGACCAGCCTGGCCAACATGGTAAAACCCCGTCTCTACTAAAAATACAAAAATTAGCTGGGTGTGGTGGCAGGCACCTGTAATCCCAGCTACTCGGGGGGCTGAGGCAGGAGAATCACTTGAACCCTGGAGGCAGAGGTTGCAGTGAGCCAAGATCATGCCATCGCACTCCACCCTGAGGGACAAGAGTGAGACTTCATCTCAAAAAAAAAAAAAAGGTTAGAAAATGTCCCAGGACTAAAGGACAGGCACCTCCATATTGAAAGATCCCACTCAACATCAAAGTACATTATTCTAATTTTAGAAGCCTAGAGATAAAGAGGAGATACTAAGTCTTTCTGAGAAGGAAAATTCATGCTCACCATGGAAAACCCAAACTAGGCATAAAGTTATAAGGAAAAAGTAAATATATCCATAATCCCACCACCCAGCAGTAACCACTTTAACATTCTCAGTATCTCTATATATGTATATGGATGGCAAGGATGCATTCCCACAGCATAGCGGCGGCAGGCATTAGAAACATGGTTTGAGTCCATAAGAAGACATGTGACTTTAATATTTTGCTAATGTGCTCGTGTCCGCATTTTTTTTTTCTTTAAATCATAGCCATATGGTAAATTTTCTATTTTGTTATGTTTCTCTTTTATTCATGGGCATGCAGTGGGTGTTTCTTGGAAATGGCCAATTTTTATTAAAATATTTCTGGAAGAAAAAAAAAAAAGAAACATGGTTTAAGTCCAGTTTCTGTTTTGTGCTAGCCATATAACCTTGAAACATCAGTGCATTCACATGTAAAATGGAGGTACTAATGCTATCTATTTCACTGGGCTGTTGGGGATAAAATAATGCATGTATTCAGCTCAGGTCCTAAATGTATTAATTACTCAATATATGTTAACATATATGTTCATATTTTCTTTTTGTTTTAAAAAGAAACAAAGATTACATATGTTGTTTTGTTAAAGCACCTAAGCCAGTCTTATTGGCTTTACAGTTTTCTTCATAATGAAGAAATCACAGAATACCTCTGTCTCTAGTGCAGTGTTACTACAAGGTAAAGAGATTTTCATGAGCAAATATAATTTTCAGGAGGAAAACTAATGTTTCAAAGTGAAAAAGGATCCACATGTCAGATACAGGTGAAACTCATAGACCATGAAGTTACAGAAAAATTTGACATCTTCCCCCAAAGAACAAGTTTACACGCTAACAAAACAGGTTTTCTTTTGCAAGACTCCCAACTTGTATGTTACAGGTACCAGTCAATCAAGTGTGTTTGGATTTTAGGGTAACTGTTTTTACGTGTGCTAATGCTGTAGATGTCCATAAAATAAAGTGAAAAATATCACTGCCCTAGTTGAGTTTTCCACACGTTCACCTGTACTTAAAGAGCTAATGCAGGCCGGGCACGGTGGCTCATGTCTGTAATCCCAGTACTTTGGGAGGCCGAGGTGGGTGGATCATCTGAGGTCAGGAGTTTGAGACCAGCCTCGCCAACATGGCAAAATCTCCTCTCTACTAAAAACACAAAAATTAGCCGGGTGTGGTGGCGTGCACCTGTAGTCCCAGCTACTTGGGAGGCTGAGGCAGAAGAATGGCTTGAACCTGGGAGGCGGCGGTTGCAGTGAGCCAAGATTGCACCATTGCACTCCAGCCTGGGCGACAGAGCAAGATTCCATGTCAAGGAAAAAAAAAAAAAAACAGAGAGAGAGTTAATGCAATGAAAACTTTTTTTTTTTTTGAGGTGAAGTCTCACTCTGTCGCCCAGGCTGGAGTGCAGTGGCGCAACCTCTGCTGCCTGGGTGCAAGTGATTCTCCTGCCTCAGCCTCCCAAGTAGCTGGGATTACAGGCACCTGCCACCGCGCCTGGCTAATTTTTGTAGTTTTTTTTAGTAGAGACGGGGTTTCACCATCTTGGCCAGGCTGGTCTTGAACTCCTGACCTCGTGATCCACCTGCCTCGGCCTCCCAAAGTGCTAAGATTACAGGCATGAGTCACCGCGACTGGCCTGAAAACTTTCTGATTAGTTACTGTTTTGTATCTATCTCAGAATTAGAGCTTTATATAAATTTTGCGTAGCTATTCTTTTGCTAGAGAACTGTTAAGTTCATGCTCAAGAAGTCCTACTTTTATAAAATGTTATCTTTTGCCCCATCAATATATGATCCAGAATGTCATCAGATATTTTAGTCTTCAAAGTTGGAAGAAAATTTTTCTATTTATATTTGTCTAAAACATACAAAAACTAATATTAGTACTAAATATGGTTGATAATGTTACCATCATGCATTGTCAGATGGTCATTTGTCTGTGCTGTTCCTAAGAGAAGAATGGGAATTCCAAAAAGCTGACAAATTATGGCAGCCAGCCCTCTCCATTTCTTTATTAACTTTCAGTGTACTGTTTATATCTTTTTGTTTGTTTGTTTTTGAGACAGGGTCTCACTGTCACCCAGGGTGGAGTGCAGCAGTGCGATCTCGGCTCACTGCACCTCCACCTCCCAGGTTCAAGTGATTCTCCTGCCTCAGCCTCCCCAGTAGCTGGGATTACTGACATGTGCCACCACGCCCAGCTAATTTTTGTATTTTTAGTAGAGACAGGGTTTCACCATGTTGGCCAGGCTGGTGTTGAATTCCTCGACCTCAAATGATCCACCCACCTCGGCCACCCAAAGTGCTGGAATTACAGGCATGCGCCACCGTGCCCAGCTTTACTGTTTATATCTTACTAGAATATTTCGTGGATTGTATTATTTTAAACAAGAGAATCTTTAAAATACTTTGTAATGAGACATGACCATAGACGTTTTATAACATGCAAGGTCTGCTAATTATCTCAAGACAAAGTACTTACATAAGTTGTTGAACTTTTAAGAGGAGTTGTGCATTTTTCTTTTACAAAATAACAAGTGTTCTAAATTTCATAACCATTACTGAAATAACAAGTGGCTCTCAGAAGCTACTTAGCAGATAGATATATTTTTTAAAAACACATACATTTAATCATTCACTTTTCGGCATAGGTAACATCTTAACAATTACTGAGAAAGTAACTGCTTAAAAAATAACTGTGTGCTATGGAGAGATCTTATCAGAAAAAAGATATTTAGAATTTCTTTCACCATTATTTGATTCTGTTACAAAAAAATGAGAGAAGTCTATCAAACTTTCATATCTTTATACTTAAACACATATAAAGAGAATTTTCTAATCTCTTCCAGAAGCTTCTTTGAACCAAAATTCTAAAATATAAAAAAATCAATCATGTTGCTTTCAATAAAAATAACTTAATTTTAGTGAGAGAAAAATTATTTTTATTGTTATGAAGACTAAAGATTAGTTTTTTGAAATTGTGCTTTCGTATCTTGTCCATACATGTAAAATCTGAATGTAAAAAAAAAGTGTAGGGTTCTGAATCCGAACAAGTTGTTCCAGATAGCCTATCATTAATTCTTAAAATTTTATAAAAACTTTGTATAGGGCCGGGCGCGGTGGCTCACACCTGTAATCCCAGCACTTTGGGAGGCCTAGGTGGGTGGATCACGAGGTCAGGAGATCGAGACCATCCTGACTAACACGGTGAAACCCCATCTCTACTAAAAATACAAAAAATTAGCCGGGTGTGGTGGCAGGCGCCTCTAGTCCCAGCTACTCGGGAGGCTGAGGCAGGAGAATGGCATGAACCCAGGAGGCGGACCTTGCAGTGAGCTGAGATCGTGCCTCTGCACTCTAACCTGGGTGAGACTCCGTCTCAAAAGAAAAAAAAAAACTTTGTATACATGAGGTAGAATAATAATAAGGTGGCTTTACCAACAATTTCATGTGACACAGAAATCAAAGATGATGGTTTGAAAGATGGTGACAAATCAAAGATCTTTGACTGTAGCTGCAAAAAAGCTTTTTAAAAAGAAGGTGAAAGAATCACTTGGGAAAAGGCTGCTTTGGCTCTTGATTCAATAATTAATTTTTTACGAAGGCAGCTATGTTACATTGCCCTGGGGAGTACAGAATGACATCTTTTTTTTTTTAAGTCATATTTCTTAATGAGCAAAAAGCAAATGTTTAAAAAGCAAGTTTATATAAAAGCCTTCTCAAGAAAACAAGTACCCAGATTCTGCCACTATTTGGTCCCAGGTTCTACCACAAATTACAATGACAACAATAACAAAATGAGTGCCCATTATGTCAATTTTCATTACAAAATATTTAAATAACATTTAGTAATACTGACTAAGGCTGAGAAGGTGATTTTAATTCAAAATTTCTACAGGAAACAATTCAAATCCAATAATTAAAAGGATAAGCTTCATTTATCTGGAAATTAATTAGTATCCTCTATGATGTAGGATAACAGCATTATTGCATACGTTAATTATTCATTGAACTACTTATGTCTATGATGCTGACATACATCTAACACCACAACTAATGTAAATACTAAATTGGAATACATTTGATCCTATAAAGAATAATTCAGTATACTACATTAATAATTCACAAATATATTATTATTCTGGTAGTAATTAAGCCTGGGGACTTTCCCTACGAAATTCATGATTCCAAAGTTTACCTGCCATCATGTGCCCAAAAACTCCTTGAAAGCATTCTGATCATAGTCCTTGATATTTGAGTTGGATTCTGTAGAAACACTTAGGCTCCACAAACGGAAGTCACTGGAGAGCAGACAACAGATGAACTCCTTGGAATGTTAAGAAAAAAATCTGAAAACAGGTTTGTTTGTATGGGAAAATATCTGACCTAAAAAACAAATGTTTTCTCATTACAGAAGCAATACAGGTTCATTTTCCAGTAAATATTTTAAAGTATCTCCTTTTTTCATGCTACTGAGCCAGGGCTCATGGGACTTAATTGCAATTTTCTAAAAAAGAATCATTGATTTAGTAGCACTACACCCTCCTTTCCCTTTCTCCCCACTTTTTCCATGCTTTCCTAATTATAGTTTGCTTATGTCACTTTTCCCCACTCTGTACTCTTGTGGACACTAGTTCTGAAAGATGTTAACACATATTCTGGAGAAAAAAAGGTTCTCTTGTCAAATAAGTTTGGGAAATGCTTCTTCTCTCAAAGATTACAGTGCATATTTAGCAAACGTTCCCAGGAGATCCTTCAGTAAAGAAATCTGCATAAACCATAGCTTCCTGTCTTTACTTTGCCATAAATCCTTTTGTGGAAGAAAGTTTGGGGAAACATTAATGGGCTAATCTGTTAACATCAGTGTACATTCCCTAAGCTTATTAGCTAAAGATAAGGAGAGAGGTCTAGGAACCCATCACTGAAGGGGCTAATCTAGAGTGAAGAAAGCAGAAACTACGAGCTGGCAGTACCTGAACTTCTAAAAGCAGAAGGAAGATTAACAGAATTTAAGAAACAGAATATTTAAGATATAATACTGAACCATTTTATGGAATAAATTAGATTGAACAGATTTATTTTTTCTTCCAATCTGTAATTTGTTATGATAAAAACAATATATGCTCATTGTATAATACATGGACCATTCAGAAAAGTTTAAAAAGGAGGGGGAAAAAAGCTATAATTCCATTATTTAAAAGCAAGCAATTTTGACATTTTGGCTTATTTCCTTGAATTCTTTTTTCTTGTGAGACCAATTAAGCATAAAGAGAAAATTTTAAAGTTTTAAAGATCTGTAAAAAATTAACAACCTACACTGTTTTTCACTATACCATATTTGAAAATAAACATGGTGAAGATGAAATAGCATGAGCTGCTGAACTGTCAAATGTGGGCTACAATTCAGACTTTTCCACTCACTAGGTATGTTACCTGGTTTAAAAAAATCTAATTTAGCTTAAGTTCTCCCACTGTAAAATCTGGATAATGCCAGCTACCTCATGTTTTTACTGCCAGGAGTAAAAGGTATGAAAACAACATACACTGAACTTAATGAAAAGAAATATTAACTGCTTCCTAGTATTACTCAGAACTTTTCATGTTAGAAGAAGTACATTTCTAAAAATGAGAGGTGGGAACACTTTTTTTAAAGAACACTATTTTTTTAAGAAAAAGGGGAGGGGAAACAAAGGCTATATGTAAGGCTAGAAAATCTGCACAAAAACGTGCCTCAGAAATCTGAAGTCAAGGAGGCTCTTCCATTTCTGAAATATCACAAAGCACTTTATATTATTCCTGATGTTAAATATATTATTTTTAAAAAGTTTTAAATTCTTTAAAACAAAAAATTGTAGTTTTTTAGAAGCTTAGTAAATAGATTTAAGTAGAAACAGGCAAAGATTTTATAAGATTGTATTATATTTTCTTCACTGCTTTATAACAATTACATATGCTTACATTTAAGGTTGGGTAACAAGTTTTACGTACAAATTAGTAAAAGGTGACTCTACACTTTATGTTTTACTAAATTCTAAGTTTTGTGGCAACAGCTATGATTTGGAGAATCAGTGCGGTAGACTACCTTGGACTAGGTGAAAGACCTGGGTTCTATTTCTAGCTCTGACATTTCGCAGGTGTGTGACTAGATAAAGACTAGATAAATCACAACTTTTCTGTTTTTCTATCTATATAACACTGATTATCTCATCTTGCTGTAGTAAGGATCTAGTGTTAATGTAATACAAGAATCAAATACTGGCTGTCTTTAGCCAGGGGAACTGGATGGCTGGGAGTATGAGTAGGAGGACGACTTTTACTGTATTGCCTTTTATATCATATTAAGTATACATACAGACAAGTACTATTTACCCCAAAATTATTAAATAGGCTAGTAAGTTTCAGGACACATTTGGAAATATAAAAATCTTCACATTTCTAAAGTGCCTTCAATGTTTCTTTTTTCAATACTTTGGTCTCCTTGGCTATTGTTACACTCTTCTAGCCTTACCTTTCACAAGATTAATCATTTTTACACCAAGTACATATTTTACTAGAAAATAATTTTTTAAACTCCTTCCATAAGCCAATACTGATATATCCTCTTAGATAAATCCTGTAAGATCACATGATTTTATATAGGTAATACCATCATTGGTAGAATGGCAATGTACCCATGTTTTCTCACCCAATTGTCCTTGGGAGCAAAAATATTTGTGAGTCTAAGGGTAGTATGAGTGGTTACAACACAGCAAAGCTAACTAACCATCACTGCAATTCAATCTGTGACTTTGGCATCATTTTCAGTCAGTTCATTTAGCCACCCACACCTATGAGATAAGCACTGTTAATGACAAATAACTACATTTGGAAAATTTTTGATACTCCTATCAGTGACACAGCTACACTGATTTCTTTTTAAAAAACTATGTTATTTTAACTAACTAGACAATTTTGCTAATATTTAAGTTACACATCTTTCATTACTGCACTATCATCTTGATCATATTGTTTGAATGTCTATTTCCCTCAGCAAGACCATAAACTCACTGAAGGTATTACAATTTGTAGCCATTTGACTGAAACAAATGGAATTGTGAAAACATGATACTAGCAAAAACAAGAATACATTTTTTAATATTTGAAAAATTTACTGGATAATTATTTAAACAAATCCCACTTTAAACAAAAAACACTAAATACCCACCCAAAGCACCCCTTTAGTAACATGAGATATTAATAACAATTACTTTTATACATCCATGAGTATCTCCTATATACTCTAACAATGCGACGGAGGTAGGTGTCATCTCCATTTTAGAGATGAGGAATTCGATTTTCAGTAAAGGAACATATTCAAGGTCACACAATGTGTCAGTTAGAATTAAAACCCAGGACTGTTAAACTCGGAGGCTCAAGCTTTTACCATACATGCAAAATCTGCAAAGAAAATTGTTCTTTAACCTATGAATCAAATGGCTTGATTGATAAGAGAAAATGACAGATGTGTGGACATCAATCATAGTCTCATGGGTATTACAGATATTATAGTGAAGGCATTTTGTAGCTATAACTTGTTCCAATTTGCAGATTCTTCTTATGCTGAGCTCTGAATAGTACTAACCAGAAATCTCACCACGCTTTATTCAACATAGAGACGAATATTATGAGAGTTCATCTTGAACTCTATGTACTCTAGCCAATGATATTGTTACTTGAACGAAAAAATTTATAAGCCAGTCTATCCAAAAAACAAATGATCTCCAAAAAAAAAAAATTAGGTCACTCAGAAAGCATCATCTCTGGTACCACTGCTCTTTCGGGAGATCAACAGTGGGTTATTTTTCCACAAATCCCAAGTTGTTTTTAAGCCAATCATTCTTCCTCTTCATTCATATACAAACCTCAGCGTCTAGCAAGGCTATCTGGAGCTCTAGTACTAAAAACAACGCCTCACACAATGCCACCCACGGTAAGAACACGACGGTTTGCCTGTGTGTTTGCAACTTTTCACAATGGAACTAGATTGAAAAAAACAATAGGGAAACCTCTTCAACAGAAAAACGTCTCAGGTAATAAAATAAATGTGATTGATACTGGAAGGTATCACAAAAACGCAGAAAAATTCTCAAAGATAAGTACAAATGAAAGAATATCATTCTGAAGGTTTTCATCACAGGCTGCTGTACCAATATGGAGAATGAAGATACAAGAAAAGCATAAACTTAAACTTAGTGGCCAAGACTTTAGCAGATATTGCATGGATCAAATGTAAGTGCTCAAGGCTACTAAGTTATAACTCTTCTTTTGGTTATAAATATTCACTTCAGTAAACTTTAGGTGGGATCTGAATAGAGAACACAAGTTACTTTCTTCATAACGGATATATAGAGTCGCAAAGAATAAGCATTAATTGAGCATTAATTAATTATACCTTCAGGTACCAAGAGAACCAACCGGAACAGAAATTAAGTCATTCCTTCTTTATCTCTACAGAAGCGACAAGGTGAGGGCACGAAGGATGCCAAGATTAGAGGCTCTAGAAGATCTCGCCTTCTTTTCCAGAGAAGATGCTCAAAGATCTGTCTGCTAACTGGGCCCCAAGAAAGAGACCGGATCCTTTTAGGGATCCGGATATTGTTTCCTGGGAGGAGAGCCTGGAGGGCAGGAACAAGACCCCGGCCTGCGAGGCCAGGCAGCGGCCACCCTTCCCCCACTCACCTCCCGGAGCGCAGCTTAACTGGGGTTGTGCGAGTAACTGCTGCCATCACCATCGCCATCAGTCTGGGCGCTTGCTTAAGTGGAGAGGGGAGGCCCAACCACTCCTGCACCTCGTGTAGGTCTTACAAAGCAGATGCTTTTCTGCCACCCCCAACCCCGCTTCGGCGTTCCGGTCCCAACCCAGCCGTCACGGTCATCGCCTCCGCCGGTTCCCTGGGCGCCGCCACCACTTCCGTGTTCAGCTCCCTCCCTTCCTCCCTGATTTGCCCGGGCAACCGGCTAATTTCCACGCGGAGGGCGCCGCAGCTGACGCCACCACCCGGCGACCTCTGTCGGGACCTGCGCTGGGCGTGGGCGGGTCGGCGCAGGCGCAGTGTGGTGAGCGAGCCGAAGCGCGGGAAGCAGCTCTTGTGGATCCTCAGTGGCGGAGGCTCGGTCACCCGGGTGAGTCCCCACTCCGGCTGCCCGCGTCCACCAAGGAGATGCGTGTTCCCTTTCCGGCTTATTGTCTGACAGACCCTCTGCCTTATCCCGCTGGTGTCACTCGGGTGGGGGAAACCGGGCTGCGGAGAACGGGCCCTAGAGGAGACTAAGCTCTCTTCCTATCCCTAGCCTCGCTGCTTTTCTCTTTTGAAATAATAAGACTGGCTTTTATAAAACATTTTCAGATAGGTAAAGGAAAACATGCCTGCCACACGGAAGCCAATGAGATATGGGCATACAGAGGGACACACGGAGGTCTGTTTTGATGATTCTGGGAGGTAAGGTTCTTTGAGAAACAACGTTTTAGGTGCAAATGTTAAAACATTTATCCTTAAACTTTATATGTGCAGTCAGCTAAAAATGACTCATGCGGATAGAGGAATAATGTTGAAATCTAAAATGGCACACATATTTCTTTAGATTATTGTTTGATTCGGGCCGTCATGGTAGTTGTAGTATATCGACAAAGTTATAATCGTACTTCCAGAGGAGTTGGAAAGATGCGAGCTTCTCTCCATATATTTTCCCCTTCCCTGCATCTTACATTATTAATTTTGTCAGATCACTAGTTACTGCCTACTTGTCAAATTCAGTGGCCTGTTCTGTTTGGAATGATATCCTTCCATGCCTTTAGTGATGCTATTTCCCTTTTTGCTTATTTTTTTTTAACTTTTTGACGGCTTAAAACAATTTTTTCCTCTGATTCCTAAACTATAATATTTTCCTACGGTTATTCTGGTCCCTTTTATCTTTCCAAGTCCCATTCTTACGCACTACTGCTCGATTGCACGGCTTCCACTGTCGCTTCTATGTTGATTGATTCATTGAAAAAATACTTGTGTGTCTCTTTTGCTGGGGACTACAGATAGAATAGAGCGAACCAGACACAGTCTTTTCCTCCTTTGAGCTTAAGGTCTTTTTGGATTGACAGGCATTGAACACAAATTAATCACAAAAATAAATGTGTATTTAGAAACAAGTAATATGTGCAGTGATAAACATGTATGAGGAGAAGCTCATCTAGTTAAAGGAGTCAGGGAAGGCTTCTTTGGACAAGTGTTTCTTGAGACGCCATCTGAAGACGGAGCAGGCATTAAGCAGTATAAAGAGATGAGTGGTGGTGGCGGTGGGGTGGTGATGTTGGCATAGTAAGCAGAGGCAATACTGTGTGTAAAGGCCCAATGGGGCCAGGGATCATGGTATGCTCAAAGAACTGAAGGAAAACTAGCCTTACTAAAATGTGGAGAGTGATGCAGAGTTTAGTGAGAGATGAATCTGTGAAGTTAGGCAATGGATGTCCTATCCAAGACCTTCTGGACTTTATTAAGGAATCTCGTTTTATCCTAAAAGCACTGAGAAGGTATTAAAGGCTTGAAGCAGAGAGATGTGATCAGGTTTGTTTTTGAGAAAATGCATGGAGGATGAATTGGAAAAGGAGCACTCATGGATGCAGAAAGACTGTTAGAAGATACCTGTATTAGTTTGTGTAGGGGCGGGTTGCCCCTCCACACTTGTGGGTGTTTCTCGTAAGGTGGAACGAGAGACTTAGGAAAGAAAAAGACACAGAGACTAAGTATAGAGAAAGAAATAAGGGGACCCGGGGAACCAGCGTTCAGCATATGGAGGATCCCGCCAGCCTCTGAGTTCCCTTAGTATTTATTCATCATTTGTGGGTGTTTCTCGAAGAGGGGGATGTGTCAGGGTCACAAGACAATTGTGGGGAGAGGGTCAGCAGACAAACACGTGAACAAAGGTCTTTGCATCATAGACAATGTAAAGGATTAAGCGCTGTGCTTTTAGATATGCATACACATAAACATCTCAATGCTTTACAAAGCAGTATTGCTGCCCGCAGGTCCCACCTCCAGCCCTAAGGCGGTTTTTCCCTATCTCAGTAGATGGAGCATACAATCGGGTTTTATACCGAGACATTCCATTGCCCAGGGACAGGCAGGAGACAGATGCCTTCCTCTTGTCTCAACTGCAAGAGGCATTCCTTCCTCTTTTACTAATCCTCCTCAGCACAGACCCTTTACGGGACGGTCAGGTCTTTCCCTTCCCACGAGGCCATATTTCAGACTATCACATGGGGAGAAACCTTGGACAATACCTGGCTTTCCTAGGCAGAGGTCCCTGCGGCCTTCCGCAGTTTTTGTGTCCCTGGGTACTTGAGATTAGGGAGTGGTGATGACTCTTAAGGAGCATGCTGCCTTCAAGCATCTGTTTAACAAAGCACATCTTGCACCGCCCTTAATCCATTTAACTCTGAGTTGACACAGCACACGTTTCAGAGAGCACGGGGTTGGGGGTAAGGTTATAGATTAACAGAATCTCAAGGCAGAAGAATTTTTCTTAGTACATAACAAAATGGAGTCTCTTATGTCTACTTCTTTCTACACAGACACAGTAACAATCTGATCTCTCTTGCTTTTCCCCACAAGTTTGGGTAAGTGTGATAGAAGCTTGGACTAGAGTAAACATGGGTGTGTAGAAAAGAGTAAACATTCAGGAAATATTTAAAAAGATAAAGTCAACAGGATGGATCAGATATTAAGGATGGAGAAAGAGGCAACAGGGATAACGTCTACATTTCTGAATGTTACGGTTGAGAAAGTGATGCTTCCACTTGCAAATAACAGGAACACTTGAAGAAGGGCGTATTTCAGAGGTAGAGCTGTGGGTGGAGATTGAGTTTGCGTTTGGATGTGATTATTGTAGGATTTCTTTGAGATATTCACCTAGAGGGATAAAGTAGACAGTTGGATAATTGTGTCTCAAGCTCAGAGAAAAATGTGAGCTAGAGATAGAAATATACAATTGACCCTTAACATGAATTTGAATTGTGTATGTCTACTTATACGTGGATTTTTTTCAATACACATATTAGAAAATTTTTGGCAGTTTCTAACAATTTGAAAAAACTAGCAGACGAACCATGTAGCCTAGAAATATGGAAAAATTAAGAAAAAGTATGTCATGAGTGCATAAAATCTATGTAGATACTAGCGTATTTTATCATTTACTACCATAAAATATACACAAATCTATTATAAAAAGTTGAAATGTACTAAAATTTACACACTCAAACATTTCCAGACCATCCGCAGTCAAGAGAAATGTAAACAAACATAAAGATGCAGTGTTAAATCGTCACTACATAAAATTAACTGTAGTATATACTGTATTACTGTAATAATTTCATAGCCACCTCCTGTTGCTATTTCGGTAAGCTTAAGTGTTGTATCTGCTTAAAACACTGTATGAGGTTGTATCTGCTTAAAACACTGTATGATGCTCATGAGCAGTTTGTCTCTCCAGTAAATTGCCTATCCCAGTAAAAAGACATCTCTGGTGATTCTCATATATTTTTCATCATGTTTAGTCCAATGCCGTAAACTTTGAATAACACCATGGGAATCATATGAAGTGCCACTAGTGATGCTGGACATACTCCTAAGAAGCAGACAAAAGTCATGACATTAAGAGAGAAAAGTTGAATTGCCTGATAATGTACTGTAGATTGAGGTCTGCAGTTGCGGTTGCTCACAATTTCAAGATAAATGAATCCAGTGTAAGGACCACTGTGAAAAGGAAATTTGAGACACTGTTACTGCAGCTATGCCAGCAGGCATGAAAACCTTGCACTTTTTGTGAAATAACTTTATCTTGTATTGAAAACGCAGCTTTTATGTGGGTATAGGATTGCAATAGAAAGGCATAGCTATAGACTCTAATGTGGTTCCAGAAAAAGTGAAGTCATTATCTGACAACTTAAAGTGAAAGGTAGGTGAAGGATCTAAAGCTGGAAAGTTTAATACCAGCAGAGGATAGTTTGATAATATCAGAAAGAGATTTGGCTTCGAAAATGTCAAGATGGCCGGGTGTGATGGCTCACACCTGTAATCCCAGCATTTTGGGAGGCCGAGGTGGGTGGATCACCTGAGGTCAGAGCATGCCCAACGTGTTGAAACCCTGTCTCTACTAAAAATGCAAAAAATTAGCCAGGCACAGTGGCAGGCACCTGTAATCCCAGCTACTCAGGAGGCTGAAGCAGGAGAATCACTTGAACCCGGGAGGTGGAGGTTGCAGTGAGCCAAGATTATGCCATTGCACTCCAGCCTGGGGATCAAGAGCGAAACTCCATCTCAAAAAAAAAAAAAAAAAGAAAGAGAAAGGGTCAAGATGGCAATAGAATCAGCTTCTGCTGACCAAGAGACAGCAGATTCCCAGACACCATTACGAAAATCATTGAGGAGAAAGGACATCTGCCTGAACAGGTTTTTTGTTTGTTTGTTTGTTTTGTTTTTTTGAGATGGAGTCTAGCTGTCTCACCGGCTGGAGTGCAGTGGCGCGATCTTAGCTCACTGCAACCTCCGCCTCCTGGGTTCAAGCGATTTTTCTACCTCAGCCTCCCGAGTAGCTGGGATTACAGGCATACACCACCACACACAGCTAATTTTTATATTTTTAGTAGAGACGGGGTTTTGCCATGTTGGCCAGGCTGGTGAACAGGTTTTTAATGTAGACTAAAGTGCCCTATTCTGTGGGGGGAAAAATGCCACAAAGAACATTTATTAGTAAGGAAGGAAAGTGAGCACTAAGATTTAAGGCAGGAAGGCTAACTCTAATGTTTGGTGCAAATACAATCAGATTTGTGATCAGAACTGCCATTATTTATAAAGCTACTAACCCCCGGGCCTTGAAGGGAAAAGATAAACTCCAGTCTCTTAGTTGTATAACAAAAAGACCTAGACAATGAGAACCTTCTTTTCTGGATTGGTTTCACTGATGCTTTGTGCCTGAAGTCAGAAAGTATCTTGCTAGTAAGGGACTGCCTTTAAAATTCTTTTAATGTTGGGCAATGCCCCTGGCCACCCAGAACACCATAAGTTCAATACTGAAGGTGTCAAACTGGTATACTTGCCCCCAAACACAATGTCTCGAATTCAACCTCTAGATGAGGAGTTCATACAGGCCTTTACGGGCTCATTACATAAACTAATCTATGGAAAGGATTGTCATTGCTATGGAAGAGAACCCCAGTAGAGAGAACATCCTAAAAGTCTGGAAGGATTATACCATTGAAGATGCCATCATTGTTATAGAAAAAGCTCTGAAGGCCATCGAGCCCGAAACAAATTCCTGCTGGAGAAAACTGTGTCCAGACGTTGTGCATGACTTAAGATTGACAGCAGAGCCAGTCAAGGAAATCATGAAGGAGATTGTGGGTATGGCAAAAAAGATAAGGGAGCGAAGTAATTTCAAGATATAGACCTTGGAGACATTCAAGAGGTAGCAGACATGGCTGGGCGCGGTGGCTCACACCTGTAATCCCAGCACTTTGGGAGGCCCAGGCAGATGGATCACTTGAGGTCAGGAGTTTGAGATCAGCCTGGCCAACATGATGAGACCCCGGTCTCTACCAAAAACATAAAAAATTGGCTGGGTATGTTGGCATACGCCTGTAATCCCACACTCCACCTTCTCTCAGGAGGTGGAGGTTGCAGTGAGCCGAGATTGTGCCGCTGCACATTCCAGGCTGGCCAACAAAGCAAAACTCTGTCTCCAAAAAAAAAAAAAAGGAACGCTAATAGACACTAAACCGAAGAGTTAGCAGAAGACAATTTGATAGAAATGAGTTCTTCCTAACTACTGCCAAGTGATAAGGAAGAAGATGTAGAAGAAGTAGTGCCAGAAAACAAATTGACTTTAGGCAATCTGGCAGAAGGGTTCTGATTATTCAAGACTGCTTTTGACTTATTTTACAACATAGACCCTTCTATGTTATGAGCACTGAAACTAAAGGAAATGGTGGAAGAAGGATTGGTACTGTATAGAAACATTTTTAGAGAAATTAAAAAGGAAAAGAGTCAGACGGAAATTATGATGTGTTTTTATAAGGTCACACCAAGTATGCCTGCCTCTCCTGCCTCCTCCTCTACTTCCTCCCCCTCTTCCACCTCTGAGACAGTAAGACCAACTCCTCTTCGTGTTCCCCGTCAGCCTTCTCACTGTGAAGACGATAAGGATGAAGACCTTTATGATGATCTACTTCCACTTAATAAATAGTAAATATTTTTTCTCCTCTTTATGATTTTCCTGATATATTTTTTCTCTATATTGCTGTATTGTACAGATACAGTATATAATACATAGACAAAATATGTGTTAATTGTTTATGTTATCAGTAAGGCTTCTACTCAACAGTAGGCTGTTAGTAAAGTTTTAGGATAATCAAAACTTCTATGTGGATTTTTGACTGTTTAGGGGTTGGAACCTGTAATGCCCATGTTGTTCAAGGGTCACCTTTACATCTTTGGCTGATACCTTCCAGAGTTCAGGGTTGAGGTTCTGGCTAAGAATATAAATGTGAGAATTGTCCTTATAAACATAATATTTATTACTGTGAACTTGGATGAAGTCACCTAGGGAAGGAGTAAATATAGGTAAGAAAAGAGGTTCAAGGATACTCCAAAATATTTAGAGATCAAGTTAAAGAGGATCCAGCTAAGGAGACTAAGAAAGAGTAGCTAGAAAAGTAGAGAACTGAAAGACAAGAAGGATGTTTAGAAGCCAAATGAAGTGTTTGAGGAACAGGAAATAATAGACTCTGTCAAATGCTCCTGGTGAGTCAGGTTGAAGACTGAGAATTCACCATTAGATTTAGCAATGTGGAGGCCATTGGCAAGTTTTATGGAATGGTAAGAATGAAAACCTTGAAGTGGATTCAAGATAATGGAAGGGGAGGAATTTGAATTAGTGAGGTTGACACTACGTGGTTTTGATTTTGTCTCTAGTACCAGTGGGGTATAGAAAGTAATCAGTCACTACTTAAGAGGGCTGAAGAGGAAGCAGTGACCCCAGAAGAATGACCAGAAAGAAAGCTGAGTATATAGAGATTTTGCTTGTGCCTCACCATGAACCTCATGAGACTCAATGATTAAGAGTCAAGAAGAGGTGGTCAGATTAGGGAAGGAATGTTGCTCTCTGAGGATAGAGTTGAGGTAGTAAGAAATGCGTTGGTAATCATTGACTCCTTGAGGTTATGTCATAAAGCTGATGAAGTCTTGATATAATTAATCTTCATGCCCAGACACTGATAGCGGATTTCTTTTTTGTTGAGATGGAGTCTAGCTCTGTCGCCCAGGCTGGAGTGCAGTGGCACGATCTCGGCTCACTGTAACCTCTGCCTCCTGGGTTCAAGTGATTCTCTCTCCTCAGCCTCCCAAGTAGCTGGGATCACAGATGCCCTCCGCAACAGCTGGCTAATTTTTGTATTTTTAGTAGAGACAAGGTTTCGTCATGTTGGCCAGGCTAGTCTTGAACTCCTGACCTCAATTGATCCACCAGCCTTGGCCTCCCAAAGTGCTGGGGTTACAGGCATGAGCCACCACACCCCGCCTTACTCTTTATTATTTTAAAGTAAATCCCATACATCTTATAACTAAAATCTGGTTTATTGGGGGTAGAACCTAGTAGAACAATGCTTTAGCAAGAGTCATGAATCAAAAAAGAGAAGGCACAAATAAAATAATATTAGAGATAAAAAAGGTACAATATAGGCTTCAAAATACGTGAATACATTGACACCCTTATGCCAATAGTTTTGAAAATTTGAAACAAAGGTATAATTTTCTAGGAATATGTAAATTAACAACTTACCCAGTTTACCTAAGAAAAAAATAAAAATATTTATTTACATTGATTATCCAAACATTAAACATATGATCTAAATGTTAACATATGTAAGATAATCATTTCTGGTACATATTTATGTGCTTTAATCAGTTTCTTAGCCTGTCTGTCCCATGGTATTGCTGATATTTTTCTGAAAAATATATTTTTAATACAGTGTTATTTTAATTTTTCTCATAAAAAATTAGCTGTAGCCTTGTTTAGAGTTGCATTTTATGCTGAATAAATTTGAAGTTAAATCTTCAATTCTTTTCTTTTTTTTATTTGTTTGAGTCAGAGTTTCACTCTTGTTGCCCAGGCTGGAGTGCAATGGCACCATCTCGGCCCACTGTAACCTCTGCCTCCCAGGTTCAAGCAATTCTCCTGCCTCAGCCTCCCAAGTAGCTGGGATTACAGGCATGCGCCACCATGCCTGGATAATTTAGTATTTTTAGTAGAGATGGGGTTTCTCCATTGTTGGTCAGGCTGGTCTCGCCTCCCAAAGTGCTGGGATTACAGGCGTGAGCCACCATGCCTGGCCTAGACTATAATATTTTTTAATGAGAAAAATGTTAGGTTCTAAGGTACTTGGCAGGCTCAGAGCAAATTCTACTAGCTGGGAGAGTCATAATTTTTAAGAATTTGTTTTAATTGAAATGGGTAAATACTTCAGCCTCAGTATTTTTATAGGTTCTGTCTTTTTATCTCCATTCAGGGTACACTTCTTCAATAATAGGGTCTTCACTGTTTTTAAGGACAAAATTCATCAAGTTGTCTATGATTCTTTTGGATGTTTCACAGATTTTAAGCCTACTCTTTTATTTCATTCTGGCACAGAACATAAATTAATACAATTAAAAATAGGAGTTCTATCAAAATATTCTTCCCACAAGTCAAGATATTCCAAAGTACAGTTACAGAATTTTAAAATGAAATCATTCACCATTTCAGCTTTTCATGTACAATTTGTTCAATTCTTATTTGCTTTTGTAGGGATAAATTTCAGTGTCTTCCTGTGCATAAGTTTTGTTTTCATGAATTGCATTTCACTAAAAGCTTCAAAAGCTTAAGTTTAATGCTTTGATTAAAGATGTCTGTTTTCAACTAAATGCAACTAAGATTTAGAGGACTTGTTTCTAATAATAATAATACCATTATTACAGTAGGACACTTAGGTTGTTTTACAGAGTCGCTCGCTCTTCAAAGGCTTAAAGATTTTAAAAACCCAATCACTCCAAGCAGAGGGAGAAAGTATGTCCTGCAATGCTAGTATTTTTTGTGTATTTAATTAACATCGGTTTGTGCGCTGCTGAGGTGGGAGGATTGCTTGAGGCCAGGAGGTCTAGTAGTTTTTCTGTATATCACATTGATTTGTGTGCAGCTGAGGTGGGAGGATTGCTTGAGCCCAGGTCAAGCCTGCAGTGAGCCGTGGTAGGGCCACT
Organism: Homo sapiens; assembly: GCF_000001405.40. Taxonomy (NCBI): domain Eukaryota; kingdom Metazoa; phylum Chordata; class Mammalia; order Primates; family Hominidae; genus Homo; species Homo sapiens. Next base: position 55,017,872 of record NC_000014.9, on the reverse strand, counting down.
GCACTCCAGCCTGGGCAACAAAAACAGAAACAAAACATGTTTTTTTCAAAAATTCTGTTGTTCAGCAATTCTAGATATAAATAAAATCTGAAAATTTGACAAGTATGGCTTCTTTTTTGTTGGTGTGTTATCTTGCAGCTCATTTGGATAGAATCATGAATTGTAATTCCAAATTCAAGTACTTTTGTGTTTCACAGATTTCCTAATATAGTAAGAACATTGATTTTTCTGGCTGGGTGCAGTGGCTTACGTCTGTAATTCCAGCACTTTGGAAAGCTGAGGTAGGTGTATCACTTGAGGTCAAGAGTTCGAGACCAGGCTGGCCAACATGGTGAAACCCCATCTCTATGAAAATACGAAATTTAGCCAGGTGTGGGTGGTGCGTGCCTGTAATACTAGCTACTTGGGAGGCTGAGGCAGGAGAATCACTTGAACCTGGGAAGTGGAGGTTGCAGTGACCCGAGATGGTGCCACTGCACTCCAGCCTGAGCAACAGAGCAAGGCCCTGTTTCAAAAAGAAAAAAAAAGAATATTGATTTTTCCTACAGCACTGTAGAAAACAATAAAATTAATATGTAGTTATTTGATACAATAAAGGATAAAACCATTTAGAAGAATGTTTAGACTACTCTAAAAGCACTTCTTTCGCAGGACTGCTGAACGCTATTTCCTGCCAAAGTTTGTATTTGTATTACTGTAAAAATTAAGAATTTTATCATTAGTGTTAAACTTTTCAAATAAATTTAGATAGAATCCCCACTGATGTCAGATATTTCACTTTCAGCAGAATGAACTTCCAGAAGATTTACTTTGTTTCCATGAACTGAAGAGTAAACTAAACTATTATTGGAATTAATACGGGCGATTTTCTATTTAAAACTCCTGATGACATTGATATAATACTTTTATCATTTAACTGTTTGAAAGTTCTTTTGCTGTCTATGGCCATACCACCCTGAACGCACCTGATCTCATCTGAAAGTTCTTTTGATAATGGAGACAACCCATTAACAGTCACTTCACTTTTTATGCTTGCACCAGAAAACTTGGAATGAAAAATGAACAAAATTATTTTAGAACAACTGACATTTCTTTTAATGCTGCGCTGTCCAATACAGTAGCTACTAGCCACATGCAGCTATGTAGGTTTAAATCAATTAAGGTTAACTTCGTTAAAAAGTCAGTTTGTCTGTCACATTAGCCACATTTCAATTGCTCAGTACCAGGTATAGACCATTTTCATCACCTCAGAAAGTTGTTTTGGAGAGCACTGAGTTCTTAGGAAGAATCATGCTTCACAAGATATAAATCACCTTCTGCAGGAGTAGAATCACAGTTTTTAGGCAGCCTTCTCAAGATAACTACTAACTTGAATAGATACTGATGCTTCTTCGGGACTTCTTTCTCTTCTAATTTTCTTGTGGTTGGTGTTATCACTATAGTATGACTGTAGCCCCGTGGTAAATGTCAACAAACATTTTATTCAAGTTATATTTTCATTATCAACTTTCCTGAGAAGAAGAAATTTAGTATTTAATCTTTTATTAAATATGTACTTGATATACTTTTTTAGCTCATTACCACTGAAAGGGTTGTGTTGGTTTTCATTTTTTTCCCAAAATTTCAAAAGCATAGCAATCAATAAAATTAATATGTAGTTAGTTATTTGATACAATAAAGGACAAAACCATTTAGAAAAACATTCAGACTACTCTAAAAGCTCTTTAGAAGATTGCTTAACTCTATTTTCTGCCTTTATTTCTTATTAATTCTACTATATTTCACTATAATTTTCCATTGGTCCCACCAACTGGCACCTGTAACTTTGTACGTCTCCTCCAGTGCATCTGCTGATACACCAAGAAGCCCATCGGGGCTGGGTGTGGTGGCTCATGCCTATAATCCCAGCACTTTGAGAGGCCGAGGTGGGTGGATCACCTGAGGTCAGGAGTTCAAGACCAGCCTGGCCAACATGGTGGAACCCCATCTCTACTAAAAACACAAAGATTAGCTGGGTGTGGTGGCGCACGCCTGCAGTCCCAGCTACTTGGGAGGCTGAGGCAGGAGAATCACTTGAACCCGGGAGGCAGAGGTTGCAGTGAGCTGTGATAGCACCACTGCACTTCAGCCTGGGCGACAGAGTGAGACTGTGTCTCAAAAAAAAAAAAAAAAATTCCATTGGAACAAAAACGTGAAATACTTCTCTCATCACCATTGGGACTGAAAGAAGTAGCTATCCCTAGGGTCTTACATCTGAATCCATTCCGTTTTTTATTGAATGCCTCACATGTTGTCCCCGAAAGGATTTGTTAGTCACATTGCATCAGGAAAGGGTAGGAAAAGGGGAGATAGCTTATCACTAGTCATTTTACAGATTTAACCATGTGTTATGTGTGTTATGTTACCAAATGAGACCATGGCAGAAGCTGGAAGTACAAAGAAGAGGTCTGCCAAACCCACCCTAGCCTTTTTTTTTTTTTTTTTTTTTTTTTTGAGACAGTGTCATGCTGTTTCCCAGGCTACAGTAGTGCGATCTCGGCTCACTGCATCCTCTGCTTCCTGGGTTCAAATGATTCTCATGCCTCAGCCTCTGGAGTAGCTGGGATTACAGGTGTGCACAGCACTATGTCTGACTAATGTTTGTATTTTTAGTAGACTCAGGGTTTTGCCATGTTGGTCAGGCTCCACCCTAGCCAATTTTGATGCAACTAATACTAATATGTTTTAAAGTGAAAATTCCTGGACAATGCCAGGCCAGTTGGACACATAAACCAGGAGTATCTCAGGCAAACTGAGACTTATAGTCCTCCTATCTACTCTCTATAGAAGGGAGCCTAACCACCTTACTCTGGCATTAAGGTTATTCTAAATAGGTGACCTAGACTTCATTTTCCTTTTTCTTTCCTGGCTTGTCTGCTCCAGGTAAACTCCCCCATGCTGTATTAACTATATTTTTTTTCATGTGGTTTTCTCTGGAACTGCCCTTGTCACCAGTCTTAGCATATCTAGTCCTGCTTGTTCTTTGACTTCCCAGTGTAAATACCATCTTTCTTATGAATCTTTTTGACTTTCTCAGGTGAGAATTAATCTTTTTCTTTTGAACATCCACAGCTCTTTATATAGATTTTTTTTGCTGTTTATTATATGTTATTTTTGTATTTTATTATGTACATTATATTTTGTGTTTTTATTTGCTTTTTTGTATGTGTGTAGATAGGGCACATACTAAATGAGTAAAAGCATTTGGAAGATAAGTTTAAAACAAGTTATGATAGATACAGATGGTTATTTGAAACACGTTTGGATAGTTGAGCTCATACATCTATTCATTTATTAATTCAACAAACATTTATTAAGGTTTCTGTCAGAGACTGTTTGGTGCTAGGGATACAATGGTGGACAAGGAAGATACGGTCCCTATTTTATTGTTGCAGATTATATACCCATCTTTCTTACATTCTTACAAATAAATAATTTTATGCTGGCCAAGCATGGTGACTCATGTCTGTAATCCCTTGACTTTGGGAGGTCAAGACAGGCAGATCCCTTGAGCCCAGGAGCTCAAGACCAGCCTGGGCAACGTAGGGACACCCTGTCTCTACAAAAAATAAATTAGCCAGGCATGGTGGCATGCGCCTGTAGTCCCAGCGACCTGGGGAGCTGAAGTGGTTTGATCACTTGAGCCTGGGAGGCGGAGGGTTTAGAGAGCTATAATCATGATACTGCCTAGGCAACAGAATGAGACTCTGCCTCAAAATTTTATAATTTTATGCCAAAGAAGAACTAGAGTATTAAACTCATCTTTTATTTTATAGAAGGAAATTAGCACTTTATTTTTAAAGTTTAAGTGTATAAAATGAGAAAAAATACTGGCTAATGTCTTCATTTTGTGAAAAAGTGGTAAATATAGAAGTAGCATTCCAAAAAACTAATGTATATGAAACTAGGTGACTTTTTTTTTTCCTTGAGATAGAGTCTTGCTCTGTTGCCCAGGCTGGAGTGCAGTGGTGCCGTCATGGTTCACTTGCAGCCTTGACCTTCCAGGCTCAAGTTATCTTCCTACTGCAGCCTCCCAAGTAGCTGGTACTACAGGTACACATAACCATGCCTGGCTAATTTTTTAATTTTTTGTAGAGACTAGGTCTCTCTGTATTATCCAGGCTAGTCTTGAACTCCTGGCCTCAAGCAATCCTCCCACCTTGTACTCCCAAAGTGCTAGCATTATAGGCATGAGACACCATGCCCGATGACTTTAATTTGTGTCTTTTCTTCACAGTTTTATTGTGACTTGTGGAAGTGATGGTGATGTGAGGATTTGGGAAGACTTGGATGATGATGATCCTAAGTTCATTAATGTTGGAGAAAAGGCATATTCATGTGCTTTGAAGGTAGTAAAAACAGTTATATCAATTGATATGAAATGATACTGGCATGTGATTTTTATGCTTGAGTGAAAAAATATTTTTGAATATAGATATACCTTTGTTTATCTCATGAAATAATATTTTAAAATGTATGATAATGCCGTAACTTGCCCTACCATTTTTTTTTGAGATGGGGTGTGAAAAATATTTTTGAATATAGATATACCTTTTTTTAATCTCATGAAATAATATTTTAAAATGCATGATAATGCCATAACTTGCCCCACCAATTTTTTTTTTTTTTTTTTTTTTTTGAAACGGGATCTTGCCATGTTGCTCAGACCGGTCTCAAACTCCTGGGCTCAAGCAGTCCTCCCAGTTCAGCCTCCCGGGCAGCTAGGACTGTAGGTGCATGCCACCATACCTGACCACCCCAAAATTTGTGGTTTATTAAAAGTGATTAATGGACATGAATGGTGAACCAATTAAAATAAATGCAGGAAAATAATACTTCCAAGAAAGGTTTAAATGTTCCCTTTTTTCCTTTAAGGGAAAACTCAGTGGTGTTTTTAGCTCACTGCTATGATTTGAATGTGTTCCCCTAAAAGCATGTGTTGGAAACTTAATCCCCAACATAACAGTGGTGGGAGGTGGGGTCTACTGAGAAGTAATGAGACCATGAGGGCTCTGGCCTCATGATTGGATTGATGCCACCATCTCAGGAGTGGGTTCATCATAAAAGGGTGAGTTTGATCCTCTTGCTCTCCCTCTCGCCCTCTCTTTACCTTTCCAAGATGGGATGATGCAATAAGAAGACCCTTGCCAGATGCCAACCCCTCAATCTTGTAGTGTCCAGCCTTCAGAATCATGAGACAATAAATTTCTGTTCATTGTAAATTACCCAGTCTGTGGGATTCTTATAGCAGTACAGAACAGACTAAAACACCTACTGATTCAGATAACTTAAGGAATTGTTCTAGAAAACGGGAATGTTTCATTAACTTTCCCAATATATATTCATATGTGTTTCTGATGTTTTGTGTAACGCAAATATGGGAATGAGATGTAGGTTACTTGGAGAAAGAAGACTTATTCAGAAGGACTTTGGAAATTAATTATCTATAAACCCCTAAGCTTTTTATTTGTGATGACTTTTAACTTGAGTGTATTGTGTTTAGGTAGAAAAATCTTTCCACAGAATTCATATTTTTTCCAAACCCAGGCGCATTTAAGGTAGATAAGATGATGTTTAGATATTCTTTTTAAAATGATCATATATAATTAGAAAATGCGTTCCCAGAAGAAAAAATGTAAATGACCAACATACATTAAATGTAAGCTAAATCTTACTAGTAAGCAAAGAAATGCAAATTTTAAAATTGGATTTTTTTTCCCCATAAGATTGGCAAGGATGAAAAATATTGCTAATCCCAGTAATAGTGAGGGCTTTGAGAAGTAAGTATTATCATACATAGTGGCTGGATACATAAGTGAGAAACTTTTTTTTTTTAGAGCAAATTGATACCGTGTATTAAAATTAGAATGTACACAGTCATTTCTGGCTATTTTCAAGTTTATGTGGAAAAGGATAGTAAAAGCACAATTCATAACAATAGCAAATGTCGGAAACAATTGAAGGGTCTTTCAATTGAGAAGTTAGTTTATAAATTTTGGTGGAGCCATATAATGGAATACTATGCAGCCATTATAAAAGTAGGGTATCTATTTTCATCAGAAAATATATTTATAATAAGTTGAAAATAAGTTTACAATAAGTAAAAAAAATGAGATTCAGAACAGTTAATATAGTGTAATCTTATGTTTGTTAAAATAAATAAATACATATATATATACACACAAACACACACACGAATATAACAAAATTAAGAAGACTTAACCCCAAAATGTTAATGGAGATTAATTCATAAAATAAGGAACTCACCCTCTGCTCAGGATACTTTTTTTTTTTTTTTTTTTTTTTTTTGAGACAGAGTTTCACTCTTGTTGCCTAGGCTGGAGTGCAATGGCGCAGTCTCAGCTCACTGCAACCGCCGCCTCCCGGGTTCAGGTGATTCTTCTCCCTCAGCCTCCCAAACAGCTGGCTGCCCACCACCATGCCTGGCTAATTTTTTTGTAATTTTAGTAGAGATGGGGTTTCACCATGTTGGCTAGGCTGGTCTCGAACTCCTGACCTCACGTGATCCACCCGCCTTGGCCTCCCAAAGTGCTGGGATTACAGGTGTGAACCACCACACCCAGCCCCAATACTTTCATATTGTCATTTTTTTCTGTTCAGTGAGCATGTACTGCCTTTGTATATGAAGAAGACTGTAAAGGAGGAAAAAGTAAACATGGTCTTGTATTAGTTTACTAAGGCTGCTGTAACAAATTGCCACAAAGTTGGTGGCTTAAAACAACAGAAAATTATCTCACAGTTCAGAAGGCAAGAAGTCTGAAATCAAGGTGTCGTCATGGTTGGCTCTTCCCAAGGCTCTGAGGGAGAATATGTTCCATTCCTGTCTTCTGGGTTCTGGTGGTGTGGCAATCCTCAACATTCCTTGCCTTGTAGGTATATCACTGCAGTCTCTGGCATGGATGCTGCATTTAGACTTTACTCTAAAAAGACATGTGATGTGTCTTTTGTTGTGGAAACATAGGGCAGTGGCCATTGTGGCCGTGCCTTCTGATGCCTTCTCCTCATTTTGAGACTAGCTCTGTTTTCTCTGAAAAGCTCTCTTGAGTCTCCTTCCTTTTTATAACACTTAGGATCCATAGAAGTACTATTCAAACATTTTTCTTACCAGAAGTAAAAGAAAAATTAGAGGCTAAGAGATAGGCTGCTTAAGGTAGAATTAATTTTTCTAAAGCTAGCAAATTTTTCTTGCTAATGCACATTCCAGCAAAGTTGTACATTTAGTGATAATTTTTCTCTTGATATGAACTAGATTTTTAAGGTTTTTTGTTTTTTACCGGATTTTTAACTATGGAGAGACTCCCAGTCATTTGGATTTGTTTTGCTAATGTTTCTTACCTTAATTTTTCTTTTAGAGTGGAAAACTGGTCACTGCAGTTTCTAATAATACTATTCAAGTCCACACATTTCCTGAAGGAGTTCCAGATGGTATATTGACTCGCTTCACTACAAATGCAAACCATGTGGTCTTTAATGGGGATGGTACTAAAATTGCTGCTGGATCTAGGTAAGGCTCTTTGACATCAGAAAAGGAAATAATGTTAGAACAAAAGGCCTTGTTTATTTGTTTCAGGGTAGTGTTTTCAGGACCGTGACTTAATTTTTTGTTGTTTGTTGTTTCTTCATATATTCTTTTATCTAGTAAAGGTTTTTGAGGACAAACTTGGGCTTCTTTTTGAATTGAAATATATTGCTTTGGCCGGTTGTGGTGGCTCACGCCTGTAATCCCAGCACTTTGGGAGGCCAAGGCAGGCAGATCACCTGAGCTCAGGAGTTCAAGACCAGCCTGGCCAACATGGCAAAACCCCGTCTCTACTAATACAAAAAATTAGCTGGGTGTGGTGGCGGGTGCCTGTAATCCCAGCTACTCGGGAAGCTGAGGCAGGAGAATCACTTGAACCTAGGAGGCAGAGGTTGCAGTGAGCCAAGATGGTGCCACTGCATTCCAGCCTAGGCGACAGAGTGAGACTCTGTCTCAAAAAAAGAAAAAAAGGAAAGAAATATACTGCTCTGCAGATGGGCAGATGGCCTATTTTATAATACTGAAAGCATAGCTTGATGGAAAATTTAAAAAAATTATTTTAGGGCTGGCGTCGTGGCTCATGCCTGTAATCCCAGCCCTTTGGGAGGCCAAGGTGGGCAGATCACCTGAGGTCAGGAGTTCAAGACCAGCCTGGCCAACACAGTGAAACCTCGTCTCTATTAAAAATACAAAAATGAGCTGGGCATAGTAGCGGGTGCCTATAATCCCGGCTACTTGGGAGGCTGAGGCAGGAGAATTGCTTGAACCCGGGAGACAGAGGTTGCGTGAGCTGAGATCACGCCATTGCGTTCCAGCCTGGGCAACAAGAGTGAAACTCTGTCTCAAAAAAAAAAAAAAAATTATTTTACTTAGAACTTGGGCTGTACAGTCAGAATATTTTGGAGTTTCTCTTGATGCTTCTTTGTCATAGGAAAACAATATAGTTGGTTGAATTGCTGAGGTGAAGTGAAAGGTATAGTACTTTTAAAAATGGTTGTAGCTATAATTAGATTAGCAAATAATAGAAGCTTAAGATGTAACTAAAGAAGCCATTTAGGAAGTGTTTGTATTTTAGCATAATGGGAAATCTTGACTTGTGTTTTCAACATATTTATAGAGCAAAACTAAAAGGTAAGCCATTAAATTTGGGTGCCAAATTTTATAAGTTGCCATAAAGATTTTGTGATTTTAAAATACTTGGACAGGCGTAGTGGCTCATGCCTGTAATCCCAGCACTTTGGGAGGCTGAGGTGGGCGGATCACAAGGTCGGGAGTTCAAGACCAGCCTGACCAACATGGTGAAACCCCATCTCTACTAAAAATACAAAAATTAGCTGGGCATGGTGGTGCACACCTGTAATCCCAGCTACTCGGGAGGCTGAGGCAGGAGAATCGCTTGAACCTGGGAGGCGGAGGTTGCAGTTGAGATCGCACCACTGCACTCCAGCCTGGGTGACAGAGTGAGACTCCGTCTCAAAAAGAAAAAAAAAAAAAAAGAAATATTTGGATCATAGCTTTTAGGAGAGGCCTTTGTGTTAGCATTTATTCATTTGCGTTACTCTTTTTGTTCTTAGTGATTTTCTAGTCAAAATTGTGGATGTGATGGATAGCAGCCAACAGAAAACATTTCGAGGACATGATGCCCCTGTTTTAAGTCTTTCCTTTGATCCTAAGGACATCTTTCTGGTAATTATTTTTTCCTTCTCTTTTTGTGTTTTTCCTGAATATGTTTAAAAATATATTTCCTACTAACTCTCTAAAAAATTTTCTGCTAACTCAACTTTTCAACCTTTGTTTTATTCAGTAAGAGAGTTAGCAGGAAATTTCACCCAGTTGATAAAAGGGCTTTTTGATTTAATTAATTGAACCACTTTCCATGTAGTATTATGGCTATGACTATAGAGAAATGTATTGTTTATTCCTGCAGGCATCAGCTAGTTGTGATGGATCTGTCAGAGTGTGGCAAATTTCAGATCAGGTAAACTCAGCAATTTAAATTTAAAGTTTTTTGCCCATTTCTGTAATAAATTGTTATATGTCGTATTACTGGGCCAAATTAATAATTGCTTTTCTTTGGAATTTGTTTCTTTGGTACCATTAAATACTGTTTTTGTGATCAAAGTCCACAGTATTCTAGTGCCAAATAAATACGTTGAAGACTAATTGCATTTTTACCTAATCACAAGGGGAATGATAATCTTATATTTAACTTTTTAAGTTTTGTAAATGAAGGGAATAAATTCAGTTATTTTATATTTACAATGTAATGACCATGCGTTGGGCCTTGGGTTAGATGGTTGGGGATAAAAAATTATGGGTCACATTTGATTTGGAGAGTCACATATACAGTTTATTCAAATGCAGCCTAATAAAGGTTTTAAAGGAGGTACGAAATAAGGTGTTCTCCAGATTGGCAGAGGGAACAGTTAAGTCTGCCCAAGGCAATCCAAGATGGCTTGGCATTTCTAGAGAGAATATGAATGTAATTGACTAGAGAAATATCCTCCACAAATATGCCTTAATATCCACAGTTCCTTCCCTTCATTCTTGAGCTATTTAAAAGAAGCGACTTTGACACTTTAACATTTTATAGTAGACCATTGAAGTTTTATTTTTGTAGTCATTCTAAGAATTTCACGTATTGGGGTTTTGTGTATGTGTGTATGATTATTCAATGAGTATATCATTTGTTTATTCTGCACAGAAAATACTCTAGTTATTTAAGATTTGTACTCATCATACCTTTGAAGGACTTAAAGCAGTTTAGGTATATCAGGTATTATTATAATTAAGGTGCATTAAGTTGCATTTTTCTGAGATATATATTGATTTGAAGAACCTTTAAATATATTCAGTTCTGCATATATTTTGGGGGGGATTTTCATAAAGGAAAGAAATTTTCTTTTTTTACCAATTAGACATGTGCTATTAGTTGGCCACTGCTACAAAAATGCAACGATGTGATAAATGCAAAATCAATCTGCAGACTTGCTTGGCAGCCAAAAAGTGGGAAGGTAAGTGATTCTTATTTTTCTTTTCTTTTCTTTTTTTTTTTTTTTTTTATTAGAGATGGAGTCTCACTCTGTCTCCCATGCTGGAGTGCAGTGGTGCAATCTCGGCTCACTGCAACCTCTGCCTCCCAGGTTCTAGCAATTCTCCTGCCTCAGCCTCCCGAGTAGCTGGGATTACAGGTGCACACTGCCATGCCCAGCTAATTTTTTGTATTTTTAGTAGAGAGGAGGTTTCATCGTGTTGCCCAGGCTGGTCTCGAACTCCTGAGCTCAGGCAATCCACGCACCTCAGCCTCACAAAATGCTAGTATTACAGGCGTGAGCCACCGTGCCTGGCATGATTCTTATTTTTAACCTTTGTTTTATTCAGTCCTTTTCAACTTTGAGTGTAAAAATAGTTTTTTTAATTACTTTTTAAAAATTTGGATTATAAATTTTAGAGTACCAAGCCAAATAATTAGTATTGAAATGCTTTAAGAAACATTTGAACTTTTTCAAGATTCATTTTGAAGTATAAATTTTGCATGAATGAATTAATTTTATATTTTTGTTCACATTCATGCTTAATGGAACAACTCTGGAGACAGTCTTATTATGTCCATTCTCACCATTAGTACCTAACATTTTGGAGGTACTAACTGATACAGTTAGACAACAGAAAGATATGAGAAATTTGAAAGGAAGAAAGAGAATGTTCATTATTTGCAAAGGAAATGTTTGTATATGAGTAAATCCCAAGAAAATCAACTGGGGAAGAAAATCATTACTACTAATAAGAAAATTTAGTAAGGTAACTGGAAGCAAAATTGTTTGTATACAGGATTGTTATACAAATACAGGATTGTTATCCTGTATACAAACAATAGCCATTTAGAAAGCATGTAGGAAAAATAATGCATTTACTTTTAAATTGAAAAAGATACAGTAACAGGTTAAATGTACAAGAAATGTGAAAGATCTATATAAAGAAACTTTTAACATGCTACCAAGAGAAGTAAAAGAAGACTTGGATAAATAGAAACATATATTCTTAGAAAGGAATTATTTGATATAAATAAAGATGTCAGTTCTTCCCTAAATTAATCTATAGTTTTGATAACATTCACATATAAAACAACAGCCTATGTGTGGTGGCTCACACCTATAATCCCAGCACTTTGGGAGGCTGAGGCAGGAGGACCGCTTGAGCTCAGGAGTTTGACACCAGCCTGGGCAACATAGCAAGACCTCGTCTCCACAAAAAAATGAAAATTAGCCAGGTGTGGTGGCATATTCCTGTAGTCCCATCTACTTGGGAGACTGAGGCAGGAGTATCACTTGAGCCCAGGAGATTAAGGCTGCAGTGGGCTATGATCTTGTCACTGTACTCCAGCCTAGGCAACAAAGCAAAACCCTGCCTTAAAAATAAAATGTCTCATCTGAAGGCTCTAAGGAAAAAAAAAAGAAAACAAAGTAAAATAAAGTACCAATAAGATGTCTAGGAGGACCAAATTGAGCTGATTCTAAAGCCCATGAGGGCTTTCTGCACTACCCAGAGAAGGATCCTTATGATGTTGTTCTGGATTCCCATCGTAACTTAAAGGGAAACTTTCACAATGTCTAGAACCTCTATGTCCTGCAAATGAAGGAGGAGGATGTCCTTAAGTTCCTTGCAGGAGGAACCCACTTAGGTAGCACCAGCTTTGTCTTCCAGATGGGACAGTACATCTATAAAAGGAAAAGTGTTGGCATCTACATCATAAATCTGAAGAGGACCTGGGAGAAGCTTCTCCTGGGAGCTTGTGCCATTGTTGCTGTTGAAAACTCTTTCAATGTCAGTGTCATATCATCCAGGAATACTGGTCCGAAGGCCATGCTGAAGTTTGCTGCTGCCACTGGAGTCACTCCAGTTGCTGGCTGCTTCACTCCTGGAACTTTCATTAACCAGATCCAGGCAGCCTTTTAGGAGCCACAGCTTCTTATGGTGACTAATCCCAGTGCTGATCACCAGCCTCTCACAGAGGCATCTTATGTTAACGTACCTACCATTGCTCTGTGTCACACAGATTTTCCTCTGTGCTATGTGGACACTACCATCCCATGCAACAGCAAGGGAGCTCACTCAGTGGGATTGATGTGGTGGATGCCGATCCAGGAAGTTCGCATGTGTGGCACCATTTCCTGTGGGAGGTCATGCCTGATCTCTACTTCTACAGTGTTCCTGAGGAGATTGAAAAAGAAGAGCAGCCTGCTGCTGAAAAGGCTGTGACCAAGGAGGAATTTCAGGGTGAATGGACTACTCCAGCTCCTGAGTTCGGTGCTCCTCAACCTGAGGTTGCAGACTGGTCTGATGGTGTGCAGGTGCCCTCTGTGCCTATTTAGCAGTTCCCTCCTGAAAACTGGAGTGCTCAGCCTGCCACAGAAGACTGGTCTGCGGCTCCCCACTGCTCAGACCACTGAATGCATAGGAACAACCACTGAGTGATCTTAAGCTGTTCTTGCACAGGCTCTTAAGCAACATGGAAATAAGGTTGATGAAAAATAAACATTGGGTCGGGCTCGCTGGCTCACGCCCATAATCCCAGCACTTTGGGAGGCTGAGACAGGTGGATCAGTTGAGGCCACGAGTTCAAGACCAGCCTGGGAAACATGGCGAAACCCTGTCTCTACTAAAAATATAGAAATTAGCTGGGCATGGTGGCACATGCCTGTAATCCCAGCTACTTGGGAGTCTCAGGCATAAGAATTGCTTGAACCCAGGAGGCGGAGGTTGCAGTGAGCCAAGATCACAATACTGCACTCTAGCTCAGGTGATAGAGCGAGACTCTATCTCAAAAAAAGAAAATAAACATTGGTTGCTAAAAAAAAAGGGAAAGTCCATGTGGAAAATGAAAAGTTTTGAAAAAGAAAAGTGATGCAAATAATTCAGTTAGATAATAAAACATAAAGTTATGAGAATTATAAGTTTGCTATTGAGTTATGAATAGACACATACCTGTTAAAGAGATAAATAGAACCAAATGTATATGGAAAGTTAGTGTATATAAAGGTAGAGAAAAGGAGATTTAGCAAATGTATTAGCACAAGGATATGAATACCAGGAAGTGGAGTGGGAATCTTTGAGGACCATCTTGGAAGCTTGCTTCTACATGATGAGTCTATATATAGGTATTTACTATATTATTATTTCAACTTTTCTATTCTTTTGAAATTTTTCAGGAAATAAAATTAATAAAGTAGATTGTATAAAAAGTAAATAGTTTTGCATGGTACAAAATATTAGTCACAGTACAAATGACAAACTGGGGAAGAAAATTTGAAACAATAAAACAGAGCTAATTTCCATAGTGTGCAAAGTATTCTTACAAATCAATAGAAACCCATTAGAAAGATGAGCAAAGACATGAGCAGACAGTGTACATAAAAAATATACAGTTGGTAGCTGGGCACAGTGGCTCACGCCTATAATCCCAGCACTTTGGGAGGCTGAGGCGAGTGGATCCCCTGAGGTCAGGAGTTCGAGACCAGCCTGGCCAACATGATAAGACCCCGTCTCTACTGAAAATACAAAAATTAGCCAGGCGTGGTGGTGTGCGCCTGTAGTCCCAGCTGCTCGGGAGGCTGAGGCAGGAGAATTGCTTGAACCTGGGAGGCAGAGGTTGCAGTGAGCCAAGATGGCACTACTTCTCTCCAGCCTGGGCAACTATATATATATAGTTCGTTTTTCTTTCTTTTTTATACATATATACACAATTGGCTTTTAAAATTATTTTTTCTTTCCTTTTTTTTGAGACATGGTCTCACTCTGTTGCCCAGGCTGGAGTGCAGTGGCATGATCACGATTCACTGCAACCTCTGCCTCCCGGACTCAGTTCATCCTCCCACCTCAGCCCCCAACCCGAGTAGCTGGGACTAGAGGCACGCGCCCACAATGGCTGGCTAATTTTTTTATTTTTTGTAGAGACAGGGTCTCATTATGTTGCTCAGGCTAGTCTCAAACTCCTGAGCTCTAGTGATCTGCCTGTCTCAGCCTCCCAAAGTGCTGAGATTATAGGCCTGAGCTACCACACCCAGCCCATGTGAACTTTTAACAATGTACATTCTAGATTTAAGTGATAATTGAGCTCAAGGAAATGTAGTATGTATTTTTTTTCTTTGCTTACAAAAAAACCTAATTTAAAAATTTTTTAAAATAAAGTTTTTATTATATGTTACTAATCCTTTTTTGGATAATCATGGAAAGAATACACAGTTTTATTTTTTCTACTAATCAGTTTCTTCAGAATAATGCATAAGAAGATACATTTCTTGTTTTTCAAGATATTTGAAGGATTCTGTCTTTATTTTCCTCAAACAAATGGGAGGAATTTTTATATCAGAAGGACCTAGATTCCTTAAGAAGTAGTATTGAAGGTCAGGCATGGTGTCTCACGCTGTAATCTCAGCACTTTGGGAGGCTGAGGCAGGAGGATCACTTGAGGCCAGAGTTCAGTATCAGCTTGAGCAACACAGTGAGACCCCATCTCTACAAAAAAACAGGAAAAAAATTAGTTGGGCTGTAGTCCTAGCTATTTGGGAGGCTGAAGCAGGAGGATCCTTTGACCCCAGGAGTTTGAGGCTCAGTAAGCTGTGATCACACCACTGCACTCCAGCCTGGGTGACAGAGCAAGACTGTCTCTTGGGGGAAAAAAAAGTAATCATATTTAAAGTACTAGTAATTACAAGTTCTCCATTTTTTGGGTGCAAGCAATAGAGTGATCACCTTTATTTTTTTCTCTTCCCATGACAAATTATCACCTATTTTTTGCTTATTGAAGTTTTAAGTAATGTTCTGAGTTTCATTAGTTGCCAATTAAAATACAGATTTGCGCCTGGCACAGTGGTGTATGCCTGTAGTCCCAGCTACTTAGGAGGCTGAGCCAGGAAGATCCCTTGAACCCAGGAGTTAGAGACCAACCTGGGCAACATAGTGAGACACCGTCTCTTAAAAACAGAAACAATAAAAACTAATTTGCTTTTATGTCTTGTAAATATATCTGAATGAATTTTGTGCCTTTTTCCTTCTTCAAATTCAATTTAATGTAAACTTTTGTTTACGTTGTTTATCTTTTCTAATAGTTACTGGCAATTCCTGTGGAAAAATCTGTTAAGCTATATAGAAGAGAATCTTGGAGTCATCAATTTGATCTTTCAGATAATTTCATCTCTCAGGTAGGTTTTACAAAGTGACACTTTCAGTGGGCTATAAGGAGCAGTTAATGCGTAGTTTGCCTGAATACAGTTGCAGTTAAATATTATTGGAATGGAAAACAACTCCTGGCTGTTGTATGTGGTCCATCTTCTAACAGCTCATCCTTTCTTCATTTGATCAATAACTGGATACTAAATAGGTCTTTGTTATAAGAAGTCAGATTTAACCCTTGCATAGTATTAGAACAAGTTGTTCTAAAATGATCAGTAGTTAGCCTTTATTGTTAAGTGAGTTTCACTGAGACTTGTGATCATGGACTCTGAAATTTTAGAGGAAGAAAGGTTGTTGGTCTGTTTTCTCTGTCTCTTACATGCGTAGATATTTACAGTTAAGGAAACATAAGCCCAGTAGGTCAGCAATGGCTTACTAAAGTTCACTTCACTTACTAGTTTTCTTCATCTTGATTGTGAATGCTAAGAGGATGTCTTGAATTGTCTCTCTTTCTAGGATAATAACATTTTTTAGGTTTTGCTTTGAAAATTGTGCCAGTGGCTGGGCACAGTGGCTCATGCCTGTAATCCCAGCACTTTGAGAGGCTGAGGCAGGAGGATTGCTTGAGGCCAGGAATCCGAAACCAACTTGGGCAACAAAAGAAGACTCCATCTCTACAAAAAATACTAAAAAATTAGCCATGTGTGGTGGTGCATGCCTGTAGCCCTAGCTACCTGGGAGGCTGAGGCAGGAGGATTGCTTGAGCTTCAGAGTTGAAAGTTGCAGTGAGTAATGATGGTGCCACTGCACTGCAGCCTAGGTGGCAGAGCAAGACCCTGACTCTAAAAATAAAATAAAATGGTGCCAGTATAATTTTTTTCATGATAAAGTAATAGCTGGTAGTGATACTTGAATGTTATTGAAAAGTGAGGTTAGAAAATAAGCAAACTTTGTCTTGTATCGAATATAATTAGAAATAATATAGAACAGGGATATAAAAATTTGAATTTGGTTGATTCCCCTCCAAATTCTTGAAAAAAAATGAAAAGAAAATTGAATTTGGTAATAAAATGAGTATTTAGTTTGAAATTTTACAAAATCATTATTTATTAACTGTTTTTCTTTACAGACCCTCAATATAGTAACCTGGTCTCCCTGTGGGCAATATTTAGCTGCAGGTAGTATTAATGGTCTAATCATAGTTTGGAATGTGGAAACCAAAGACTGCATGGAAAGGTATGATTTAGTGTATCTTTTGTCTCTTCTTTGCTCATCTCTATTAGTTTTGTATTTGTTTTATTTTGAAACATTTCAAATTTGCCATCAGATTGTCAGAATGAAAGTATAATTAAATTTATATTATTTATAAATTATTGTCAAAAGTCATTTATTCTTTCCTAACTAAAATTTACCTAAAGAAATGTACAATTTATATTTTTCTTGACAGTATTTTTAGAACCTACTTTTTAATTTTTAGGGTGAAACATGAGAAAGGTTATGCAATTTGTGGTCTGGCATGGCATCCTACTTGTGGTCGAATATCGTATACTGATGCGGAAGGAAATCTAGGGCTTCTAGAGAATGTTTGTGACCCCAGTGGAAAGACATCAAGCAGTAAGGTAAAAGGGAGTATGGTACAACAGTTTCTTCAAAATGTTTCTGTGATCATATGGATTTGGAAGACACCACAAACTGCCTTACTTTCTTGGAAAATTACCTTTCATGTTACTATAGTAGATGCTGAGTAGTAATCTATAGTAAGAAAACTTCTTACTTGTTCAACCTGATGTCTCCCAAGTGTATTTTACTAAGAAACTTTTTTCTCTCCATATAATGCCTTTCCAAGGAATACCTTTCATTAAATACTATTTTGTATCAGGTCTCAGTTTGGCCTGCAAACTGTTTCTACTCTGAATTAGCCTTAACTCTTAGAACTACCTATACACCTCCTCTGCTTAGTCAAACAGCTTTACTGAGCAACTTTAAACAGGCACCTTGTTTTATACCTTCTTGCTTTTGTTCATTATTCACCCTGCCTGGCAGATGTACCTATTTATATTCAAGTCTTAGTTTAGACTTCTGGTTACAGATTGCAGACTTAATACATGCATTTATAGCTGTCCCTCCTGAAACCCCCACAAAAACTATACTAAAGGCATTTTCTTAAATGCATAATCCCATAAGGTTAAAGAAGTCAGTTGAAGGGATGATTATAAAAATAATTTTGAGCTCTGCTGCAGTGACTCACACCTGTAATCCCAACACTTTGGGAGGATTGCTTGAGCCCAGGAGTTTGAGATCAGCCTGGGCAACATGGTGGGACCCCATCTCTACAAAAAATTAAAAAATAAAAATTAGGCAAGTGTGGTGGTGTGTGCCTGTAGTTTCATGCTCCTACTCAGAAGGCTGAGGTGGGAGGATCACTAGAGCCCAGGAGGTTGAGGCTACAGCAAGCCGTGATTGTGCCACTGCACTCCAGCCTGGATGACAGTGATACCCCATCTAAAAAATAAAAATAAAAAAGTGGAGGCTAGAAAATAGAAGGATGATGAGAAACTCACTTCAGCTTCTCAAAAAGTTGAATTCTAAAACTGTAGTTTCTGGAAGTTGAGGTGCTACTCAGTTTGCCTCACTGAATCCCCAGAGATTCAGAATTTGGTAGCACTAGGTGCTTCTAGAAGTGGGGCTGAAAACAGGAGAGGTGATTTAATAAGCACATAGAGTGTTCTAGTCTCAACATCTGTGTTCAAAGCTGGGTACCTGCCCTCCCCCATCTTCACATGCATTCTGGCAGAATGTTGGAGATTTGTTTTTTTAGAAAAGATGAAATAGACTGTCCTTGGTCTAGGGACACTGGTTACAGTTGAGTGGTCTTGGGTAAGGGGGAAATACTGTACTGAAAACAGAGGATTAAATGAAAGATTAGATACTTGAATGTTGAAATGATCATCTCACTTCTAGTAGGTTCCCAGAACATTGTCAGCCATTCTTATGCATTTCAGGCAGGAGATTGGAAAAATCATCTTTGGGGAATTTGTCTAAGAGAAAAGACGTAAAGAGAGAGTTTCTTAACTCCAGGGAAGACAAAAAGTTGTAAAAGAAAGGAACAGTGATCATAATATACTGTATGTGTAAAAAGATAGGAATAATGCCAACCACTTGGGGTTATTGGGAGGATTAAGTGAATTATGTATAGTTAGAACAGTGTCTAGCACACTTCATAAGTTTGGCATACTTTATAAGTGTTGGCTATTATTTTTATTATTCAGCCATGAATAGCATTTACATGATCTTAATAACCTAAATACTGTATATTGATTGAACCACAAGGAGGATATATCTATCTATATTGGGAGAATTGGGGTCGGAGAGTAGTGTACATGCAAGCATGGCGGTTGGGGTGGTTGTGAAAGGGTACCAGATCCTCATCTGCCATAGATGGAAGTTAATAGGATCTGTTAAACACAATGATTAAAAGTGAAAAAAAAAAATTCTACTAGAATATGATTTACAGGTATGGAAGAAGTAGCAAAGAAACAACTAAAAGAGCTGGAAGGATTTATTCTGTAGAGAAGTAAATTGGGGCTGTGGAGAGGACTGTTTTCATAGCACGCCTTGTAAAACTGCCTAACTAATATATATGCATGTGTAACATTGGTAAAAACAAAAAGTGAATTAAGAAAAAAAATTTTGGCTGGGCACGGTGGCTCACGGCTGTAATCCCAGCACTTTGGGAGGCCGAGGCCGGTGGATCACCTGAGGTCAGGAGTTCAAGACCAGCCTGGCCAACATGACGAAACCCCGTCTCTACTAAAAATACAAAAATTAGCTGGGCTAATTTCACATCTGTGAACATTTTATCGCCTTCATCATAAATATGAGGCACAGTCCTCCATTAAAAATTTTTTTTTTTCTTTGAGGCAAAGTCTCCTTCTGTTGCCCAGGCTGGAGTGCAATGGTGGCTCCCTGCAACCTCCGCCTCCTGGGTTGAAGCGATTCTCCTGCCTCAGCCTCCCAAGTACCTAGGATAACAGGCACCCACCACCACGCCCTGCTAATTTTTTGTATTTTTAGTAGAGACAGGGTTTCACCATGTTAGCCAGGCTGGTCTTGAATTCCTGACCTCAGGTGATCCACCCACCGCAGCCCCCCAAAGTGCTAGGGTTACAGACATGGGCCACCGTGCCTGGCCTCCC
The DNA here is from genome assembly GCF_000001405.40 of Homo sapiens. NCBI lineage: Eukaryota > Metazoa > Chordata > Mammalia > Primates > Hominidae > Homo > Homo sapiens. Next base: position 54,997,925 of record NC_000014.9, on the reverse strand, counting down.
CATTTTTTTTTTTTGAGACGGAGTTCCGCTCTTGTTGCCCAAGCTGGAGTGCAATGGCGCGATCTCGGCTCACTGCAACCTCTGCTTCCCGGGTTCAAGTGATTCTCCTGCCTCAGCCTCCTGAGTAGCTGGGATTACAGGCTTGTGCCCCCACGCCTGGCTAATTTTTGCATTTTTAGTAGAGACGGGGTTTCACTGTGTTAGCCAGGATGGTCTCGATCTCCTGACCTCGTGATCTGCCCACCTCGGCCTCCCAAAGTGCTGGGATTACAGGCATGAGACACCATGCCCGGCCTCCCCATTTTTTTTAATTAGAAAATCCAAAAACAATTTTTTGTCAGCTTGAGTACACAAACTTTTAGGACTATAAATGGAATGGTTGAATATCTTCTTATAGCACTTAGTTATTAATTTACTCATATCAAGTATTTTTCAATGTATGGATTTAGAAACACTTTTTCATCTCATTTTATTAAACATCAGTTTTCAGAGCACAGTTATGTTTACTTCCATTTAAAAGGTTTATGAGGGTCTGGGTACGGTGGCTAACGCCTACAATCCCAGAACTTTTGGAGGCCGAGGTGGGTTTATCACCTGAGGTCAGGAGTTCAAGAATAGCCTGGCCAACATGGGGAAACCCCGTCTCTACTGAAAATACAAAAATTAGCCAGGTGTGGTTGTGTAGGCCTGTAAACCCAGGTACTCAGGAAGCTGAGGCAGGAAAATCACTTGAGCCTGGGAGATGAAGTTTGCAGTGAGCCAAGATCACGCCACTGCACTCCAGCCTGGGTGACAGGGTGAGACTCTGTGTCAAAAAAAAAAAAAAAAAAAAAAAAGGCTGGGCGCTGTGGCTCACGCCTGTAATCCCAGCACTTTGGGAGTCTGAGGCGGGTGGATCACGAGGTCAAGAGATCAAGACCATCCTGGCCAACATGGTGAAACCCCATCTCTACTAAAAATACAAAAATTAGCTGGGCATGGTGGCATGCGCCTGTAGTCCCAGCTACTTGGGAGACTGAGGCAGGAGAATCGCTTGAACCCGGGAGGCGGAGGTTGCAGTGAGCCGAGATCACGCCACTGCACTCCAGCCTGGCGACAGAGCGAGACTCCACTCTGTCAAAAAATAAATAAATGAAAATAAAAAGTTTATGATGTAATACTTTTTAATCTGTTAATGGTGTTCTCATTAGACTTATACCAAACTATAAATTTCCATTGGCTTAACATTTGTAGTTTTTATGCATCCTATAGGAGTAACTTGGGATCTTTGCAGTGTATCTGCTTACCATTTCACTTTTTGAAATGATCTAAAAATTTATTTATTTTGAGACAGGGTCTCACTCTGTCACCCAGGCTGGAGTGCAGTGGTGAGATCATGGCTCACTGCAGCCCTGACCTTCCAGGTTCAGGTGACCCTCCTACCTCAGCCTCGCAGGTAGCTGGGACTATAGACACATGCCACCATGCCTGGCTAATTTTTTGTGGAGATGAGGTTTCATCATGTTGTCCAGGCTGGTCTCGAACTCCTGAGCTCAAGGCATCCACCTGCTTCGGCTTCCCAAAGTGCTGAGATTACAGGTGTGAGCCACCATGCTGGGGCTTTATGTAGAATTTCTTTGCCTTCTTTGTTTTTCTATTGGTTCTATCACTTTATTTTTATAAGTATCAAAACACTAACTTTAACTGAGATAATATAAAGAAAATGTATCTTATGCAGTATTTTGTTCAAAATAAAAGTAAATGAGAGACTGTCTTACAATATGACAGACTTTATAGGGACTTTATCATATTAATATCACTTCTTTTCTAGGGAATGACTTCTGAGGAATAAAATCTTATTTTATATTTTGGCATATACAGTATTTGTTTACATGTCAGTCCCTATACTCCCATCCCATCCCCAGACTACAAGGCATTTGAAATAAGGACTGGGTCTTATTGTGTAAATATAAATACAATTCTCATAAATACATTTACTAATTATTCTTATCTGTTCAGTGAGTTTGCTGCTTGGTAGAATTTATAGGTGCATATTAAAAGTTTACCTTTTTAGTAATTGAGTTTTTCTAAATCATTCACTTTTACTTTATAATTTGTATTAATTTGTTCAAGGTATCTAGCAGAGTGGAAAAGGATTATAATGATCTTTTTGATGGAGATGATATGAGTAATGCTGGTGATTTTCTAAATGACAATGCAGTTGAGATCCCTTCTTTTTCAAAAGGGATTATAAATGATGATGAGGATGATGAAGACCTCATGATGGCTTCAGGTCGTCCTAGACAGCGAAGTCACATCCTAGAAGATGATGAAAACTCAGTTGGTAAGAATTTGACTTTGTGCATGTGATTACCCTGTTGATTAATATTTTAGATTTTTTATTAACACTATTAAAGTCATTATTGAATTTGTAGAATGTAGCTAAGTGGTGCTTAGAGGAAATTTTATAGCATTAAATGACTTTGTTAAAAAAGGTTTCAAATCTATAATCCAAGCTTCTGCTATGGCAGACTAGAAAAAGAGAAAACTAAACCCCAAGCAAATGGAAGGAAATAATACAGAGCAAAATTCAATAAAATTGACAACAGAAAACCTATAGAGAAAGTCAATGAGACCAAAAGCTGGTTCTTTGACAAGATCAATAAGGCCGGGCACGGTGGCTCACGTCTATAATCCCAGCACTTTGGGAGGCTGAAATGGGCAGATCACTTGAGGTCAGGAGTTCAAGACCAGCCTGGCCAACATGGTAAAACCCTGTCTCTACAAAAATACAAAAATTAGCTGGGTGTGGTGGCACGTGCCTGTAATCCCAGCTACTCAGGAGACTGAGGCAGGAAACTCACTTGAACCCAGGAGGTGGAGGTTGCAGTGAGCCGAGATCGCGTCAACTGCATGCCAGCATGGGCAACAGAGCAAGACTCCATCTCCAAAGAAAAGAAAAGATCAATAAAATTAATAAATATCTATCGTGGTTGATCAATAAAGAGAAGACACAAATTACTAACATAGAGAATGAAAGAGAGGTGGGCCATCACTATAGATCTGTAGATTTGTGCTATCCAATATATAGTAGCCACTAGCCACATGTAGCTGTTGAGCACTTGAAATGTGGTTAGTTCAAACTGAGATATGTTATGAGTGCAACCGGATTTTTTTTTTTTTTTTGAGGCGGAGTCTCACTCTGTCACCCAGGCTGGAGTGCGGTGGTGTGATTTTGGCTCACTGCAACCTCCGCCTCCTGGATTCAAGTGATTCTTGTGCCTCAGCCTCCTGAGTAGCTGGGATTACAGGCATGCGCCACCACGCCTGGCTAATTTTTGTATTTTTAGTAGAGATGGGGTTTCACCATGGAGTGCAACCAGATTTTGAAGACAATATGAAAAAAAGAATGTAAAAATCTTGGGAAATTTTTTATATTGAGTACATGTTGAAATGATAATATGTATTTTAAATGCACTATATTATTAAGATTATGGCTGTTTCTTTTTACTCTTTAAACTTTAGAAATATTAGAAAATTTAAAATTACAGCTGTAACTCACATTATATGTCTGTATGGCAGTGCTACTATTAATATCAAAGGCATAATGGCAATATTATGAATAACTTTGTGCCCATAAATTTAACAACTTAAATGAAATAGACGAATTTTCTGAAAGACACAAAGTACCACTGCTAACTCAAGAAGTAATAGATAACCTGAATAGTATTGTATCTATTAAAGAAATTGAGATTGTAATTTAAAATCTTCAAATAGAGTGCTTATTGTAACAACTTACATGCTACAATAACACTTGAACATTATCAAGTAAAATGAAGAAATTGAGATTGTAATTGAAAATCTTCAAATAGAGTGCTTATTGTAACAACTTACATGCTACAATAACACTTGAACATTATCAAGTAAAATGCCAATGTGCAGTGCTATGTTGTGCTTTTTAAAGTCATATAGAGTTTATAGAACAGCAGTCCTCAAATGTTTTGGTCTCAGTAGCCTTTATACTCTAAAAAATTTTGAGGACCCTTCCGAGAGCATTTATTTATACAGAGTTACGGCTATCGTCATTTACATATTAGAAATTAAAATTCAGAAATTTAAAAATATTTATTCACTTAAAAATAACATTAATAAACTCATGTAAACATGAATAGTACTTTTTTATGAAAAACAAAAAAAATTAGTGAGAAGAGTGGCATTGCAATCTTTGTAATGTCTATCATAGAGGATAGCTGGATTCTCTCATCTACTTTTCTGGATTAAGTCTATTGCTATACATTGTTTTTGTTTGAAGTGTATAAAGAAAATTTGGCCTCACATAAATATGTAATTTGAAAAGGGAGAAGTATTTTAAGAAATCTTTTAATAGCACATTCAATTAATTGTGGATATTCTTTGATGTTGCACCAAGACTCAGAAGATGATCGTTTCCTAAAGATTACTTGCAAAGTGTAATCTGAAAACTTCAGTGAACTCTTACGGCTCTGTTATGTTAAGATTCATTGGTCTGGCTGGGAATGGTGGCTCTCACCTGTAATCCCAGCACTTTGGGAGGCCCAGGCAGGAGGATTGCTTGAGGCCAGGAGTTCAAGACCAGCCAGGGCAACATAGTGAGACCTCCTCTCTACAAAAAAACTTTAAAAATTAGCCAGGTGTGGTGACGTGTGCCTGTAATCCCACCTACTTGGGAGGCTGAGGTAGGAGGATCTCTTGAGCCCGAGAGGTCGAGGCTGCAGTGAGCCATGATTGCAACAGTGGGCTCCAGGCAGGGTAACAGAACGAGACCCTGTCTCAGAAAAAAACAAAATAAAATCAAAAAATTCATTGGTCTGACTTGAATGTTGAATGGATTTTTTAAAATCATGTTTAATTTTGTAACATATGAATTGATAATATTGGTTCACTGAAGTTTATAGATCCTCTTTATACTGACACTTTTTATTATCTAATATAAATTATTTGTTTTTGTTTTTAATTAATTATATGTTGTTTTTAATTAATTAATTTTTGTTTTTAGAGATAGCATCTTGCTCTGTCACCTAGGCTGGAGTGCAGTGGTATCATCACACCTCACTGTAACCTTGAACTCCTGGGCTTAAGCAGTTCTCCCACTCAGCCTTCCGGGTAGCTAGGACTACAGATGCATGCCACCATGCCCATCTAATTTTTTATTTTTTGTAGAGATGGAATCTTGCTTTGTTGCCCAGGCTGGTCTTGAAATCCTGGCCTCAAGTGATATTCCCTCCCCAGCCTCCCAAAGTGCTGCAATTACAAGCGTGAGTCACAGCACCTGGCTGTAAATTATATCTGCTAGTGTTGTTACCAATCTCATCAGTAGTTTCTAAGTATTAGAAAGTTGTGAAGCTCATAATGGCAAATAGAAGCTTTCCAATATCTTAATTTTTAATTGAAAGCTCAAATTTCTTGTTTTTATTTTTTGAGAGGGAGTCTTGCTCTGTCACCCAGCCTAGAGTGCAGTGGCACGATCTCGGTTCACTGCAACCTCTGCCCTCTGGGTACAAGTGATTCTCCTGCCTCAGCCTCCTGAGTAGCTGGGATTATAGGTGCCCGCCACCATGCCAGGCTAATTTTTGTATTTTAGTAGAGACGGGGTTTCACTATGTAGGTCAATCTGGTCTCGGACTCCTGACCTCAAATGATCTACCCACCTTGGCCTCCCAAAGTGCTGGGATTACAGGCCTGAGCCACTGTGCCCAGCTCTTTTTTTTTTGAGACGGAGTCTCCCGGGTTCAAGCGATTCTCCTGTCTCAGCCTCCCGAGTAGATGGGATTACAGGCATGTGCCACCATGCCTGGCTAATTTTTGTATTTTCAGTAGAGACAGGGTTTCACCATGTTGGCCAGGCTGGTCAACGTGGAACTCCCGACCTTAAGTGATCTGCCTGCCTCGGCCTTGCAAAGTGCTGGGATTACAGGTGTGAGCCACCGTGCCTGGCCTGAAAGCTCAAATGTTATCATTGGCAACAAATTCTGCCAGTTATTTTTTCTTAATTGATAGGCTCACTTCATTCATTTACAAGAAAATGTTTGCCAAAGATCCAATTCTGCATAACCGTAGTTTATCTGGCATGTGTTTTTTAAGTAAAAGTAGTGTTGTATGAAAAAAAATCACTTAGTTCAGCTTACAACTCAAACAATTGCATAAGTGCTTTTTTTCAAGACAACCATCACACTTCTCATTTTAGCACACAGAACTTTAAAAAAAAAATCTGTGTAAGCGTCAAGATTTAATAAAATTAATATTTTTACTGCAAGTGAGTAGTGGTTAACAATGCAGTAACGACTAATACAGTTAGGTGCCACTGCCTTGATTGGTGCCAAGGCACCAGGAATTTTACCCACCATTGCTTTTGCACCATCACTGCATCTCTTTAACACAGTGAAAGAGGCAAATAGCATGTCAGTGTCATTGAATATGAATGAAAAAGTTACTAGATTCCATAATGCTTTCCTTTTTCCAAATCATTGGTATTCGTGATTCCCTTAATTATGATCCTTTGTGTTGTAGATATTTCAATGCTAAAAACTGGTTCTAGTCTTCTCAAAGAGGAGGAGGAAGATGGTCAAGAAGGCAGCATTCACAATCTACCACTTGTAACATCCCAAAGGCCATTTTATGATGGACCCATGCCAACTCCCCGGCAAAAGCCATTTCAGTCAGGTTCTACACCGTTGCATCTCACTCACAGATTCATGGTAAGACTTGGATCTACACTTAACTTCTTAGTAGGTTTTCAGCACTTTTTTCTTACTATAGTTAATTTTTTTGGATAAAACATATTTTTAAAAACTTTGATTAAGTAGCCTGGAGCACTTTGGTTGATTACAGTTTTGTGGTTGGTTTATTTTATGGTTAGCTCACAGTTTTAATCTTGTTTCAACCTTATTGAAAATGATGTTAAATAAAATTCTGCTTTCCAAAATGACATTAAATGAACATAAGTAAATATTACTATCTTGCAATATTTCTTGGCAATACTTTCAAACCTTATTCTTCATGGTCATTGTTACATAGAAGATTATACTGACTCCAAAACACTAGTAAGGAGGTGCTTTCTTAGAAGGCAACTACTAGTATAATATATTAGAAGGTGGCAAGTACTATGGGGGGAAAAGTCTGACCCTTTTCCTCACTCCACCACCCACCAGAATGTAAGCTACACGAGGATAAAGATTTTTGTTTTGTTTACTGATATGTTCTTAGGATTTGGAACAAGGTATGATACAGTGCACATTAAATATATATTTCATGAATAGACAAAATGAATATATTGGCTTTTTGCCTTAGATTTGAGTTCTTTTTTTTTTTTTTTGAGATGGAGTCTCGCTCTGTTGCCCAGGCTGGAGTGCAGTGGCACAATCTCTGCTCACTGCAAGCTCCGCCTCCCAGGTTCACGCCATTCTCCTGCCTCAGCCTCCCGAGTAGCTGGGACTACAGGTGCCTGCCACCATGCCCAGCTAATTTTTGTATTTTTAGTAGAGATGGGATTTCACCATGTTAGACAGGATGGTCTCGATCTCCTGACCTCGTGATCCGCCTGCCTAGGCCTCCCAAAGTGCTGGGATTACAGGCGTGAGCCACCGCGCCTGGCCTGAGTTCTTAAAAAGTTTAGTTTTTCTGTGTTGGTTATATGATGTTTTCCATTCTGAGGATTTTGCCTTTTTAAAAGTATAGGCCTGGCATAAATTTGAAGAGTATAGGCCTGGCATAAATTTTTATGTAAAGATTAAGGGTGGTGATTAATATTAATAAAACTTTTTATTGCTATCAGTAGTCATCAAGTCATAGGTCTTAATTTTTTTATTAGTGTCAATATTTTATTTATAGTTATGTTAAATAAAATATTGGCACTAATTTTATTAGAAACTCTAGGGCCTAGTGTGAGCCTATAATGGACATCAGTGGAAGATAAGTTTTCCAAGTGGTATCAATTTATGTTGCCTCTGCCGGGCGTGATGGCTCACGCCTATAATCCCAGCACTTTGGGAGGCCAAGGTGGGTTGGTCACTTGAGGATAGGAGTTGGAGACCAGCCTGGCCAACATGGTGAAACACCCTATCTCTACTAAAAAAATACAGAAATTAGCTGGACCTGGTGGCATGCACCTGTAACCACAGCTACACAGGAGGCTGAGGGAGGAGAATCACTTGAATCCAGGAGGCAGAGGTTGCGGTGAGCCGAGATCATGCCACTGCACTCCAGCTTGGGTGACAGAGCAAAACTGTCTCCAAAAAAAAAAAAAAATTATGTTTTCTTAAAATGTATGTATTTATTTTATCATAGAATAGTTAGGAAAAAAGTCTGTTGTTATTTGCATCCATATTTGTAAGAAAACTCAATTTTTGAAATATTTCTTTTGAGGAATTTAATGGTTTGGTTGTTCAAAGGACAACTGTAATGTGCTTTTAAAGTAACAGTCATGTAATTTATTTTTAAATATTATTAAATACTCTATTTGCTAATTAATAAGTATATATGTATCTTATTCTCACCAAGGAAATAATAAGTAATTGTAGCTCTGGTATTATGACTCCTGTCAGAAACTATTTAGAGATAGATGAGATGTAGTAACTCCCAAAACCTAAATCTTAATACAAATTTAATTATAATATTTGTTAATTTGTACTACTGTGGCTTACTGATTCTAGGAGCTTCAGTTTTTCTCAGACTTATATTTAATCTTACCTGTTTGTAGGTGTGGAACTCTATTGGAATTATTCGCTGCTATAATGATGAGCAAGACAATGCCATAGATGTGGAGTTCCATGATACCTCCATACACCATGCAACACACTTATCAAACACTTTGAATTATACAATAGCAGATCTTTCCCACGAAGCTATTTTGTTGGCATGTGAAAGCACTGATGAACTAGCAAGGTAAACTCAAGATTATTAGGAAGAATTTGGCACTGTTGAACTGTTAGATACAGTTGTTGAAATTAAAGACAAAAAGTTAATAAAACAAAATTTATTTTTTGTAATATGAAATTTCAGAAGAGTTTGGTACAAACACCAGCACACCCAAAATACCTCAGAACATATGTCTGTTTTTGCCATAATGATTCCCTCATTACATGCTCTAACTACATAGCAAAATGACATGGCATAGTTAGTAATGCAAGAGATGGGATTTTTTTTTTACATTGTTAAGTGCTTTTTTTTTTTTTTACTATTATAAGAGTAATATACATTCATTGTAAAGAAAAAAAACCAGTATACAGTATAGAAGTTTCGGAAAATGAAAACTCCTCCCAGAATTCTACTCTCAGATATAACTGCTATTTACAATTTGATATGTATCCTTCCAGATTTCTTTCTATTTGAACCTCCCTTATTTTAATTTACTTTATTGAGATGTAATTTATTTACAATAAAATGCACCCATTTGATGAGTTGACAAAGGTGTATATACACAGATAACCCCTACCACAATCAAAATACAGAATGTTCTTTATCACCCGAAAATGTTTTCTTATATCCCTTTGCAGTTAGTTCAACCCTAGCCTTGGCCAACTATTAGTCTAGATTTTTGTCACTACGTCTTTATCACCCAAGAATGTTTTCTTATATCCCTTTGCAGTTAATTCAACCTGAGCCTTGGCCAACTATTAATCTACATTTTTGTCATGATGGATTAAATTTAAAATCTCTCTTCGAGAAAGGAAAAAAAAACGGAAAAACAAACCAAAAAATGTACTAGTCACCCGTTTGCTTTTTCTACTTAATATTTTTTGGATGTTTACATGTTTTGATAAGTAGGTAGGTAAGTAAATAGGTAGATAGATGTCAAGAAAAAAATTATGATGGGAAAGCAATGGGTGCAGAATGTTTTTCTTTTCAAAAGAAAAGAAAATATTTTTTCAGCTTTTTGTTAATCAAGAGATTGCCCTCTCTTGATCCCTTCTTCAGCTGATTATAGTACTGATACACTTCATGGATTTTACTATCTTCTATGTGATTTGAAATTTGTATCCTTCAGGCTGGGCATGGTGGCTCACGCCTGTAATCCCGGCACTTTGGGAGGCCAAGGCGGACAGATGACCTGAGCTCAAGAGTTTGAGACCAGCCTGACCAACATGGTGAAACTGCATCTCTACTAAAAATGCAAAAATTAACCAGGTGCAGTGGCACCCACCTGTAGTCCCAGCTACTCGGGAGGCTGAGGCAAGAGACAGGAGAATTGCTTGAACCTGGGAGGCGGAGGTTGCAGTGAGCAGAGATCACACCACTGTACTCCAGCCTGGGTGACAGAGCAAAACTCCATTTCAAAAAAAAAGAATTTGTATTTAATAATAACTTACATATATGTATGTGCAAAGAAAAAAGGCTGGAAAGATATCAATATAGTTCATTTTAAGGGTATTTCATAATTACTTTTTTAAAGCAACTTCTTATACTAGTGTATAATAGGAAGTAAACTATTTGGTTTTTTTGTTGAATATCATGATTGCTTATATATATATATATGTAAATATCATATGAAAGTTTGATTGTTTCTGTCTTGTTTTAATTTTTAGCAAGCTTCACTGCCTGCACTTTAGTTCTTGGGATTCAAGCAAAGAGTGGATAATAGACTTGCCTCAGAATGAGGATATTGAAGCCATATGTCTCGGTCAAGGATGGGCTGCTGCCGCTACTAGTGCCCTGCTTCTTCGATTGTTTACTATTGGAGGGGTTCAAAAAGAGGTATTCAGCCTTGCTGGACCTGTGGTGTCAATGGCAGGACATGGAGAACAGCTTTTCATTGTTTATCACAGAGGTAGATTTTTTTCAGTCTTTTATGACTTGAAGTAAAATGGAAATTACTTGAGCTTTTTTGCTGTTTTTGTTACTCTTTTTGTCTTGGATTATATACTTCCTTTTGAATCCGTGTAATCTTTAAATGTAGATAATTTTGTTGTGTTCACTAGCAGCAATGAAAATGAAAATGTTTCTTAATAGAACTATATTATAGAGAGAATTCCAAGGTGGAATTTGGTTAATTACTTCCATGTCTAAATCTTACCATTTTGGCAAGCACGACCAGAGAACTTTCAGCGTTGAAATTCCACAAAAATAACTCCTAGTAGGAAGGGCCAAAACAACTCTGAATGTGACACTTTTTAAAAGCTGCTGCCTCCTTTTTCCTCCCCTCATGTCTTTCTTCAGTCCCCGTCACTATGCTAAGACTGGTCTTATCAAGGTAACCGATAATCTCTGTGCTTTTTTAAAAAAATAATTCCATTGAAAATACCTTCTTCTCATGACTTCTGTGACATCATACTTTCAATATTTTTCCTCACTGGCAGCTCCCTTTTTACTTTTTTGTTGGCTCTATCTTTTAGCTGGAGTGTATCCCCTTTTTCTCTACTACTCTCTAGGTCAGGGTCTTTCAGTCTTTTTGTCTGCTTTGCCACAGTAAGAAATAGATTCATAGATTCTGGACCAGGTATGGTGTGGTGTGGTGTGGTGGCTCACACCTGTAATCTCAGCACTTTGGGAGGCCGAGGCGGGAGAGTTGCTTTAGCCCAGGAGTTCAATACAAGTCTGGATAGCAATAGCAAGCCCCTGTTTCTATTTTTAAAAGAAAAACAGAAGAAAAGAAATATATTCTATATAACTGTTCTATAAATATCTGCAAATGTAACTGAAATAAAAGTCTCCTGGACAATGTTTACTCTTTTGATATCAGTTTAAATTTTTTTATTTCATTTTTTAAAATGCTAGTTGCAAATTAAAATTGATTCCATGACTCTTAGGTCAAAATATGCAGTTTGAGAAACCACCCTGGGGAATTTTATCATAATCCATGGCTTTAAATACATCTCAGTGTCTATGACTTTTAAGTTGATAGCACCAACCCTACCCTCTCCTTGTGTCTCCAGACTTACACATCCAGTTGCCTACTTGAAATCTATTTAGAGTTTGGACAGACATTTCAGACTTAATTTGCTCACAATAAAAACTGATTTTTTTCCTTCCAAGCTTGCTTCTTATGTAGTTTCCCCATCTTAGTAAATGGCTTACTAACAATCTAGTGGCTGAAGCCAAAAATCTAAAAATTATCCTCGATTCTTCTCTTTCCATTTCCCCTGCATCAACTCCAACAGTAAAATTATATCATCATGTCAATTCTATGGAATAACACATTCTAAATTTGTCTCTTTTCATTTCTTCTGCTAATACAACCTGGATGTCATCTCTTGGACTGTCATAGTAGCCTCCTAACTAGTCTTTTAGCTTCAGTTCTTGCCTTCCACAGTCCATTCTCCACAGAGCAGCCTAGGTGATCTTTTAAAAATATAGATCATGCTCCTCTTCTCAAATCCCTCTGACTTTCCTTCACTTTTAGAATCAAAGTCAAACTTCTGATAGCTGTCAAGGTGATCTACTGATCCCGTATAATCTGACCTTTGCCTGCCTCTCCAACCTCATCTCTTACCGTTGTTTCTCATTACCATGTTCTGGCCATACTGCCTCTTTGTGTTCTTCGAGCCCTCCATTCTTCCTACCTTAGGACTTTGCATTAGCTGTTCCCTCCATCCACTTCCGTGTTCCTTCCCCTAATGTTTGCATGGCAGGCTCCAGCTTGCAGTTCATGTCTCAGCTTAAACTTTACTTTCTGAGAGGTCACTTCTGACTAACCAGTCTAACAAACCACTCTGACATTCTGTATCACATTATTTTAACTTTGTGATAATTTTTTTGTTCTTTTTGTGTTTTTTAATTTGTCTTCTACCTGAAATTTGAATTTAATAAGAGTGGTGACTTTGTTTATTGCTGTAGCCCCAGTATCTAGGCCAATGCTGGCGTGTAGTAAGCTCTCTGTAAATATGTCTTGAGTGAATAAATGCCCACTTATAAGGACTTTATGTGAAGAGTCCATGTAACATCTTACTGTGTTTCTAATACCTGAATGATGCCTCAGTTGGATGGGTTATTCATAAAAAGTAGTGCTAGTCAGTCTAGTAATTTACCACAAAATCAATTCACAGAAAATAATTTAGACTGCGTTATAGTTGGATAACCTTTGATGCCTGATTTATATTTACATTTTCTCATTAGGTACAGGATTTGATGGGGATCAGTGCCTTGGAGTTCAACTGCTAGAGCTGGGGAAAAAGAAAAAACAAATTTTGCATGGTGACCCTCTTCCTCTTACAAGGAAATCCTACCTTGCATGGATTGGGTTTTCAGCTGAAGGCAAGATAAATTTGTTTAAAAAAAACAAGTATAATATAAAGTGTTAGATATTCTTCAAGAAGAAAATTATTTCATTGTTTTATTCCTAATTAATTTAAGAATAAATTATCTCTATTTTATATTTTAAATTTCTATTTTAATATGTTGGCAGAACTGGGAGCTGCAATCTTTAGGCAAGGTAGCCATTGTTTTATGTATAAGATCTTGTTTTTATTTTTATGTTCTTTTAAGACAGGGTCTGGCTCTGTTGTCCAGGCTGGAGTGCAGTGGCATGATCTCGGCTCACTGCAACCTCCACCTCCTGGGCTTAAGCCATCTTCCTACCTCAGCCTCCTTAGTAGCTGGGACTACAGGCATGTGCCACCATGCCTAGCTAATTTTTGTATTTTTTGTAGAGACAGGGTTTTGCCATGTTGCCCAGGCTGGTCTCAAACTCCTAGGCGCAAGTGATCCACCCACCTTGGCCTCCTAAAGTGCTGGGATTACAGGCGCGAGCCACTGCACCCGGCTAAGAGCTCTCTTCATGAGAATTCTCATTAGAAAACTTATAAAGAAGGAAATATATTTTTCTGAAAGTATTAAATAGCAAGGAGGTGATACAAATCAATAATAAGTTGTGTCTTTTCCAGCAGATCATACAGAAAACTTAGAATTTTCTAGAGCTTCACTGTTTACTACAATAACTAGTATGTGTGTCTGTTGAGCACTTGAAATATGGCTGAGATGTGCTTGTATGTGTAAAATACTCTGGATTTTGAAGACTTAGCATGAAAAAAGATATAAAAATCAATTTTTTTATGTTGATTACATGTTAAATGATAATATTTGAGATATCTTCGATGAAATAAAATGTATTATTAACATTAACTTCATCCTTTTTTTCTTTAAAAATAATTTTTTTTTTGGCTGGGCATGGTGGCTCATGCCTATAATCCCAGCACTCTGGGAGGCCGAGGCAGGAGGATCACTTGAGCCCAGGAGTTCAAGACCAGAGTGGGCAACATAGTGAGATCCCATCTCTATTTAAAATTTTTTTTTTTTTAAGGAATAAATTAGGAGTCTTGCTCTGTTGCCCAGGCTGGAGTGCAATGATGCGATCTCAGCTTACTGCAACCTCTGCCTTCCGGGTTCCAGCAATTCTCCTGCTTCAGCCTTCTGAGTAGCTGGGATTACAGGCTTGCGTCACCACACTCGGCTAATTTTTGTATTTTTAATAGAGACAGGGTTTTACCATGCTGGCCAGGCTGGTCTTGAACTCCTGACCTCATGTGATCCACCCGCCTCGACCTCCTGAAGTGCTGGGATTACAGGCGTGAGCCACCGCCCCCAGCCTAAATTTTTTCACTTAACTTTTTTTTGTTGTTCAGATACATGGTATGTAGCCATTTTTTTTTTAATGTGGCACTAGGAAATTAAAAATTACACTTGTGGCTCACATGATATTTCTTTTGGATAAGTGCTATTTTAGACCAAATTCTAGAGGCTTATGACAGATGATTTGAAAGACACTGAGGAGTACCTTATTTTATTTTATTTGTTTTTGTGTTTGTGGTTTTTTTGACGCAGAGTCTCACTCTGTCACCCAGGCTGGACTGCAGTGATGTGACCTCAGATCACTACAACCTCTGTCTTCTGGGTTCAAGTGATTCTCGTACCTCAGCCTCCCGAGTATCTGGGACTACAGGCACATACCACCACGCCTGGCTAATGTTGTATTTTTAGTAGAGATGGGGTTTTGTCATGTTGGCTAGGCTGGTTTTGAACTCCTGGCATCAGGTGATCCACCTGCCTCAGCCTCTCAAAGTGCTGGGATTACAGGAGTGAGCCACTGCACCTGGCCCAGGAGTACCTTATTTTAAATCACCTGTCATCTCTGTCTCATGGGGACTTAAATATTTCTCTTTTTGGAGATTCATGTTCTTCATTTACATTGCTGGAAACTCCACTTTGTCTTTAAAATATCAACCATTTCTAAATGTGTTTTCTATTAGTCATTCAGGCTTTAATAATATGAACCATTGATAACTTCCATTTGTATAGATTTTTTTCTCCGAAGTACCAATTAGATCCAGACCCTGCGGAAACTAATGTTTGCAGAGTGAGGGGGGTGTGAAGCCACAGATAAGAAAAGGGATAATCAGGTAATTTGCCACAGATTTCCTGAGTTGGAAGCAGAATAGGTGGAAAACAAGAATGCTTCCCTGTTTTACGAGGTAAGAATTGCTTACCTAGTAGTTGGGGACAGAGTAGTGACAAGGCCAACAAAAAGAAGAGAGAGGAAGAAGAGTACTAAAGATAAATTTCGTAAAGATCACTTTGTATCAGATTTTGGTCATTTTTCTAAATGTTTCTCAAGCGGGAGCCTTCTGATTCATGTTTAATTTTTTACTAAAATTGGCTTTAAAATTATTATCGGCCGGGCGCGGTGGCTCACGCCTGTAATCCCAGCACTTTGGGAGGCTGAGGCGGGTGGATCACAAGGTCAGGAGATTGAGACCATCCTGGCTAACATGGTGAAACCCCGTCTCTACTAAAAATACAAAAAAAAATTAGCTGGGCGTGGTGGCGGGTGCCTGTAGTCCCAGCTACTCGGGAGGCTGAGGCAGGAGAATGGCTTGAACCTGGAAGGCGGAGCTTGCAGTGGGCCGAGATCGCGCCACTGCCCTCCAGCCTGGGTACACAGCAAGACTCCATCTCGAAAAAAAAAATAATAATAATAAATAAATAAATAAATGAAATTATTATTATCTTCCAGCAGGTGGCATAGTTTTCACTGAAACTCAGTTTTTTCACTTTATTTGTGTAAATTTTAGTCATATCAAATCCAATGTTTTTTCTTTTTTTAGTTAGGTCTTACTTTATATGGTTAATGAAATTTTACGTAATAATCTTAGATTATTTGCTTCTGTTTTGTGTTTTGCTTTTGAAAGCAAAGTTGAATCCTTGGTATGTATAATATATTTGAAATAGGGTTCCTTTAACAACATGTAGCTATGTCTCCAAGTGATTTTTCTGTTGGTGTTTAGGTACCCCTTGTTACGTGGATTCAGAAGGAATTGTTCGAATGCTTAACAGAGGACTTGGTAATACGTGGACTCCTATATGTAATACAAGAGAGCACTGCAAAGGAAAATCTGATCACTACTGGGTGGTTGGTATCCATGAAAATCCCCAGCAACTAAGGTGGGCTATTAAAAGAAGTCTAAAGTTGACTCTTTTTAAAAAGTATGTTGAAATTCTTTTTATGAGGCCCTTTAAGTGTATTTGTCTTTTATCTTAGTCCAATTACTTGCTTTCCATAGTCACTAAATTAGGAATTTGTTCATATTCACTCTGAAGTTTTCAGTCACTTGCTTTACTTGAAACATGTTGAACAAAATAGAAATAATTAGGATGACCTTACCATCATTTCAGCCACACAGGGAGAGGAATTCTGATTAAACATGGCATTTCACCTTTTATTACTGTCTTTTATTTTAATAAAATAACAATAAATATAAAAGTTAAAGTGAAAATAAAACAATATATATTCAATTGAGAATTGAAATATACAATTAAGCTGCTTTTTGAGATGTTTTGCTTAATTATCGTAATAGGAGGAAGGACTAATAGAAGACAGAGTCTCGCTCTGTTGCCCAGGCTGGATTGTAGTGGCGTGATCTCAGCTCACTGCAAGCTCCGCCTCACGGGATCACACCATTCTCCTGCCTCAGCCTCCCCAGTAGCTGGGATTATAGGTGCGCACCATCACGCCTGGCTGATTTTTTTGTATTTTTAGTAGAGAGGGGGTTTCACCGTGTTAGCCAGGATGGTTTCAATCTCCTGACCTTGTGATCTGCCTGCCTCGGCCTCCCAAAGTGCTGGGATTACAGGCATGAGCCACCACGCCCAGCTGAGTTTTTTTTTTTTTTTTTTTTTTTATGTGGAGTCTCACTCTGTCACCCAGGCTGGAGTACAGTGGCGTGATCTCAGTTCACTACAACCTCCACTTTGAGTTCAAGCTATTCTTCTACCTCAGCCTCCCCAGTAGCTGAGATTACATAGGCATGTGCCACCATGCCCAGCTAATTTTTGTATTTTTAGTAGAGACAGGGTTTCACCATGTTGGCCAGGCTGGTCTTGAACTCTTGACCTCAAGTGATCCACCTCAAGTGATCCACCCAAAGTACAGGCATGAGCCACCGTACCTGGTCCTGGACTAATAGTATTTTATATTGATCCGTGTGCACATTAAAGTTTGGGAAGTACTGCTGCTGGCATATGTATAAAATGATACATTGGCTGGGTGTGGCATGGGATTTCTTTTTGGGGTGATGAAAATGTTCAGAAATTAGTGTTGATAGATGCACAATTCTGTGAATATACAAAAAAACCACTGAATTATGTCTTTTTTTTTTTTGAGACAGAGTCTCACTCTGTCACCCAGGCTGGAGCACAGTGGCCCGATTATGTCTCACTTCAGGCTCACTTCAGTGACATCCTGGGCTCAAGCGATCCTCCCACCTTAGCCTTCCAAGTAGCTGGGACTACAGGCACGCACCACCACACCCAGCTACTTTTTGTAGAGACAGGGTTTCACCATGTTGCCTAGGCTGGTCTCAAATTCCTGGGCTTAAGGGATCTTCCCGCCTCGGCCTCCCAAAGTGTTGGGATTACAGGCATGAGCCACTGTGCCTGGCTGAATTGTATACTTACCATATGATATGGCTGGTACATTCTCTGTGAACTCAATATTATGTGAATCATATCTTGACAAAGCTGTTAAAAAGGATGAGGACACTATATAATGATATAGAAAAATCTGCAAGATGTGTTAAGTGAAATAAATACCATTTGTGTAAAAGTGGGGAAAGAATAAGAATATGTAATTGTATTTGCTTTACATACGCAAAAGAATTCCTAGAAGAATGAAAAGGAAACTAACAATAATAGTTACCTCACGGAGAGAAACTCAGTGGATAGTATAGGAGACTTTTCTCTGTATTCATTTTTATACTTTTTGAGCATGTAAATTGAGCATGTAACTTTGAATTACTAGTTCAAAAGTTAAATAAATTGAATTTTTAAACAAAGCAGCAATTCAATAAACTAAATCAGATAAGGCCAGAAGTTAAGTTCAAGAAGACTTCTTAATTTGGCTACATGGAGGTTAACGGTGACTCTGATAAAAGTGATAAAATGTTAAATTCCAGATTGGGGTGGGCATGGGAGGTAAAGAAATGAAAGTAGAATATGTGGATAACTCTTATCAAGAAATTTGACTATTGGGCCAGGCGAGGTGGCTCACGCCTGTAATCCCAACACTTTGGGAGCCCAAGGCGGGAGGAATGCTGGAGGCCAGGAGTTTGAGACCAGCCTGGGCAACATAGTGAGACCCAGTTTCAACAAAAAAAAATTTTTTTAATTACCCAGGCATGATGGCACACACCTATAGTCTCTGCTACTTGAGAGGCTAAGAGGGGAGGATCACTTGAGCCCAGGAGGTTGAGGTTACAGTGAGTCATGATCACACCTCTGCACTCCTGTCTAGGCGACAGAGAACCTATCTCAAAAAAAAAGAACTTTGGTGTGAAGAGGAGCAAAGATTTGGGGTGGCACCTAAAGGAGGATAAAAAGTCTTTGAAGGGATTTTTTAGCTTAGGTGACTCTATAGCATTTTTGTAATCTTTTGGCAATGAATTTAGTAAAGAAGATAAGATTGATAATTTAAAAGAAGGAGCCAATGAAAGGAATGAAAAAAGAAAAAAAAGTAGTAGCTTTTAGATCACCTGTCTAAAATAGGAAAATAGACATTTCATCAGTTCTGGAAAGGGAAAAAAATAGGCACAAATGCAGATAGATTTGGTAGCCAAAAGGTAACAAATTCCTATCTTCTGTTTTTGGCTTCTGTTTTGTTGGCAGATCATGAAGCAGAATTCAGTTATTTCTGGAGACAGTGGTTGGCATTGTGGGATGTTTGAGAAGAAAAGACATATAGTCTCAGAGGATGCAAAATTGAATTAGTAGAGAACTACAGAGGAATTGGTGGTTATTTCTGTGTGTTTTGCCTTTACAGTTGTAATCACTGAATATTACATTCTAAATATTGACATATTTAGTATCAGAAGAAGTATATTCATTAACGGTTTTTTTTTTTTAGAGCCAGGGTATCACTCATTTGCCCATGCTGGAGTGCAGTAGTGCAGTCATAGCTCACTGCAGCCTTGAATTCCTGGGCTCAAGTGATCCTGGCACCTCAGTCTCCTGAGTAGGTAGAACTACAGGCACAGGCTACCACACCTGGCTAATTTTTAAAAATATTTTGTAAAGATGGGGTCTCACCATCTTGCCCAGATTGACCTCTAATTCCTGGCCTCAACTGATCCTCTTGCATCAGCCTTCCAAAGTGCTAGGATTATAGGTATAAGCCAGATGCCAAGCCACATTCACTATTTTTAGTAGTTCTTATAGTGTAGGTTGTTCTCAGTGATTTCTTGCATGTCCATTTTCAGGAATCTAGTTAGTTTAGTAATTTGAATTAAAGAATTCACAGTCTATCTTAATAGTAGGTTAAGGTTTGAACCTATGAGGATTTTTACTATTCTGCCTAATGCTTATTCAAGTAAGATTATTCATTTTGTTAGTGAATGTCATTATCTTAGAGGTATATGAAATTATTTATTTGCAATATATGAAATTAGTCATCTGCAATGAACAATTTTGCTTCTTCATTTCATTTAATATTACAAGTATTTCATCAATTGCAGTTTTCACACCCTTAGTAATTTATCCAGCTGGCTTTTTTTTTCTTAACATGCTTTTTTTTTTTTTCCACACAACCCTTTGGAACACATTTTTTACTTGCTTTTTATTTAAGATTTGTAAAGAATTTTAACTTGTTAAAAACTACGATAATTACAGCTGGTAACATTTAACTGTTATATTCAATAATGGATAAAGAAATAATGGACTGTAAATTACAGCTTTTACACTTAGAAGGATTTTAGAAACCGTCTATACTAGTAGCTCCTGACATTTTCAAATATAAGAGCCCTTTTTATTTATTTATTTAGAAACAGGGTCTCCTTACGTTATCCAGGCTGGACTTGAACAAGAGTCCTTTTTTAAATGTTGAACAGTTCATGCCTCCAAATAATAGTAGCTCTAGTAGCTCTACATTTAGTATCAGCTAATAAAGAATATTTCTTTATTGAGACACAGTCTCGCTATGTTCCCTAGGCTTTTCTTGAACTAACCTCGAGTGATCCTCCCACCTTGGCCTCCCAAAGTGCTGGGATTACAGGCATGATAACATAAGCTTCTGTAGACCTGAAAATTTTATTTTAATATAAAATTGTATTTACAAATCACGTTATCTGCATACATGTGAAAATTTTAGTATGTAAAGTGGAAACTATTTTTGTATTTGGTCTACAGACAATTCATGGTGCTTGTGTGCATTCCTAGACACTTTATAATAGCTCAGCAGCCCTACAGGAATAAAAGAATGGGAACTACCAAGTTCTTTTGGTCTATTTGCTGTCTCTCTTCACCCCCAGCACTTCTCCCCAATTTTTACATATGAGAAAACTAAGGTCCAAAAAGATTAAAGTAATTTGGTAGAGAGTACACATCTATTTATTGGCAAAAAAAAAACAACCTTATTTTTTTGTATTAAAATATAGGAACAAAGGGAGTTAGCTGATAAGTAGATTGAAAGAATAAATACTTCTCCTATAAAGACCAGCTTGTTGTAGAATAATTGAATTACTGAGGGGAATCTTATACAGTAGGCATTTGAAGCACTGAGAAGATACACTAAAAAATCTGTTGATAGAAATGTATTTATTTGTATATTATGTGATAAATTGATAACTGCAGACTGTTTTCATATTTTCATATTTTCCTGGCTTTATGCTGGAATAATAAACTTGAATAAGAATATTTTTCTTTTTTTTTGGTACACCCTTGTAGAACATTTATTTATTTATTATTTATTATTTATTTTTTGGTATATAGCCTTAAATATTTTTCAAAGATTGGAAGCAACACTTCTCAGTATGGCTTACTGTACTTTTCACACCAGTTTTGCTTAACATGTTGGCATATTTAGAGATGATTCATTTCCTTTCTGTGGATAGCGGTACATGGAAGTTCGGGGAATAAAATTCTGCAATCACTTTTTTAGTAGCCTGCTGTTGTGTTTAAAGAGCCTTACCTATTTTGGCTAGCAAGAAATTCATTTTTGGCCAGGCTTTGTGACTCACAGCTGTAATCCCAACACATCGGGAGGCCAAAGCATGGGGATCACTTGAGGCCAGGAGTTTGAGGCTAGCCTGGGCAACATAGAGAGACCCTGCCAGGCATGGTGGTACATGCCTGTAGTCCCAGCTGCTCGGGAGGCTGAGGTAAGGGTATGACTTGAACCCAGGAGTTCAAGGTTATACAGCCCCTGCACCCCAACCTGCGTGACAGAAGGAGACTTTGTCTCTAAAATAAAAAGGAAATAAAGAAATTCATCTTCATATTTATTTGCATTTTTAATGCCTCTGTTTGCTCTCATTGTTTGTGATAAAGATAGCAAATCACATGCTTCTCTGGAAAGCCAATGTGGCCTAGTGGTCCAGAGCTCGAGCTCTCGAGTGACACTGCCTGCTTGTGGTATCCTGGCTGAAATCCTCGTTCAGTAGCCCTGGCTCTGTGCCACTGTTTCCTCATCTCTAAAACCACAGTGTACCCATTTCACAGAATTTCTGTGAAGATGAAGTGACTTAGTGATACCTCTTTCTTTATTCTTTTAACTTTAAATGCATTTTCTAACCCAACTCAGTGGTATTTATGCTTTCTTTTTGTTCAGAGATCCTTTAAAAGAAAGTACATTTTGTGAAAAATAATTTTTAAAAATTCATTTGAGAGCGTGTCACATCGGTGCACACCTGAATACCAGCTACTTAAAAGACAGGGGCAGGAGGATCACTGGAGCCCAGGAGTTTGCAGACAGCCTGGGCAACAGCAAAACCCCGTCTCTTTAAAAAAAAAAGCATTAATTTAAGTCAATATAAAATTTTCCTATTTTCCTTTAATTATGAATATGAGGTTGGGTGCAGTGGCTCACGCCTGTAATCCCAGCACCTTGGGAGGGCAAGGCAGGCAGATCACCCTGAGGTCAGGAGTTTGAGACTATCCTGGCCAACATGGTGAAACCCTGTCTCTACTAAAAATACAAAAATTAGCCAGGCCTGGTGGCAGATGCCTGTAATCCCAGCTACTTGGGAGGCTGAGGCAAGAGAATCGCTTCAACCTGGGAGGTAGAGGTTGCAGTGAGCCGAGATTGCGCCACTGTACTCCAGCCTGGGCAACAGAGGGAAACTCTGTCTCAAAAAAAAAAAAATTATGAATATGAGAAATTACTGATCTGTATTAATGTCATCCCTGCCCCCTTTGAGCTGAACTTCAGTTTACCAAGTATTGTTTCTTCTAAAGATTTTTTCATGACACTACTGGTTAATACATAACTGAGAGTTAATAAATTTTGCTGTGTTACAGTCTAATTTGCTCTCTACCAACAGAGACCTTCTTTCTTTTTCTGTTTAGTTTTTCAAAACAAGAGTTATTTAATGTGCTTGAAAACTAGACATTTTTCCTAGTTGTGTTCACTGAATTAGCATTTATTATAGTACCGACTAGATGTGCTATACCACACAAAGATAAATGAGGCTGTGGCCTGGAAGAGGTAGGCTTGTAAAGTCATTATGCTACTCCCAAATAAGTGCTTTAAAAGAGATGTGAGCAAAGTCCCCTCAAATGCAGAAGACAGTCCGGTCCAACACAGAAGAAAAAGCAAAACTTGCTGGCTGGGGCAAGGTTAATCTGGACACGACCTAGTTTTCTCCAGTTTGGCATTTTTATTTATTTTTTCGAGACAGAGTCTCATTCTGTCATCCAGGCTAGTACAGTGGCACAATCTCATCTCACTGCAACCTCCTCCTTCCGGGTTCAAGTGATTCTTATGCCTCAGCCTCCCAAGTAGCTGAGATTACAGGCATGTGCCACCATGCCCAGTTAATTTTTTGTATTTTTAGTAGAGACAGTGTTTCGCCAGGTTGCCCAGGCTGGTCTCGATCTCCAGAGCTCAGGTGATCTGCCGGCCTTGGCTCCCAAAGTGCTGGGATATTACAGGAGTGAGCCACCACGCCTGATTATTTTGGCATTTTTAAACTCTTTCTTTAATATAACAAAAAAAAAAAAAACAAAACAAAACAGGTTTTGTGGTCAATTTGAAAACAAATTGAAGTAATTTTTTTTTTTTTTGAGACAGAATCTCTCTCTGTTGCCCAGACTGGAGTGCAGTGGCGTGACCTCAGCTCACTGCAACTTCTGCCTCCTGGCCTCAAGCGATCCTCCGTCCTCCGCCTTCCGAGTAGCTAAAGCTACAGGTCCATGCTGCCATGCCTAGCAAATTTTTTGTATTTTTTGTATTTTTTTGTAGAGACGAGGTTTTGCTATGTAGCCCGAGCTGGTCTTGAGCTCCTGAGCTCAAGCGATCTGCCTACCTCAGCCTCCTTATGTACTGGGATTACAGGCATGAGCCACTGTGCCCAGCCACTTTTGTCTTTTTAGTAAACCAGGTTTTTCATTGTTTTTTTTTTTTTAAATTCCTCTTCCAGGTGGTTTATGCACATAGTTTCCAGGAAACTCCGTCGTCATCAAAACCCACCAAATTAGCAGTTTAAATGTGTTTGTTTTTTCCTTGAATTCTTCTATGACGGGGATATTTAACAGAGAAAACATCTTTTTAGTTGAAGTCTCTAAAGCTAAGGAAAGGATAAAAAAATGCGAATTGGTGCTCTGCTTTGATGTAAATGTGGCTTAGAAAGTAACTTAATAAAATCCTACTCAGTATTTCCTTTTTCTTTGTGATAATTGCTTACTATGTGTAAATCAATAAAGTGAGCTGTAAAATGTTTTTAAACAGGACATTTTAGAAAAAAATGTTTAGGCAATTAACATTTCTCACAGTGTTTCTTCTAATTTTGTTAATGTACATATATATGTACCTGGACTCATCTTTTGTGAATGCACATGCTCTTTTTCATTTTGCATGACTAGTAAAGTAGTGATTCTTGTAAATAGAGATTTATGACAGAATTGCCACAAGATTCTTTCAAACTTGAGGTATTCACACTGCCACCTCATACTGTGTGGTGAAAACTAGATTTTTTATAAAATCATAAAAGGAGAGAAGGAAGAAATAAATGAAATTGTATGTTCAAAAAAATTAGAACCCTAAAAACATTTGTATTTTTATTGTATAGTCAGAAAAAAAAGAAGGGAGGGTATTTGAATCTCACAAGAAAGGGGCCTGAGTAGTTTGAAAAAGAATACTAGACATTGTCACTTACTTGTTTTCTAATTACTCTAGTGGGCATTTGATAATACTGGAAGATATTTATAAAATTTTTAAACCCTAGGGTCTAGCTTCTACTTAGTATCTCCCTTCAAGAATGTCCTGATTAAAAGGCTATACTATAAATTAAGTGGATGATTATTAGTAAGCATTCAAAAAGAGATTTCGTCTTTTTAAATGACTTTATGAAAATATGAAATTTGCCTGTGGTATTTATAGTGTGCAGTCATGGTTTTCCAGTGCTTTTCTAATAAATAAATCGGAGTACATAAGTTGAAAGAGTTCTATATATATATAAATCATTCTGTGATTAATTAATGCTTTTTAATAAATCAGCTGCGAGAGCACTACTCATGATGGGCGTGTTTGAATGCCTTATATAGACTACTCAGAACAGGTTTAGACAGTCTTTGCCCCGTTGACCTGTTACCATATTTATCAGAGTAGATATAGATTATAGTCTTTCTAATGATGTTCTGCTTCACTCTGACCAATATCTAATAAACACTTAACCTATATTAGGCATTTCACCATCTTTCTGTCTCTCTTTTTTGGAATGGAGTCTTGCTATGTTGCCCAGGCTGGTCTCCTGGCTTAAGTGATACCCTTCTGTCTCAGCCTCCTGAATATCTGGGATTACAAGTGCCCACTACCATGCCTGATTTTTTTCTCTTTTTTGACAACTCATACCGACAGTACTAAGAATTCCCAAACTGATGGATGAAAGTGAATATGCCTCATTGGCATTTTTTTTTTTTTTTTTTTTTTTTTTTTTTTTTTTTTGTGACAGTCTTGCTTTATTGCCCAGGCTGGAGTGCAGTAGTGCAATTTCCCAGGTTCAAGAGATTCTCGTGCTTTACCCTCCCGAGTAGCTGGGATTACAGGCGTTCACCACCACACCCAGCTAATTTTTGTATTTTTAGTAGAGATGGGTTTTCACCACATTGGCCAGGCTGGTCTCGAGCTCCTGGCCTCAAGTGATCTGCCTGCCTCACCCCTCAAAGTGCTGGGATTACAGACATGAGCCACCATATCTGGCCAACTTTTTTTTTTTTTTTTGGTGAGACCGAGTCTCACTCTGTCTCCCAGGCTGGAGTGCAGTGGTGTGATCTCGGCTCACCGCAAGCTCCGCCTCCCGGGTTCACCCCATTCTCCTGCCTCAGCCTCCTGAGTAGCTGGGACTACAGGCGCCCATCACCACGCCTGGCTAATTTTTTAAAATATTTTTAGTAGAGACAGGGTTTCACTGTGTTAGCCAGGATGGTCTCGATTTCCTGACCTCGTGATCCACCCGCCTCGGCCTCCCAAAGTGCTGGGATTACATGTCTTGCCATGTTGCCCAGGCTGGTCTGAAACTACTGGTTTCAAGTGATCCACCCACCTCAGCCTCCCAAAGTTCTGGGATTATGGGTGTGACCCACCGTTCCCAGCCTTGTATGTCTTCTTTTGAAAAGTGTCTGTTCATGTCCTTTGCCCACTTTTTATTGGGGATATTTGTTTTTTGCTGCTGATTTTTTTTTAAGTTCCTTATAGACTCTGGATATCAGATCTTTGTTGGATGCATAGCTTGCGAACATTTTCTTGCATTCTGTGGGATGTCTTTTTTTTTTTTTTTTTTTTTTTTGAGGCAGAGTCTCATTCTGTCACCCAGGCTACAGTGCGGTGGTGAGATGAGATCATGGCTCACTGCAGCCTCGACTTTCTGGGCTCAGTGATCCACCTCAGGATCTGCAAATGTCTTTCCATTTGTTTGTGTCATCTATGGTTTCTTTCAACAGTGTTTTGTAGTTCTTGTAGAGATCTTTCACCTCCTTGGTTAGATATATCCTAGGTATTTTGTGTGTGTGCATATGGCTATTGTAAATGGGATTGCACAAGACTACAGGCACATGCCACCACACCTGGATAATTTTTAAATTTTTTTGTAGAGACAGGTCTCCCTTTGTTGCCCAGGCTGGTCTCAAACTCCTGGGCTCAAGTAATCCTCCTGCCTTGGCCTCCCAAAGTGCTGGGATTACAGATGTGAGCCATTGCACCTGACCTGTTTACTCTTGGTAGTTTCTTTTGCTGCGCAGAAGCTCTTTGGTTTAATTAGGTCCCACTTGTCAATTTTTGTTTTTGTTGCAATTGCTTTTGTGGACTTAGTCATGAAATATTTACCAAGGCCAATATCCTGAAGGGTATTTGCTAGGGTTTCTTCTGGGATTTTTATATTCTGAGGTCTTACATTTAAGTGTTTAATCCATCTTGAGTTAATTTTTGCACATGGTGATAGTTAAGGGTCCAGTTTCATTCTGCATGTGGTTAGCCAGTTATCTCAGCACCATTTATTGAGTAGGGATTCCTTTCCCAGTTCCTTGTTTTTGTCAGCTTTCTCAAAGATCAGTTGGTTGTAGGTGTGTGGCTTTATTTCTGTGTTCCCTATTGTGTTCCACTGGTCTGTGTTTCTGTTTGTGCACCAGTGCCATGTTCTTTTTCACTAGCCTTGAAGTAGAGTTTGATGTTGGGTAATGTGATGCCTCCAGCTTTGTTGTTTTTGTTTTAGATCCTTTGGCTATTTGGGCTCTTTTTTGGTTCCATATGAATTTTAGAATAGTTTTTTCTAATTCTGTGAAAAATGACATTGGTAATTTGATAGGAATAGTGTTGAATCTATAGATTGCTTTGGGGAGTATGGTCTTTTTCTTTCTTCTTTCTTTCTTTTTTTTTTTTTTTGGTGCTGTGACTTCGATGCAAACCAAGGTTGCTGCAGACACAGTATGGTCATTTTAATGATATTGATTCTTCTAATCCATGAGTGTGGAATGTGTTTCCATTTGTTTGTGTTATCTGTGATTTCTTTCAACAGTGTTTTGTAGTTCTTGTAGAGATCTTTCACCTCCTTGGTTAGATATATTCCTAGGTATTTTATGTACATGTATGACTATTGTAAATGGGATTGCATACTTGATTTGACTCTCAGCTCGAACATTATTGGTGTATAAAAATGCTACTGATTTTTGTATATTGATTTTGTATCCTGAAACTTTACCAAAGTCTTTTATCTAGGAGCCCTTTAGCAATTCTATGTATAGAGTAATATAGTCAGTGGAGAGATATTTGACTTCTTTTCCTATTTTGGTATCTTACTTGATTGTTCTGGCTAAGATTTTCAGTACTCTGTTAAATATGAGTGAAAAGAGTGGCCAACCTTGTCTTATTCCAATTCTTAAGGGTAATGCTTCCAGCTTTTTCCCATTCATATGGTGTTGTCTGTGGGTTTGCCATAGATGGCTCTTTTTATTTTGAGTTATGTTCCTTCAATGCCTAGTATGTTGGAGGTCTTTATTATGAAAGGATGTTGAATTTTATCGAAAGCTTTTTCTGCATCTATTGAGATGATCATGTGGTTTTTGTTTTTAATTCTGTTGATGCAGTGAATTGCATATATTGATTTGCATATGTTGAACCAACCTTACATCCCAGGAGTAAAACCTACTGGTTGTGGTGTATTAACTTCCTAAAGTACTGTTGGGTTTGGTTTGCTAGTGTTTTGTTGAGGATTTTTATATCTGTGTTCATCAAGGATATTGGCCTGTAGTTTCTCTTTTTGATGTGTCTTTGCCAGATTTTGGTATCAGGATAATGCTGGCTTTATAGAGTGATTTGGAGAGGAGTTGGTATTTTGGAATATTTTCAGTAGGACTGGTACCAGTTCTTTGTGCATCTAGAATTCAGCTGTGATTTTTCTGGTCCAGGGCTTTTTTTGGTTGATAGGTTTTTTATTTATTACGATTCAATTTTGGAACTCATTATTGGTTTGTTCAGAATTTCTGTTTTTTCTGAGTCAGTCTTGGGAAGTTTTATGTTTCCAGGAATTTATCCATTTCCTCTAGATTTTCTTTGCTGTGCAGAAGTTCTTTAGTCTAATTAGGTCCCACTTGTCAGTTTTGGTTTTTGTTGCAATTGCTTTTGAGGACTTTCTCTTTCTCTCTCTCTTTTTTTTTTTTTTTTCTTGAAACGGAGTCTTAATGCTGGGCGCGGTGGCTCACGCCTGTAATCCCAGCACTTTGGGAGGCATAGGCGGGCGGATCACAAGGTCAGGAGATCGAGACCACGGTGAAACCCCGTCTCTACTAAAAATACAAAACATTAGCTGGGCGTGGTGGTGGGCACCTGTAGTCTCAGCTACTTGGGAGGCTGAGGCAGGAGAATTGCGTGAACCTGGAAGGCGGAGCTTGCAGTGAGCCGAGATCGTGCCACTGCACTCCAGCCTGGGCAACAAAGCGAGACTCCGTCTCAAAAATAAATAAATAAATAAATAGAAACAAGGTCTTACCTAGGCTGGAGTGCAGTGGCATGATCATGGCTCACTGCAGCCTCAACCTCCCAAGCTCAATTAATCTTCCCATCTCAGTCTTCTGAGCAGCTGGAGCTACAGATACACACCACCACACCTGGCTAATCTTTAAAAATTTTTGTAGCAATTGGGTCTCATTTTGTTGCCCAGGGTGGTGTCAAACTTCTGACCTCAAGTGATTCTCCCACCTTTGCCTCCAAAAGTATTGGGATTACAGGTGTGAGCCCATTTCCTCTAAATTTTCTGGTTTGTGCACATAGAAGTGTTCATAATAGTCTCTGAGGATCTTTTGTATTTCTGTGGAATCAGTTGTAGTGTCACCTTTGCCATTTTCTGATTGTGCTTATATGGAGCTTCCCTCTTCTTTTCTTTGTTAATCTAGCTAGGAGTTTATCGATCTTGTTTATCCTTTCAAAAAATCAATTTTTTTTGTTTTATTGATCCTTTGTATGGATTCTTTAGTCTCAATTTTGTTTAGTTCTGCTGTTATTTTAGTTATTTCTTTTCTTCTGCTAGCTTTGGGGTTAGTGTGTTCTCGTTTATCTAGTTTCCCTAGATGCAATGTTAGATTGTTAATTTGAGATCTTTCTAACTTGATATAGGTGTTTAGTGCTATAAACGTTCCTCTTAACATTGCTTTTGCTGCATCCCATATATTTTGATATGTTGTGTCTGTTTTCATTTATTTCAAAGAATATTTCAATTTCTGCTTAATTTCATTGTTTATTCAAAAGTCATTCTGGAGTATGTTGTTTACTTTCCATGTAATTTGTGTGGTTCTGAGAGATCCTCAGTATTGATTTCTATTTTTATTTTACTATGGTCTCAGAATATATGCTTGGTATGATTTCAATTTAAAAAAAATTTTTGAGACTTGCTTTACGGCCAAGCATGTGGTTGACCTTAGAGTATGTTCCATGTGCAGCTTCATCAGCATTTATCTTGGTGATAACATGGATTCCATGACAGGTATTAATGGTACAATTTTTATGTTTTAAAAGTGGTAGTTTGCTAAGGAAAATATGAAGAGAGCTGATTTCACTTTTAGTGGTTGTCATTTAATAAAGTGAGATGTGAGGTTGGGCAGGGTAGCTCACGCCTGTAATCCCAACACTTTGGGAGGCAAAGGTGGGAGGCACACTTTAGCCCAGGAGTTCGAGTCCAGCCTGGGCAACATGGCAAAACCCCATCGCTACTGAAAATACAAAAGTTAGCCAGGCATGGTGGCATATATCTGTAGTCCCAGCTACTTGGGAGGCTGAGGTGGGAGGATTGCTTGAACTTGGGAGGTTGGGGCTTCAGTGAGCCGTGATCACACCACCGTGCTTTAGCCTGGGCAACACAGTGAGACCCTGTCTCAAAAAAAATAAATCAAGTGAGATGTGAGAAGGAATTTTTCTATTCTTGAAATGCATGTAGGGATAGTCTTTATGCCTAGTCAAGCCTAAAACACTTTTTTAAAAAGAGATATTTGTTATATATGATTAAGGCAGCTATTATAATATTACTATTCTAAGTTACTAACTTTTGAAAACTTTTTAAATTTTGTAGTTTTTATGACATGTTAGTAAATTTTTATGATGGAACTTTTCTTTACTAACAGGTGCATTCCTTGTAAAGGTTCTCGGTTTCCCCCAACCCTTCCACGCCCTGCTGTTGCTATATTATCCTTTAAGCTTCCTTACTGTCAGATTGCAACAGAGAAAGGACAAATGGAGGTATGTGGAAGTCTTACCTTGACACTTTGAATTTGATAATACAGCACCTGTGATACACACACTTTAAAATTATCCTGATGGCCAGTATTGAATATTCATTACTGTATAATTACATAAATAGGGGTAGCAGGGAGGGAAGAGGACTGCTTGGGATCACCAGGCCACCTGATTGCCATCACTGCTTCCAGGGACTTTGTCTACAAAGTAAATGGGTGTGACTGTCAGAGACCCACTGGGGAAAGACTTACTCTCAGGATGGGGCATGTCCCTGAGAAGAAGTGCCTCCATACATTTTGTGCCATAACACCTGGCTTGCCTGACCCTAGTCCTAGCCTTGTGTCATCAAAAGTCATTTGAAATCTTGCAGTTAGTTATTCTAAATAAGAAACAAGTTAGCTTTTAAAAATCTTGTTTACCAAATTCTCTGAGCATTAATTATGATAGCTAGGAAACTGTTTTAAATGCTGTATTCCTCCCCAGCTGCCTTTTTTAAGGATAGGGGAAAAAGTTAAGCTGTAGTATCACACTAGAATTTAAATTGTAAAATAAACTTATAGAAAGGAAGAGTTCAGAACATATTTTATTCAAAAACTGGTATCTTAAGATAAATATTTAACGCTTGCCTCATATTAAGGTGATAGTTGGCCTTAAGCAATTTTATTTGCTTTTATAGGAGCAATTTTGGCGTTCAGTTATATTTCACAACCACCTTGATTATTTAGCTAAAAATGGTTATGAATATGAAGAGAGCACTAAAAATCAAGCAACAAAAGAGCAACAGGAACTTTTAATGAAAATGCTTGCGGTGAGTAAAATAAATATACTGAAAACGTTAAAGTTAAATGCTTTTCTATAGGTTGAATTTCTTAAAGGTCTGTGCATTAGGACTAAGTCCCACAACCTAAGATTCTTAAGTTTTTTTTTGTTGTTGTTGTTGTTTTTTGTGCGACGGAGTCTCGTTCTGTCACCCAGGCTGGAGTGCAGTGGTGCGATCTCGGCTCACTGCAACCTCTGCCTCCCGGGTTCACGCAATTCTGCCTCAGCCTCCCGAGTAGCTAGGATTACAGGCACACACCACCACGCCTAGCTAATTTTTTTTTTTTTTTTTTTTTTTTAGTAGAGATGGGGTTTCCCTATGTTGGCCCGACTGGTCTCGAACTCCTGACCTCGTGATCCGCCCGCCTCAGCCTCCCAAAGTGCTGGGATTACAGGTGTGAGCCACCACACCCAGCCATTCTTAAGTTTTATCTGGTGGTGTTTTCCCTTGTAAAGTTCTATCTTCTAGTTGGTCTTGCAGTTAAAATTTTTTTCTTTTTTTTTTTTTAGGCGGAGTTTCGCTCTTGTTTCTCAGGCTGAAGTGCAGTTGTGCAGTCTTGGCTTACTGCAACCTCCACTTCCCGGGTTCAAGTGATTCTCCTGCCTCAACCTTCCGAGTAGCTGGGACTACAGGCGTGTGCCACCATGCCTGGCTAATTTTTGTATTTTTAGTAGAAACAGGGTTTCACCACATTGGTCAGGCTGGTCTTGAACTCCTGACCTCAGGTAATTCACCTGCCTCGGCCTCCGAAAGTGCTGGGATCACAGGCATGAGCCACCGTGCCCAGCCTAAAATAAATAAAACAGTACCTTGTAGCTAAGATCATGTGCAGGAATAAACATCTCTAGGGCTACTTCCCTTTTGCTTTTGCCCATCAGTCTATGTTTTAACGGGCTCTCAAGGTAACTGAGAACCACTGCTCTAGTTTCTGTTATTATTTTACAAAGTTTGAGTATATACTGTTTTTTAATCTCCAGGGCTGGGCAATCTTAAGAACTTTGATCGGGCTGTTAGATATGCCTGCCTTTTGTCATCCTCTTTGAGTTAGGCAGCTGTGTGTGATGAAAATTTATTTGTGACCAGTGGCCAGGTTTGGTGTCTAGAATATTTAAGTACATTTATCTTTGGAGCAGGGTGTCTTAAAGTTCCTGTGCTTGTGTCCCCACTCAAGGTTGGTTTATGGAGAGGAGTATAGTATCATTTCTTCTTTATTTGTCTTACACTAGACTTTATGCCCCAGAGGGCAGAGACCTGCTCACTGCTGTATGCCAGGCACTGACATGGTGGCTTAACACATAGTAGACCTCGATATTTGTTGACAAGAGTGAATGGTCCAGACTTTTAATTTTAAAATTGGAGAAAAAAGGTTCTTAGAGAAAAGTGGTATATGAGACCACAGAGCAAATTGCCACTCTTGTCTCCAAAAGGTAGTACTCACTACTGTCACCTTTATGCAACATGGCCTTAAGTTTGGTATTAAGAAAACTCAGTTTATTGTAGAAAAAGTTTTATTCCTTTTATAAAGTGTTACTTGTGGTCCAGGAACTAGTAGCCTTTTTATTTGTACAACACATATAAGGAAACATATTTCATGTATTTGCTATTTAGCCTAGAGGAGCTTTTCCCTGTGGCAGTGTTTCTCATATCAAAAATACCAGGGGACTCATATCAAAGATGCCAGGGCAGGAGGATATCTTGAGCCCAGGAGTTCAAGGGGATTGTTGAGTTCTTCTTTAGCATTCCTGACCCCCGGGCAAATGCCTTTAGTTCAGAATAGTCACTGTGGAAACCAGACTATTCCTTTTTATTTCTTTTTTTTTTTTTGAAACGAAGTCTCGCTCTGTTGCCCAGGCTGGAGTGCAGTGGCGCGATCTCTGCTCACTGCAAGCTCCGCCTCCCAGGTTCACGCCATTCTCCTGCCTCAGCCTCCCGAGTAGCTGGGACTACAGTTGTCTGCCACCACACCAGCTAATTTTTTGTATTTTTAATAGAGACTGTGTTTCACCGTGTTAGCCAGTATGGTCTCGATCTCCTGACCTTGTGATCCACCTGTCTCAGTCTCCCAAAGTGCTAGGATTACAGGTGTGAGCCACTGCGCCCGGCTTCCTTTTTATTTCTAAATGCCCCCTGAGGCAGTGTACCATCCCGATTAAGAAGTACTGATTATAGATAAATGATACTAAAAATCTTGAAAAGGGCATCCAGGTGAATATCTAAAGCTTTTGTGCTGATGGATCAGACATGGAATATCTAAGTAAGAAAATAGTTCTAATACACTATGAATTAGGAGACCCTTAGTAATCTTCAAAATACCAACTTTTCTCAGTTTGTTGTTTTTCTTTTTTGTATTTTTTAGAGAAAGGGTCTCACTCTGTTACCCAGGCTAGAGTACAGTGGCAAGATTGTAACTCACTGCAGCCTCAACCTCCTGGGCTCTAGTGAACCTCCTGTCTCAGGCTCCTGAGTAGATAAGACTGCAGGTGCATGCCACCACGCCCAGCTAATTTATTTTTTGTAGTTATAGGGTCTCACTGTGTTGCCCAGGTTAGTCTCAAACTCCTGGCCTCTAGCAGTCCCTCTGCCTTGGCCTTCCAAAGTGCTAGGATTACAGGTGTGAGCCAGCACACCTGGCCCCCTTGATTTTTTTTTTTTTTTTTTTTTTTGAGACAGAGTCTCGCTTTCTCGCCCAGGCTGGAGTGCAGTGGTGCAATCTTGGCTCACTGCAACCTCCACCTCCCGGGTTCAAGCGATTCTCCTGCCTCAGCTTCCCGAGTAGCTGGGATTACAGGCGCACGCCACCACGCCTGGCTAATTGTGTTTTTAGTAGAGACGGGGTTTTGCCATATTGGCCAGGCTGATCTCGAACTCCTCACCTCATGATCCACCCATCTGGGCCTCCCAAAGCACTGGTATTACAGGCGTGAGCCACCGTGCCCAGCCTCCCCCTTGAATTTTTTAAACAAATTTCTTAATTTTCTTGCAATTAGTAGATTAAAGTGGTATGTAATATTTCATCAAATCTAAGCCACTGTTTATTGCATAGTGCACCATTACTTTATTCATTTAAGCCATGGAGACATAAAAATGCTGCCAAACTGACCCACCATTAATTGTAATTAATTGTAATTCCAATTTCAGAGATGTTAAAACTTGTAAAAATGTGCATCTTAGAATTAGGGAGATAGAGTAGCTAGAAAACTATTGTCTCAGTTTTACTAGTAGTGTCAGTATCTTTAAAAAGTTTTACTTGATGTTATTTGATCTCCCCCCCCCCCCCCTTTTTGGATTAGCTTTCTTGTAAACTGGAGCGAGAATTCCGTTGTGTGGAACTTGCTGATCTAATGACTCAAAATGCTGTGAATTTAGCCATTAAATATGCTTCTCGCTCTCGGAAATTAATACTGGCTCAAAAACTAAGTGAACTGGCTGTAGAGAAGGCAGCCGAATTGACAGCAACCCAGGTGGAAGAGGAAGAAGAAGAAGAAGATTTCAGAAAAAAGCTGAATGCTGGGTAAGAAATAATTTAGTTGTTTGAATTTTCCTTTACTGTCTTGAATGTTAAGTTGGTCTTTGCATAGCTCTTTATTGAATAATATTATTTTCTCTTAGTTACAGCAATACTGCTACAGAGTGGAGCCAACCAAGGTTCAGAAATCAAGTTGAAGAAGATGCTGAGGACAGTGGAGAAGCTGATGATGAAGAAAAACCAGAAATACATAAGCCTGGTGAGATACATTTTCAAGCCCATAAATCATGAGAACTATCATGGATGTGGCTTTTCCCATTTTGCTTAACTGAGGGAAATTGAATACTCATACTTTTTTTCAGACCTCTTTGCTATCTGGTTGTTGTATATTGAGGATGACTATATTTTCCCCATTTACATTATATTGCTTTATTTTAATCTGTAGGACAGAACTCGTTTTCCAAAAGTACAAATTCCTCTGATGTTTCAGCTAAGTCAGGTGAGAAATATTTATAAATTTGTAATATCAAGGAAATTTTGCAAGTCATCTGCAAAGTGACACATCTACGCAAATACACCTTAACTCTTAAGGCCACTTTTGGTGTGTGTGTGTTTATGTTTTTGTTTTTTTAATCTCAGATGTTGTTTGTGAAGCTATGGTCATTTAACAGATGTTTATAAAATGCCTATTGAGTGTCAGGCATTTTACTTAATGGTGGATACAGAAGTCAAACAGACATGTGTGGTTGATCTCTGTTTTAATGCTATTTTAGCCCAGCTGAGAAGACAGATGTTGAAGACAGATCTGGGTATCACTGAGGAAGCATGCAGGATACTGGAGAAACAGTTAAAAGGAATTGAAGGCTGGGCGCAGTGGCTCACGCCTGTAATCCCAGCACTTTGGGAGGCCGGAGTGGGCGGATAACGAGGTCAGGAGTTCTAGACTAGCCTGGCCAACACGGTGAAACCCCATCTCTACTAAAAATACAAAAATTAGCTGAGGGTGGTGGTATGTGCCTGTAATCCCAGCTACTCGGGAGGCTGAAGCAGGAGAATCACTTGAACTCAGGAGGTGGAGGTAGCAGTGAGCCGAGATCGTGCCATTGCACTCCAGCCTGGGCAATGGAGTGAGACTCCATCTCAAAAAAAAAAAAAAGGAGTTGAAAATGGTTGCGTACAGGGAGTGGGCCTGGGGGATAAGAGAAGGTTGAAGTAAGGCACTGCTGGCCCTTTTTTGGTGGGGAGCATAAACCTTATAGTACCATTTGACTTTTTAAACTGTGGACATATGTTACTTTGATTTAAAAAAATTAACTTAAAAAACATGTAGAATATGAAAAGAGCGTATGACACATAGCTGTCATCTAGCCAGTGGTGGAGGATGGGTAGGGACTTCAAGGCAGGCCTCATGGAGTGTTTACAGCAGAGACCTGAAGGATGAATAACAGTCAGCAAGGCAAAGGTGCATGGGAACAGGAGCAGAAGAGAAGCATTTGGGCTTAAGGAACAGTATGTGTGAACTGAAGGCTGCAAAAGGGTGGTGTGAAAAGCTCAGAGAGCAAAGAGAAAGTGGTGCTGAAGGGTTTCGGAGTGATGGGCAGGAGCCAAGTCATGCAGATCTGTGTAGGCCATATTAAGGATTTTGGTCTTTTTTTTATTTTATTTTATTTTTTTTAATAGAGATGGGGTGTCACTCTGTTGTCCAGGCTGGTCTCAAACTCAAGCAATTTCCTCACCTCCACATCCCAAAGTTGTTGGACCTGCAGGTGTGAGCCACCACACCCGGTCAGGATTTTGCTCTTTATTCTAAGGTCACTGAGAGACTGTTGTAGGTTTTAAGCAGAGGTATAGCATGGCACACTGTGCTGAAGAAGAACAGATAATAGACTACTGGCCAGGTGTGATGGCTCATGTCTGTAACCTCAGCATTTTGAGAGGCCAAGGTGGAAGGATCACTTGAGACCAGACGTTTGAGACCAGCCTTGGAAACAATGAAACCCTATCTCTACAAAAAGTAAATAATAAAAATATTAGCCAGGCATGGTAGTACACACCGGTAGTCCCAGGTATTTGGGAGGCTGGGACAGGAGGATATCTTGAGCCCAGGAGTTCGAGGGTGCAGTAGGCTATGGTTGCACCACTGCACTCCAGCCTGGGTGACAGAGCAAGACCCTGTATCAAAAAATAAATAGGCCAGGCGTGGTGGCTCACGCCTGTAATTCCAGCACTTTGGGAGGCCGAGGCAGGTGGAGCACTTGAGGTCAGGAGTTCAAGACCAGCCTGGCCAAAATGGTGAAACCACATCTCCACTAAAAATACAAAAAAAAAAATTAGCCGGGCATGGTGGCTCATGCCTGTAATCCCAGCTACTCGGGAGGCTGAGGCAGGAGAATTGCTTGAATCCAGGAGTGGGGAGTTGCAGTAAGTGGAGATCACGCCACTGCACTCCAGCCTAGGTGACAGAGTGAGACTTCATCTAAAATAATAATAAGAAGAAGTAAATAAAAATTAAAAAATAAAGAGACTACAAGCTGGGCGTGGTGGCTCACACCTGTAATCCCAGCACTTTGGGAGGCTGAGGAGGGTGGATCACGAGGTCAGGAGATTGAGAGCATCCTGAAGAACACAGTGAAACCCCGTCTCTACTAAAAATACATAAAAATTAGCCGGGCATGGTGACAGGCACCTGTAATCCCAGCTACTTGGGAGGCTGAGGCAGGAGAATGGCGTGAACCCGGGAGGCAGAGCTTGCAGTGAGGTGAGATCATACCACCGCACTCCAGCCTGGGCGACAGAGCGAGACTCCATCTCAAATAAATAAATAAACAAACAAACTACAGAGGCAGTCCAAATGAGATTGAATAAGGGCCTGAGCTAGGGTGGTGATGGTGATGTTAGAAAGAATGGGCAGAGTTGGAGAGCTATTTCTGAAGATGATGAAGAGAGTGTAGGAGTTCAGGGCGTAAAGAGTGATTCTCAGTTTCTTGTAATAGAAGAAAAACTTAAGCACATTTGAATCTTGAAGGATTAATTTGAACATTCAGTGATTCATGAATCAGGGAGGCACCAAACCGCAAGGGGCTAGCACTCTGCCAGGAGAGACAAAAGGGGAAACTTTTATAAAGTATTTTCAGAAACGAGATAAATAAAACAATTTTTATTGGCTAGATGGAAAGGTTTTTTTGTTTGTTTTTTTTGTTTGGTGGGGGGGGTGCGGATACAGGGTATCTTGCTTTGTCACTCAGACTGGAGCAGAGTTGGAGTGCAGTGATGCAGTCCTA
Source organism: Homo sapiens (assembly GCF_000001405.40). Lineage (NCBI taxonomy): Eukaryota > Metazoa > Chordata > Mammalia > Primates > Hominidae > Homo > Homo sapiens. The sequence goes on along the minus strand of NC_000014.9, from coordinate 54,959,715 downwards.
GCTCGCTACAGCCTTGAACTCGTATGCTCAGGTGATCCTCCTGCCTCACCCTACTGAGTAGCTATGACTACAGTTGTGCATCACCATGCCTGGTTAATTTTTTGTGTGTACTTTTTGTAGAGAGAGGAGCTTGCTTTGTTGCCGAAGCTGGTCTGGAACTCCTGGGCTTAAGTGACCCTCCTGCCTTAGCCTCCCAAAATTTTCGGATTACAGGCACAAGTGGCCATGCTCAGCTAGAAATTTCCTGCCTGCCTGCCTGCCTGCCTGCCTGCCTCCCTCCCTCCCTTCCTTCTTCCCTCCCTCCCTCCCTCCTCTTCCCCCCGCCAGGGTGTGACTGTCATCCAGGTTAGAGTGCAGTGGCGTGATTATGGCTCACTGCAGCCTCAACCCCCCAGACCCAAGCGATCTTTCCACCTCAGCCTCCCAAGTAACTAGGACCACAGGCATGTGTCACCATGTCTGGCTAGTTTTGTTTTGGTTTGGGTTTTTTGTTTTGTTGTTTTTTGTTTTTGTAGAGACAGGGTCTCCCTATGTTACCCATGCTAGTCTTAAACTGGGCTCAAGCAGTCCTCCCTCCTCAGCCTCCCAAAGTGCTGGGATTACAGGCTTAAGCCACCATGCCAGGAAAGCTCTTAATTAGAGATTAGTTTGTTAACACTGGCTTGAGTACTTGAGTGAATGATGGTGCCATTTCCTAAGTCAGGAAACACTAGAGAAAAGCAGATTTAGAGAGGAAGATGATGAATTACTGTAAGGTGAGTAGAATGTCGTGAAGACAGATATTTGAATCAGGAGCTCAGGGAAGTATTCTGGTCAAGAGATACAAAGTGAAAATCATTGGCATAAGTATAGCAATTTAAACCATGAGCATGGGTAAGCAAGCATTGGGGGAGAATGTAAAGCAAAAAGAAAAATGAGCTTAAGCCTAGGGAATCTCCAACATTTGAGCATCAGGTAGAGGAAGAGGAGGAACCAACTATTGGAACACAATGAGTCCACAGGTCCAGAGAGGAAGGAACTAAGTCAGGGAATGCAGTATCTCAGAAGTCAAGAGAGGACAAAGTATCAAGAAGTAAGGAACAGTCAGCTATGTGGGATGCCATTGATAGAGCAAACAAGGTGACTGAAAGGTATCCACCAGATTTGACAATGTAGAGATCACTGAGGGCCTTAGCAAGAGGAGATTCTGTAGGGTGGTAGAGCTGGAAGTGCTATATTGTATGGAGGAATGTATGGGTGGTGAGGAAATGATAATAGTGTCAACAGTTCTTGGAAAAATTTGGCTGGATGACCGGGCGTGGTGGCTCATGCTTGTAATCCCAGCACTGTGGGAGGCCAAGGCAGACGGATCACCTGAGGTCAGGAGTTCAAGACCAGCCTGGCCAACATGGTGAAACCCTGTCTCTATTAAAAATACAAAAATTAGCCGGGCGTGGTAGCAGGCGCCTGTAATCCCAGCAATTCGGGAGGCTGAGACAGTAGAATCGCCTGAACCTGGGAGGTGGACTTTGCAGTGAGCCGAGATCACACCATTGCCCTCCAGCTTGGGCAACAAGAGCGAGACTCTGTCTCAAAAAAAAAAAAAAATGGCTGGATGGAGGAGGCGAGAGAAAATGGTGACTGGAAGGAATGTGGGGTAGAGAAGGTTTGTTTTTTGTTTCTTTTTAAGTTGGGAGACTTTAGGGGCCAATAAATAGGGAAAAGTCAAAGATGTAGGATGTCAAGAAACTTGATAGGTCAGGTTTTCTGACAAAGCAGGAGGGCATGGGATGCAGAACACAAGTAAAGGGATTACTAACCTTAGCTCAGACGAGCTGCCACTCTTCCGCAGTAACAGAAGATAAAAGATCTGTACATACTGAATATGTTTCATAGTGGCACGTTGGGGTGGTTCACATTTAATAGCTTTTATTTTGGCTTAGAAGTAGGAAAGAGGATATCTGTTGTTAATAGTTTTGAAAAGTTGCAAAATACATTTGTTTTCATTTAATGGGGATTAAAATACTCTGTCTAGTATTATAGATGTCAGAAGTCATCTATTTTCTACCATTATTAAGCAAGGGTTTCTTTTTTGTGAAAGGTGCAGTTACCTTTAGCAGCCAAGGACGAGTAAATCCCTTTAAGGTAAACTCTTCCAAGTGATGTTTTATATTATTTAAATACATTTGTATACAAAGAAATATTTCCAAATGATGAGATGACTCTCCCCAGACTTGGAGGCATGAAAGACTGATCTGTGTGGAAACAGAAGAAAGCAGCACTTGGGCTGAGAGTTGTCTTTTCTACTTACCTTCTAAGTACCTATGGTTTTGAAAGATACCTCTGTCTTTCTTGGGGATGTGGTATTTGGGAATATACGTATCATTCTTAATTTGGATTGTACCAAATGTATTTAGTTCTAAAGATGAGATGGCAATACAAACTTAACAGAAATTTCAAGAAAAAATAAGTCTCTTGGGATTTTATTTTTCTTCTTTAAACATACAGTGCTAACACTAGTTTGCTCTTTAGGTATCAGCCAGTTCCAAAGAACCAGCCATGTCAATGAATTCAGCACGTTCAACTAATATTTTAGACAATATGGGCAAATCATCCAAGAAATCCACTGCACTTAGTCGAACTACAAATAATGAAAAGTCTCCCATTATAAAGCCTCTGATTCCAAAGCCGAAGCCTAAGCAGGTACTGTTTCAGCTACCCTCATCTGCAGTAAGCAGCATGGGATCTGTTTGTCTTCAGTTTTGTTCACTGTTTCAGATATAGGATAGGAGGTTCTGATTGTTTACAATTGTCTTGCTAGGGAAGTGGGTTCAATTCTGTTTTTGCAGCTAGGCACAGTGGCACATACCTGTAGTCCCAGATACTCAGGAGGCTGAGGTGGGAGGATCACTTGAGCCCAGGAGTTTGAGTCCAGTCTGGGAAACATAAGAGATACCCCATCTGAAAAAAACAAACCCCAAAACAGTTGTGTTTTTTGTTTCAGAATCACTCCCTATTCTGCCTCGTGAGTTGTTACACACTTTGTAGCAGATTCTGACTTCCAAGATCACTATCCTGCTCCCCCTGTCTTTTTTGAGACAGAGGCTCACTCTGTCACCCAGGCTGGATGGAGTGCAGTGTCAGGATCTCAGCTCACTGCAGCCTCTGTCTCCTGGGTTCAAGCAATTCTCATGCCTCAGCCTCCCGAGGAGTTGGGATTACAGAGGCCTGACATCACGCCCAGCTAATTTTGGTATTTTTAGTAGAGATGGGGTTTCAGCATGATGGCCAGGCTGGTCTCAAACTCCTGGCCTCAAGTGATCCACCCACCTCAGCCTCCCAAAGTGCTGGTATTACAGGCATGAGCCACCGCACCCAGCCTATCCTGCCCCTCTCCTTGTTTTTACAGATCACTTTTTAAAAATATATATACTCAGACCCCAGAAGCTCAGACATTTATCTGTATTTTTATTAAAATCACCCAGATAGTTCTGATGTATATTCGTATTTAATAGTGGCTGATATTGTACATGGCCCTAATTTTTCCTTGTTCTGAGTCCTGATTTTTCCACTCTGATAAGTATTTGATCCCGGATTAGTCATTGGTAAAATAGATCTATTGCTTATCTTTTCTATTTAATATAATTGTATTCATTTAGAAAACATGGAATTTAGGCCAGCCGCGGTGGCAGGTGCCTGTAATCCCAGCTACCTGGGAGGGTGAGTCAGGAGAACCACTTGAACTCGGAGGGTGGAGGTTGCAGTGAGCCGAGATAGCGCCACTGCACTCCAGCCTGGGCAACAGAGTGAGACTCCGTCTCAAAAAAAAAAAAAAAAAAAAGGAAAACATGGAATCTGAAGTGTAGTTTTTTGGTTTTGCATGTGTTTGCCTATTTATTTACAACTGAGAACTCCAGATTTCACATGTTAGTATAAGAATTCTCAATAATTATAGATGTTTCTTCACATTTTTCAGAACGTGCTTATAAAACATATAAAATTATACTAGATGTTATTGCAGTATTCATGTTTGTTTTTATAGGCATCTGCAGCATCCTATTTCCAGAAAAGAAATTCTCAAACTAATAAAACTGAGGAAGTGAAAGAAGAAAATCTTAAAAATGTATTATCTGAAACCCCAGCTATATGTCCTCCTCAAAACACTGAAAACCAAAGGTCAGTACATAGAGAAATTTAGCATGCAGTGACCAAGTAAAAAGTATACAGTAGCAGCAATACAAAATTATGCAATGCTGTTATTCCTTAATACAAATAATACATTGGCATTGGTAGTGGGCATTCTGGACACTTGTGACTATAAGGAAGCCACAAATATTAATGTCTATTTATAATATTTATTAAAATATGCTTTAATAAATTGTATATTTTTAAATTGTGGATATATTTTATTGGGACATTATATTTTGTAATTAATTTTTTGTTTGTTTTTAAATAGTTTAATGGGGAGAAATAGCAAAAGATACAAAAAGAAGAGTGATAATAAGTAGTTTCATCCAACTAATTTCTGTCTCCAAAAACAATCACTGCAACAAGTTTCTTGTGGAACTTTCCAAAATTATTCTATTTATGTGCAAATACATATTTGTCTATTTTTTGTTTTACACATTATTCTGTACCTTACTTTTTTAACTTAACAATAGCTTTTGTAGCTTATTTTATATTACTACATAAAGAACTTCTTTATACTGGCTGGGCATGGTGGCTCACGCCTATAATCTCAGCACTTTGGGAAGCCGAAGCAGGCGGATCATCTGAGGATGGGAGTTCGAGACCAGCCTGACCAACATGGAGAAACCCTGTCTCTATTAAAAATACAAAATTAGCCAGGCTTGGTGGCACATGCCTGTAATCCCAGCAAATCGGAAGGCTGAGGCAGGAGAATCACTTGAACCCGGGACGCGGAGATTGCAGTCATCTGAGATCACACCGCTGCACTCCAGCCTGGGCAACAAAAGCGAAACTCTGTCTCAAAAAAACCAAAAAAACAAAAAGAACTTCTTTATACTATAGCAAGGCTATCAGAAAAAGTAAATACATAAATGGATGGATAGATAGAAAAATAAGAGCTTTAATCTTTGTGTATCCATTGAATAGACATGTCATAGTTCATGTAGTTCTCTACTTGTGGACAAAAGATGGTTACCGGTCTTTTGCTAGTACAGACAGTACTGCAATGAATAATTTTATATGAATAGCATTTCTCACAGATGCATATATAGCTATAAGATGGATTCATGTATGGTTCAAGTTAATCTGCACTTATAATTCCAATGCCAGATTGTTCTGCATTGATGTTGTATCATTTTATACACCTTTAGCAATATGAGTATTCCTATTTGCTCATATCCTCTTTGTCCACAAACACAGTATGTTACCTATTTTCTTGATCTCTACTATGCTGGATTTCTTTGTATTTATTTATTTTTTCTGAGACGGAGTTTCGCTCTTGTTGCCCAGGCTGGAGTGCATTGGCACGATCTTGGCTCACTGCAACCTCCGCCTCCCAGGTTCAAGCGATTCTCCTGCCTCAGCCTCCTGAGTAGCTGGGATTGCAGGCATACGCCACCATGCCTGGCTAATTTTATATCTTTTTTTTTTTTTTAAATACTTTTAAGCTCTAGGGTACATGTGCACAACATTCAGGTTTGTTACATATGTACACATGTGCCATGTTGGTGTGCTGTGCTCATCATTTACATTAGGTATATCTCCTAATGCTATCCCTCCCTACTTCCCCCACCCCACAACAGGCCCAAGTGTGTGATGTTCCCCTTCCTGTGTCCAAGCGTTCTCATTGTTCAGTTCTCACCTATGAGTGAGAACATGCGGTGTTTGGTTTTTTGTCCTTGAGATAGTTTGCTGAGAATGATGGTTCCCAGTTTCATCCATGTCCCTACAAAGGACATGAATTCATCCTTTTTTATGGCTGTATAGTATTCCATGGTGTATATGTGCCACATTTTCTTAATCTAGTCTATCATTGATGAACATTTAGGTTGGTTCCAAGTCTTTGCTATTGTGAATAGTGCCACAATAAACATACGTGTGCATGTGTTTTTATAGCAGCATGATTTATAATCCTTTGGGTATATACCCAGTAATGGGATTGCTGGGTCAAATGGTATTTCTAGTTCTAGATCCTTGAGGAATCGCCACACCGCCTTCCACAATGGTTGAACTAGTTTACAGTCCCACCAACAGTGTAAAAGTGTTCCTATTTCTCCACATCCTCTCCAGCACCTGTTGTTTCCTGACATTTTAATGATTGCCATTCTAACTGGTGTGAGATGGTTTCTCACTGTGGTTTTGATTTGCATTTCTCTGATGGCCAGTGATGATGAGCATTTTTTCATGTGTCTGTTGGCTGCATAAATGTCTTCTTTTGAGAAGTGTCTGCTCATATCCTTCGCCCACTTTTTGATTGGGTTTGTTTTTTTCTTGTAAATTTGTTTGAGTTCTTTGTAGATTCTGGATATTAGCCCTTTGTCAGATGGGTAGATTGCAAAATTTTTTCCCGTTCTGTAGGTTGCCTGTTCACTCTGATGGTAGTTTCTTTTGCTGTGCAGAAGCTCTTTAGTTTAATTAGATCCCATCTGTCAATTTTGGCTTTTGTTGCCATTGCTTTTGGTGTTTTAGACATGAAGTCCTTGCACATTCCTATATCCTGAATGGTATTGCCTAGGTTTTCTTCTGGGGTTTTTATGGTTTTAGATCTAACATTTAAGTCTTTAATCCATCTGGAATTAATTTTTGTATAAGATGTGAGGAATGGATCCAGTTTCAGCTTTCTACATATGGCTAGGCAGTTTTCCCAGCACCATTTATTAAATAGGGAATCCTTTCCCCATTTCTTGTTTTTGTCATGTTTGTCAAAGATCAGATGGTTGTAGATGTGTGGTATTATTTCTGAGGGCTCTGTTCTGTTCCATTGGTCTGTATCTCTGTTTTGGTACCAGTACTGTGCTGTTTTGTATAGTTTGAAGTCAGGTAGCGTGATGCCTCCAGCTTTGTTCCTTTGGCTTATGAGTGACTTGGCAATGCGGGCTCTTTTTTGGTTCCATATGAACTTTAAAGTAGTTTTTTCCAATTCTGTGAAGAAAGTCATTGATAGCTTGATGGGGATGGCATTGAATCTATAAATTGCCTTGGACAGGATGGCCGTTTTCACGATAGTGATTCTTCCTATCCATGAGCGTGGAATGTTCTTCCGTTTGTTTGTGTCCTCTTTTATTTCATTGAGCAGTGGTTTGTAGTTCTCTTTGAAGAGGTCCTTCACATCCCTTGTAAGTTGGATTCCTAGGTATTTTATTCTCTTTGAAGCAATTGTGAATGGGAGTTCACTCATGATTTGGCTCTCTGTTTGTCTGTTATTGGTGTATAAGAATGCTTGCGATTTTTGCACATTGATTTTGTATCCTGAGACTTTGCTGAAGTTCCCTATCAGCTTAAGGAGATTTTGGGCTGAGACGACGGGGTTTTCTAAATATACAATCATGTCATCTGCAAACAGGTACAATTTGACTTCCTCTTTTCCTAATTGAATACCCTTTATTTCTTTCTCCTGCCTGATTGCCCTGGCCAGAACTTCCAACACTATGTTGAACAGAAGTGGTGAGAGAGGGCATCCCTGTCTTGTGCCAGTTTTCAAAGGGAATGCTTCCAGTTTTTGCCCATTCAGTATGATATTGGCTGTGGGTTTGTCATAAATAGCTCTTATTATTTTGAGATACATCCCATCAATACCTAATTTATTGAGAGTTTTTTAGCATGAAGCGTTGTTGAATTTTGTCACAGGCCTTTTCTGCATCTATTGAGATAACCATGTGGTTTTAGTCTTTGGTTCTGTTTATATGCTGGATTACGTTTATTTATTTGCGAATGTTGAACTAGCCTTGCATCCCAGAGATGAAGCCCACTTGATAAGTTTTTTGAAGTGCTGCTGGATTTGGTTTGCCAGTATTTTACTGAGGATTTTTGCATCGATGTTCATCAGGGATATTGGTCTAAAATTCTCTTTTTTTGTTGTGTGTCTGCCAGGCTTTGGTATCAGGATGATGCTGGCCTCATAAAATGAGTTAGGGAGGATTCCCTCTTTTTCTATTGATTGGAATAGTTTCAGAAGGAATGGTAACAGCTCCTCCTTGTACCTCTGGTAGAATTTGGCTGTGAATCCATCTGGTCCTGGACTTTTTATTTGGTTGGTAGGCTATTAATTATTGCCTCAATTTCAGAGCCTGTTATTGGTCTATTCAGAGATTGAACTTCTTCCTCGTTTAGTCTTGGGAGGGTGTGTGTGTCCAGGAATTTATCCATGTCTTCTAGATTTTCTAGTTTATTTGCATAGAGGTGTTTATAGTATTCTTTGATGGTAGTTTGTATTTCTGTGGGATCAGTGGTGATATCCCCTTTATCATTTTTTATTGCATCTATTTGATTCTTCTCTCTTTTCTTCTTTATTAGTCTTGCTAGCGGTCTATCAGTTTTATTGATCTTTTCAAAAAACCAGCTCCTGGATTCATTGATTTTTTGAAGGCTTTTTTGTGTCTCTATCTCCTTCAGTTCTGCTCTGATCTCAGTTATTTCTTGCCTTCTGCTAGCTTTTGAATATGTTTGCTCTTGCTTCTCTAGTTCTTTTAATTGTGATGTTAGGGTGTCAATTTTAGATATTTTCTGCTTTCTCTTGTGGGCATTTAGTGCTATAAATTTCCCTCTACACACTGCTTTAAATGTGTCCCAGAGATTCTGGTATGCTGTGTCTTTGTTCTCGTTGGTTTCAAAGAACATCTTTATTTCTGCCTTCATTTCGTTATGTACCCAGTAGTCATTCAGGAGCAGGTTGTTCAGTTTCCATGTGGTTGAGCAGTTTTGGGTGAGTTTCCTAATGCTGAGTTCTAGTTTGATTGCACTGTGGTCTGAGAGACAGTTTGTTATAATTTCTGTTCTTTTACATTTGCTGAGGAGTGCTTTACTTCCAACTATGTGGTCAGTGTTGGAATAAGTGCGATGTGGTGCTCAGAAGAATGTATATTCTGTTGATTTGGGGTGGAGAGTTCCGTAGATGTCTGTTAGGTCTGCTTGGTGCAGAGCTGAGTTCAATTCCTGGATATCCTTGTTAACTTTGTCTCGTTGATCTGTCTAATGTTGACAGTGGGGTGTTAAAGTCTCCCATTATTATTGCGTGGGAGTCTAAGTCTCTTTGTAGGTCTCTAAGGACTTGGTTTATGAATCTGGGTGCTCCTGTATTGGGTGCATATATATTTAGGATAGTTAGCTCTTCTTGTTGAATTGAATTGATCCCTTTACCATTATGTAATGGCCTTCTTTGTCTCTTTTGATCTTTGTTGGTTTAAAGTCTGTTTTATCAGAGACTAGGATTGCAACCCCTGCCTTTTGTTGTTTTCCATTTGCTTGGTAGATCTTCCTCCATCCCTTTATTTTGAGCTTATGTGTGTCTCTGCACATGACATGGGTCTCCTGAATACAGCACACTGATGGGTCTTGACTCTTTATCCAATTTGCCATTCTGTGTCTTTTAATTGGAGCATTTAGCCCATTTACATTTAAGGTTAATATTGTTATGTGTGAATTTGATCCTGTCATTATGATGTTAGCTGGTTACTTTGCTCATTAATTGATGCAGTTTCTTCCTAGCCTTGATGGTCTTTACAATTTGGCATGTTTTTTCAGTGGCTGGTACCGGTTGTTCCTTTCCATGTTTAGTGCTTCTTTCAGGAGCTCTTGTAGGGCAGGCGTGGTGGTGACAAAATCTCTCAGCATTTGCTTGTCTGTAAAGGATTTTATTTCTCCTTCACTTATGAAGCTTAGTTTGGCTGGATATGAAATTCTGAGTTGAAAATTCTTTTCTTTAAGAATGTTGAATATTGGCCCCCACTCTCTTCTGGCTCATAGAGTTTCTGCCGAGAGATCAGCTGTTAGTCTGATGGGCTTCCCTTTGTGGGTAACCTAACCTTTCTCTCTGAACATTTTTTCTTTCATTTCAACTTTGGTGAATCTGACAATTATGTGTCTTGGAGTTGCTCTTCTCGAGGAGTATCTTTGTGGCATTCTCTGTATTTCCTGAATTTGAATGTTGGCCTGCCTTGCTAGGTTGGGGAAGTTCTCCTGGATAGTATCCTGCAGAGTGTTTTCCAACTTGGTTCCATTCTCCCTGTCACTTTCAGGTACACCAAACAAACGTAGATTTGGTCTTTTCACATAGTCCCATATTTCTTGGAGGCTTTGTTTGTTTCTTTTTACTCTTTTTTCTCTAAACTTTTCTTCTCGCTTCATTTCATTCATTTGATCTTTGATCACTGATACCCTTTCTTCCAGTTGATTGAATTGGCTACTGAGGCTTGTGCATTCGTCACGTAGTTCTCGTGCCATGGTTTTCAGCTCCATCAGGTCATTTGAGGAGTTCTCTACACTGGTTATTCTAGTTAGCCATTCGTCTAATCTTTTTTCAAGGTTTTTAGCTCCTTTGCGATGCGTTCGAACTTCCTCCTTTAGCTCGGAGAGGTTTGATCGTCTGAAGCCTTCTTCTCTCAACTCGTCAAAGTCATTCTCCGTCCAGCTTTGTTCCGTTGCTGGTGAGGAGCTGCGTTCCTTTGGGGGGGGAGAGGTGCTCTGATTTTTAGAATTTTCAGCTTTTTTGCTCTGTTTTTTCCCCAATCTTTATGGTTTCATCTATCTTTGGTCTTTGATGATGGTGACGTACACATGGGGTTTTGGTATGGATGTCCTTTTTGTTTGTTAGTTTTCCTTCTAACAGTCAGGACCCTCAGCTGCAGGTCTGTTGGAGTTTGCTGGAGGCCCACTCCAGACTCTGCCTGGGTATCAGCAGCGGAGGCTGCAGAACAGCAAATATTGGTGAACAGCAAATGTTGCTGCCTGGTCATTCCTCTGGAAGCCTCGTCTCAGAGGGGTACCCGGCCGTGTGAGGTGTCAGTCTGCCCCTACTGGGGGGTGCCTCCCAGTTAGGCTACTTGTGGATCATGGACCCACCTGTCACTGAGGAGGCAGTCTGTCCATTCTCAGATCTCAAACTCTGTGCTGGGAGAACCACTACTCTCTTCAAAGCTGTCAGACAGGGACATTTAAATCTGTAGAGGTTTCTGCTGCCTTTGTTCGGCTATGCCCTGCCCCCAGAGGTGGAGTCCACAGAGGCAGGCAGGACTCCTTGAGCTTCAGTGGGCTCCACCCAGTTCGAGTTTCCTGGCTGAGGCTGCCGCCTTGTAGTTCAATCTCAGACTGCTGTGCTAGCAATGAGTGAGGCTCCATGGGCATGGGACCCTCTGAGCCAGGAGTGGGATATAATCTCCTGGTGTGCCGTTTGCTAAGACCATTGGAAAAGCACAGTATTAGGGTGGGGGTGACCCAATTTTCCAGGTGCTGTGTGTCACAGCTTTGCTTGGCTAGGAAAGGGAATTTTCTGACCCCTTGCGCTTCCCGGGTGAGGTGATGCCTTGCCCTGCTTCAGCTCACACTCGGTGTGCCACACCCCCTGTTCTGCGCCCACTGTCCGACAAGCCCTAGTGAGATGAACCTGGTACCTCAGTTGGAAGTGCAGAAATCACCCGTCTTCTGCATCGCTCATGCTGGGAGCTGTAGGCTGAAGCTCTTCCTATTCGACCATCTTGGAACCGCTTAATTTTGTATCTTTAGTAGAGACGAGGTTTCTCCATGTTGGTCAGGCTGGTCTCAAACTCCTGACCTCAGGTGATCTGCCCACCTTGGCCTCCCAAAGTGCTGGAATTACAGGTGTGAGCCACCACTCCTGGCCTTATTTTTAATATATCCGTTAAATTTGAAAAGTCACAATTTTGGCCTGGCACAGTGGCTCACGCCTGTAATCCCAGCACTTTGGGAGGCTGAGGTGGGCGGATCACTTGAGGTCAAGAGTTCGAGACCAGCCTGGCCAACATGGTGAAACCCCATCTCTATTAAAAATACAAAAGTTTGCCAGGTATGGTGGCTCATGCCTGTAATCCCAGCTACTTGGGAGGCTGAGGCAGGAGAATCGCTTGAACACAGGAGACGGAGGCTGCAATGAGCCAAGATTGTGCCACTGCACTCCAGCCTGGGCAACAGAGTGAGACTCCATCTCAGAAAAAACAAAAAGAAAAGAACAGTCACAATTTCATTTTTACCATAATATATCTCATTTTTCTCATGCTGAACAGTCCAGGGAGAAAAATAATAATAAAGTATATCTTATTTTCTTAATGACTTTATGTTAACCAGTTTGAGGGAGTGGCTGTGGTTTTCACATTTCCTGTTTTGTTCTGAATTTAATTTAGGTCTTAAACAGTGAAAATTTTATTTAAGAAAATTGATAGGCCGGGCATAGTGGCTCATGGTTTTTTTTCCGCTTAACACTTTTTTCTTTTTGCTCTTGTTGCCCAGACTGCAATGCAATGGCACAATCTCGGCTCACTGCAACCTCTGCCTCTGGGTTCAAGTGATTCTCCTGTCTCAGCCTCCTGAGTAGCTGTGATTACAGGCATGCGCAACCATGCCCGACTAATTTTGTATTTTTAGTAGAGATGAGGTTTCTCCATGTTGGTCAGGCTGGTCTTGAACTCCTGACCTCAGGTGATCCACCCGCCTTGGCCTCCCAAAGTGCAGGGATTACAGGTGTGAGCCACCATGCCTGGCCCGCCTAACACTTTTTTTGAGACAGTCTTGCCCTGTCACCAAGGCTGGAGTCCACTGGTGCAATCTCAGCTCACTGCAACCTCCACCTTCTGGGTTCAAGCAATTCTCATGCCTCAGCCTCCTGAGTAGCTGGGATTACAGGTGTGTGCCACCATGCCCACTAATTTTGTTATTTTTTGGTAGAGATGGAGTTTGCCACGTTGGCCAGGCTGGTCTCAAACTCTTGGCCTCAAGCGATTTGCCCATCTCGGCTTCCCAAAGTGCTGGGGTTACAGGTGTGAGCCACCACACCTGGCCAAGCCTAACACTTTGGAAGGCCAACATGATCAGTTAGCTTCAGCCCAGGAGATTGGAACCAGCCTGGGCAATGTAGGGAGACCCCATCTCTACCAAAAGTTTTAAAATCAGCCAGGTGTGTGTGGTGGCACATGCCTGTAGTCCCAACTGCTTGAGAGTCTGAGGCAGGAGGATTGCTTGAGCCCAGGAATTTGAGGTGGCAGTGAGCTGATTATACCACTGCACTCCAGCCTGGGCGACAAAGCAAGACCCTTTCTCTTAAAACAACAACAAAGAAGATTGATAATTTAATTTTTCATACTATCAGTTGGTTATACAAAAAACTTACTTTTGAAATTTTAAGGAATTACCACTATTGAAACTAATATTTTGTCACAGATGTTGATATACTTAATCAGAAATGTCCAGTTTTAGCCAGGTGGCTGTGCACTCTTGTAGTCCTAGCCACTCAGAAGGTTGAGTCAGAAGGGTTGCTTAAGCCCAGAAGTTTGAGGCCAGCCTAGGCAACATAGTGAGACTCACGTCTCTTTAAAAAACAAAGAAAGAAATGTTCAATTTTGGTTTTCTTTTTAAAAATAGCTGTTTAGAAGTAGATGATTGCAGGCCACTAAGTAGACTTGTGACATTGCCCCAAGTTTCATTAAAATGGGTCTTCATTAATTTTTGGAAATTCAGGAACCTTTGTTATACCTTGATTTTTACTTGTTTTGATTTGTTCTGTTATTTTTCTGGAAATCGGTTTACGTTAAGATTACTTAAAATTTGCATATTTTCAGAAATTGGGCAAATGGTTATGGTCATACTAGTAATTTTTTAATAAAAATTTTTTTAACCTTAAAAAGTTTAGACTTTTTATTTAGGATTCATTTAGGTTCAGCCTAGTGAGGGGCGTATAGCTGCTGGGTTAAACATAAGAGACTCTGGGCCAGGCACAGTGGCTCACGCCTGTAATCCCAGCACTTTGGGAGGCCGAGGCGAGTGGATCATGAGGTCAGGAGTTCGAGACCCACCTGGCCAATATGGTGAAACCCTGTCTTTACTAAAAATACAAAAATTAGCTGGGTGTGGTGGCGCGTACCTGTAGTCCCAGCTGTTTGGGAGGCTGAGGCAGGAGAATCACTTGAACCTGGAAGGTGGAGGTTGCAGTAAGCCAATACAGAGCCACTGTACTCCAGCATAGGGGAAAGAGCTAGACTCCATCTCTACAAAAAAACATAGACTTTGGAGTCAAATTGCCTGGTTGTTGGATCCCAGGTCTGAGTTTTACTGTTTGTGTAACCTGGGATAGGTTATTTCACATCTCTGAGCCTCCCTTTTCTCACTTATGGAATGGAGATAATAACTGTATCCATCTCATAGTGTTATTGTCATTTAAATGAGGTACTATACATAAAGCTTTTAGAGTAGTGCCTGGTAGATAGTAAGTGATCAGTAAATGTTAAATATTTGCATTAAACCTTCACTTGTGTGACTTAAAGACAATTTGTATTGTGAGTGGAATCTAATGAAATGTACAAATGTGCTGTGTCCGTGCTTCACCTAATGCTGATGCAGGTCAGCTCTGAGAGCAAGGGTGAGGCGATGGCAAAGGGGCTTGAGAAAAGTCGTGAGGAATTCAAATAGCTGGTTTGGGGAAATAGAAAAAGAGCCTACCAAGGACATGTGGTAGGCCACAAGGGCTAAGTGAGGTTGGAGACCTTGAGCCTGTCAACATTCATTAAAAAGTTGAAAGTACAGAGTTCATGGTTGCTGCACTTGGAAAATACAAACGTGAGTGATCCTTTTGAATTGACCTTACAAAGGATTTTCCAGTTCATTGATCCTGCAGTCTCCAGGCAGTTTAAAGTAATATGAGGCCAGGCACGGTGGCTTATGCCTGTAATCCCAGCAGTTTGGGAAGCCGAGGCGGGCAGATCACGTGAGGTCAGGAGTTTGAGACCAGCCTGACCAACATGGTGAAACCCCATGCAAAAAATTAGCCAGGTGTGGTGGCGCATGCCTGTAATCCCAGCTACTTGGGAGGCTGAGGCAGGAGAATCGCTTGAACCCAGGAGGCGGAGGTTGCAGTGAGCTGAGATCGCGCCATTGCACTCCAGGCTGGGTGACAGAGTGAGACTCTGTCTCAAAAAAAAAAAAAAAAAAAAAGTAACATGAATTAACAAGTGTAACTGTGTCTTCCTTACTTTATATAATAGATGTCAGAGACTTATGGTTGATTACTAACTTAAAATCATGAGGCACTTTAAACTCTGTCTTAAGTATAAAATGTTTTCACATAATTGTGATTTTAGGCCAAAGACCGGGTTCCAGATGTGGTTAGAAGAAAATAGAAGTAATATTTTGTCTGACAATCCTGACTTTTCAGATGAAGCAGACATAATAAAAGAAGGAATGATTCGATTTAGAGTATTGTCAACTGAAGAAAGAAAGGTAAGGATAATTGTGCCGAGATTGAGATCTTAGTGAATTCCCAGATTTAAAAAATTCTTATAGAAATGCCTTTTGGCTGGGTATGGTGTCTTATGCCTGTAATCCTAGCACATTGGGAGGTCGAGGCGGATCACTTGAGCTCAGGAGTTCGTGACCAGCCTGGGCAACATAGTGAGACATCGTCTCTAATAATAATAATAACAACAACAAAGATAATAACGATCATGACAACTAAAAAAAAAAGGAAAAGCCTTTTTCTGTTTTTGGAAATTGAATACATCCACCAAACTTTTTAAAGAGGAAAGTAAGTGCGGATATATGGTAATATGGATATGTAGTAATTATTATGTAATGGTGATGGGTTTTTTGTTTTGTTTTTGTTTGAGGCAGGTCTTGTTCTTTCACCCAGGCAGGAGTGTCGTGGTGTGATCATGGCTCACTGCCACCTCGACCTCCTGGGCACAAGCAATTGTCCTCTTTTTTTTTTTTATAGAGACAACCTCTCACTGTGTTGCCCAGGCTGGATGGTTAATTTTTTGACGGTTTACTGTTTTAATCTCTATAAGTTCCTGTATGTTTTAAGTTAGGAGAATACCCCAAGAAAAGATGCATTTGTTAAAAATCAAAAGTGTCAAGCTGAGTTCGTTGGCTCAAGCCTGTAATCCTAGCACTTTGGGAGGCCAAGGCAGGAGGATCTCTTGAGCCCAGGAGTTTGAGACCAGCCTAGACAACATAGTGATACACCATCTCTACAAAAATTTAAAAATTAGCCTGGCATGGTGGCACACACCTGTAGTCCCAGTTACTCAGGAGGTTGAGGTGGGAAGATCACTTACTTGAGCCCAGGAGGTCAAGGCTGCAGTGAGCCGTGATTGTGTCACTGTACTCCAGCATGGGTGACAGAGTGAGACCGGGTCTCTAGGGGGAAAAAAATTAATAAGTAAAAATGAATTCACATTTTTTGAATACTACTTTAGGGTTCTTGCAAGCAGAATTTTTAAAAATTGTATCTACTTACACATTAAATACTACATGAGACTATTCCTTTTGGGAAAAAGACTGGTGTTCTGTTCCAGCCTTTCACATGGAAATTAGGACAGGTGGCTGGCTTGCTTCTGATAAACTTCTGCCATGTGAAGGAAGGAAGGCACAATCTCTCAGTTAGAAGTGGAAGGAATGTGTGTGGTGTACCAGTTAAATCCTCAGGTTTCACTTCCCCAGGAATGGCAGGGCGCAGCACAGGCACCTAGTAACGTAGATACTTGCTTTGGTAAATTGGGTTTTATGAAAAAGGTGTTGCATAATGAGGAAGCCAGAAACTGGTTTAAACACCTTTAGCGTCATTTAGAACCTCATTTACAATTTTATGTTTCTCATTTGTTGTTCAATAAAATGGCGTCTAAATAAATAAGACTTTACACTGCAAAAGAGGAAGAGACTTGGCAAAGTCTGTGATTGTGTTTTTGAATACTTAAAAATGTAATCAGTATTTTTAAGGTAAACCCTAAACATTTACTTAAATCCAGTTTGTTAATGTGAGAAATTCTACAGCTTGAAGAGCCCTTGAAATGGCCAGGGAAATAAAGTAGGAGTGGGGAACTATTATAGATTAAAAGAGATTTTAGAGACAGATGAAATGAATGGACCTTGTCTGGCTCTTGCTGAGTGAATAAAAACCAAACCCCAAAGAATATATACTCATTTATATAACATTCCTGAAATGACAACATGATCAAGATGGAGAATAGAGTAGTGGTTGCCAGGGGTTGGAGTCGGAGTTGGGGCTTGGGGAAGAGGTTCTGTATTTTGACTGTGGTGGTAAACAAACCAACCCACAATAAAAGTAAATACATACATACGCTCAAATGAGTAGAAGTAAAATGGGATTGTTTCAATGTCAGTTCCCTATAGTTGTGATTGTTGGGCTATAGTTTTGCAAAATGTTACCACTGGGGAAAACTGGGTGAAGGCTACACAGGATCTTTCTGTATTATTTCATACAACTGCATGTGAAACTGCAATTATCTTAGAATAAAAAGTTTCATTTTTATTATTTATTTATTTATTTATTTATTTATTTTTTGAGACGGAGTCTTGCTCTCGCCCAGGCTGGAGTGCAGTGGCGTGATCTCAGCTCACTGCAGGCTCCACCTCCCGGGTTCACTCTAGTCTCCTGCCTCAGCCTCCCAAGTAGCTGGGACTACAGGCGCCCGCTACCATGCCCGGCTAATTTTTTTGTATTTTTAGTAGAGACGGGGTTTCACTGTGTTAGCCAGGATGGTCTCAGTCTCCTGACCCCGTGATCCACCCACCTCGGCCTCCCAAAGTGCTGGGATTACAGACATGAGCCACCGTGCCTGGCCAAAAGTTTCATTTTTAAATAGTACTGCAATTATAGTATTTTGCAACTAATATGATTAATATAAGCAAAGCTTAGATTGAGATATAAAAGTAGTGTAAATCTTTAATGTGCTCTGCATTTAAGTAATAAAAGATTTGTTAACAATGAGAACACTTAATTCAAGTGCTAATTATTCTGCTTTATATATAAAAATATTACCTGGAAAAGTAAATAAATCATTTACTTCTTATTTGTTATTTTCTAAAAATCTTTCCTTTTCACTCCTGCCATTTTACAAAGGTGTGGGCTAACAAAGCCAAAGGAGAAACGGCAAGTGAAGGAACTGAAGCAAAGAAGCGAAAACGTGTGGTTGATGAAAGTGATGAAACAGAAAACCAGGAAGAAAAAGCAAAAGAGAACCTGAATTTGTCTAAAAAGCAGAAACCTTTAGATTTTTCTACAAATCAGAAACTATCAGCTTTTGCATTTAAGCAGGAGTAAAGGAAGAAAGTGACCCTAGGGAAGTAATGGATTTTTTTTTACTCATCTTTGAATATAGACTCGAGTCTTTGGGAAACTCATTATATATATATTTTTTAAAGAGTTTGAAGCAACTGTTTGTCTTTATAAGATAATGTAGTAATTATATTGGTGTAGGTAACAGGACATATGTAAAAACTATCATCTTTGCAGATTACTCTGCCTCCAAATGCAGGGCCTTTCAGAGATGCATTGTGATTGTAATTACTGAGTTGAAGCTCCAACCAATTTGAATTTGTTTCTTAACCTTGAAAAATCATTAAAGCCAAGGTATTAAAACCTTTGTGCATTAATACCTTCTAGGGGTTTGGTTCATTTGGTTTTTGTCATGTGCAAGGAAGGACAATAGTCCTCTTTCCAAGTGTGTTAGCATAGACTTCTCTATATGTTTCTACTAGACCTAGGGGATGACGTCTTTTAATAATACTGGCCCTAAACATGTAAATAATCTTGTAGGTGAGACTTTTTCTTTTGTGTTTCGGAAATTTCCTATGTGGCTTTCAGTTGTCTGTTTGTATAGCCTGGATTTTTTTGAGGTAAATGAAACTTTCTCATTTGTATATTTGGCTTGATATGGTCTTAATATTATCTTTCCACGAAATGGATATATTTCTAGAAAATATATATTTACTACCATAATTTCTACCACCACCCCCATTTTGCTCTGCATTATACACAGTAGAGAAGAACTGAAGACACTGCTGTGACAGTATTGCAGTCCAAGGCATCATGTGCTCTTGGTGGGATACTCTGATTATCAGCATCAACAGTACTTTACTGAGCAAGACTTTGAAGGCCTGAGAAGAGAGCAAAGTTATGGAAAGTATTTAACTCTTATTTTATATTGAACAAACAAGGTTTAATCATGTCATACATTTTTGGTTTTCTAAGCAGAGACTAATACAAATGCAGCCACATAAAGGCAGTGTACTGGGGGTGGGAGGGAAGGAAACAATCACATAAAATCAGCTGACTCAAAATTGAGGATAGTTAATAGGTTGAAAGGGAAAAAGTATGTTGAAAATTTAGACATAAATGAACCAAGAATATTCCTTATCTGGTGATGATTAAAGTTAGGAAAACATACATTTTTTATTTTTTAATTAGTAGCTGCTATCAGAGACATTATAGCACAGTGGTTATGAGCACAGATTCCAAAGCCAGATTACCTAGGTTCGGAGACCCGCTTCTCTACCTACTACTAATAGTTGGGTCATGTTGGGCCGGTGACCCAAATTCTAGCCTTCATTCACTCATCTGTAAAATGGATATAATGATAGTACCTACTTTATAGGTTGTTATGAGAATTGAATGAAATGAAAGCCCTTAGTTTCTGACACATAGTAATCTTTTATATAAATGTTAGTTACTATTCTGATAATGATGATGCTGTTGGTTATTTCATCTTGCTTTGTCATTAGGTTTGATTCTGAATACTATACAAACTAATTTTGATTTCAAGATCTTAAGTAAAGGTTTATTTATAGTACATTGGAAAGCATGTTTGTAGACATGTATTTTGTGTTTGGTTCCTCAACTTGCTTTGTATATATTTTATAATACTAGGTTGATATAAAAGTAAATGCAGTTTCGCCATTTCAGTGGCAAAAACCGCGATTTCTTTTGTGCCAACCTAATGCTTAAGGATATAATCTGTGTATATTGTATTTCAGATTCATAGCAACCTAATAACAAGGATTTACAAAAGGGTTTTTACTTCCCTACTTTTTTTTGGCTGAAGGAAGGTTTTTGTATTGACTTGGTTTAACTTACAAATCAGAACTTTGAAACCAAGAAACATTATCCTTATTTCTCTGCTATATAATAGTAAACCTGTTTTTTTCCAGTGTTCTTTTTTTTTTTTCCAGAGAATTGGGACTGAATAGTATGAAAGTGAAAATGGAAATAAATTAATTATTAATCATCATCATATCAATAATATTGCCTACTTGAGCTTATTGTATACTATAGAAAATTGACATATACTTAATTTTATTCTCCAAAAGCAAAAACTCCTCACAGGAGGTTACTTTACAGATTTATTTTGGAGAACAAGTGAATAGGCACTGGGGTTATGTGCAGCTCTGGGGACTGTGCTATGATCTAAAGCCTCTCATATCTGTGCAGCAACCTGGGGTGAGTCACTGTCACTAACATGGAACAGATGCCAGGTAGTCCCTTTGGACAAAAGGATGAGGCCCATCCATGTAGAAAGCATCTTAATCAGTGACTGTCTTATGGGCCCTCTTTGTTTCCCATCTGTTTTATTATCAGAATATATAATTTTCCCCCAAGTTTTCATCTTGAATCTCTCAAACCTACAGAAAATTTGAAATTTGACAGTAAGCACCTGTATATCCTTCCTCTAGTTTGTCTTATTGTTGACATTTTATCATGTATGCTTTATAGACAGGATTTTTCCTGAACCATTTGGAATATGCATATACTTCATCCCTCAGTTCCCAGCATGTACCCTAAGAATAAAGATTTTCTTCTGCATAATTACAATGCCATAATTACTCCAAAGAAATTTAACAGATGATATTATTACATAGCCTGTATTTTATAATAAAATTTCCCTCAAAGTGCCGTTAGCCATTTTTACCCCCAGTTTAGGATCCAATCGAGAATCATGCATTGTATTTAATTATTAGAGGTAAATACTTTTATTTATTTATTTATTTATTTATTTATTTTAAAGACAGGGTCTCTCTCTGTCACCCAGGCTGAAGTGCAGTGGCACAGTCACAACTCATTGTAGCCTTGACCTCCCTGGGCTGAGGTGATCCTCCTGCTTCAGCCCCAAGTAGCTGGGAGTATAGGCAAATGCCACCACACCTGGCTAGTTTTTGTATTTTTTTACATAGATGGGTTTCATCATGTTGCCCAGGCTGGTCTCAAACTCCTGTGTGTCTTTGTTTGAGACAGTCTTTCTGTTGCCCAGGCTGGAGTGCAATGGCATGATCTTGGTTCACTGCAGCCTCTGCCTTTTGGGTTCAAGTGATTCTCTGGCCTCGGCCTCCTGAGTAGCTTGGATTATAGATGTGCGCCACCATGCCCAGCTAATTTTTGTGTTTTTAGTAGAGAGACAAGGTTTCGCCGTGGTGGCCAGGCTGGTCTCAAACTCCTGACCTCAAATGATCTGCCTGCCTCGGCCTTCCAAAGTGCTTGGATTACAGGTGTGAGCCACTGCTCCCGGTCCCAAGCTTAGAATTTGAAGGATGGCCTGTGCCAAAATGGGTAGAAGGTGGTATTCTGGGATTGACACTAATTTCTACCCACTTTGGGACTGTATTATAAAGGACAAAAACTGATGGAATAGGAAATAAACATAATGGAATTTAAAAAAGCCAAAAGTTGGTCTTTTGATAGATTAATGAATTAGAAAAATTATGTCTGCTTCATCTGAAAAGTCAGGATTGTCAGACAAAATATTACTTCTATTTTCTTCTAGCCACATCTGGAACTCGGTCTTTGGCCTAAAATCACAATTATGTGAAAACATTTTATACTTAAGACAGAGTTTAAGGTGCCTTATGATTTTAAGTTAGTAATCAATCATAAGTCTTTGATATCTATTATATAAAGTAAGGAAGACACAGTTACACTTGTTAATATTCATATTACATTGATCAAGATGAGAGAAAAGCACAAAAATGATCTTAGGAATGAAAAGAGATTTATTAACTACAAATGATACAGATATAAAGAAGAAGCTTGTGGTCAGTTTTGTGTGTCAAATTGGCTAAGCTAGAGTCACCAATATTCAATCAAATACTGACTTATATGTTGTGAAGGTATTTTATGGATATTAAAATTCATGATCAGTTGGATTTGAGGCAGAGAGACTATCCTAGATCATCTGTATGGGCCTGATTTAATCAGTTCAAAGGCCGTAAGAGCAAAACTGAGGCTCCCCTGAGGAAAAAGAAGAAATTATACCTGTGGGTAGCAACTTCATCTCATGCCCAAGGCTTCTAGCCTGCCAATCCTGAAGGTCTGGCATGGGATTTAGGGTTTTAGACTTGCCGTGCCAGCCCCCATAATTATGTGATCCAATTCATTGCAAGAAATCTTATATATATTTCCTACCAGTTCTATTTTTTTGGTTGAACACTGATTCAAGGTATTACAATTTTATGACAACAAATTGGAAAACTTTGATGAAATGAACAGGCACCTACAAAAGCAGAGCTTATTAAAATTGACTTGAGACATTTATGGTAACAAAGAATAAAACATTTAGGAATAAATTTAACAAAATAAGTGCAAAACTTACACTTTGAAAACTATAAAACATTGTTGAAAGACATAAAGGAAGAACTAAATAAATTGAAAGCCATCTCACGGTTATGGACCAGAAGACAATACTGTTAACATGATAATACTCCCTAAACTTATCTACAGATTCAATGCAATCCCTATCAAAACCACAGCTGGCTTCTTTGCAGAAATTGACAAGCTGGTTCTAAAATTGATATGGAAATTCAAGGGACCCAGAATAGCCAAAGCACTCTTGAAAAAGAAGAGTAAGTTGGAGGATTCACACTTTCCACTTTCAAAACTTACTATACAGTGTGGTACTGTCTTTATATGGCATAAGAATAGACATAAAGATTAATGGAATAGAATGGAGAATCCAGAAATAGACCCTCTCATTTACAATTAATTGATTTTTAACAAGAGTGCCAGGAAAATTTAATGGAAAAAGGATAGTGTTTTCCACAAATGGTGCTGGACATCTAGACACATCCCAAAGAAGTTGGAGCCCTACCTCATACCATATAGTGAATCAAGACCTAAATGTAAGAGCTAAAACTATAAGATCCTTAGAAGAAAACAGATGTAAATCTTTGTGACTTTAAATATGACACCAGAGGTACAATCAACAAGAGAAAAGATGAAGTCGACATCAAAATTTAAAATTTCCATGTTTCAGGGAACACCATCAAGAAAGTGATAGCCAAGTACAGTGGCTCACACCTATAATCCCAGCACTTTGAGAACTCTGAGGTAGAGATTGCTTGAGCCCAGAAATTCGAGAGCAGCCTAGGCAAGATGGTGAGACTTCATCTCTACAAAAAAATTGTAAAAATTATCTGGGCATGGTGGTGCATGCCTGTAGTCTCAGCTACTCAGGAGACTGAGGCAGGAGGATGCCTAAAGCCCAGGAATTCGAGGCAGCAGTAAGCTATGATTGCACCATTGCATTCCAGTGGCCAATAAGCACATGAAAAGATGCGCAATATGTTTAGTCATCAGGAAAATGCAAAGCAAAAACCACAAAGAAAATGGGCACACAAGTACATGCCTGTAGTCCCAGCTACTCAGGCCACTGAGGTGGGAAGATTACTGGAAGTGCGGAGTTCAAGGCCTCAGTGTACTATGATTGCGCCTGTGAATAGTCGTGTTCTAGCCTGGGCAACATGGTGAGACTGTCTCTAAGGAAAAAAAAAAGATAACACTTCACACCTGCTACCACTAGGATGGCTATAAGGCCATAATCAGAAAGATGGACAATAACAAATGTTAGTGAGGATCTGGATAAATAGGAACCCTTATAAGTTGCTGGTAGGAATGTAAAATGGTGCCATTACCAGTTCCTCAAAAGGTTAACCAGCAATTCCATAGCTAGCTATAAGCCCAAAATCAATGAAACTGTGTATCCACATGAAAACATACATGAATATTCATACACCATTTTCCCTGATAGCTGAAAAGTAGAAACAACCCAAATGTCCATCAACTGATGAATGGATAAATGTTATTTGATAACAAAAAGAAGTGAAGTACTGATACATGTTATAACATAAATAAACCATAAAAACACTATGATAAGTGAAAGAAGCCTCACAAAGAACCACATGTTTTATCTTATTTTTCCAAAAAGAAAAATGAACTTATTAAGAGGGATATTGTATTAACAGGGGTGGAGGAAAAAAGAAACACAAAATACTAGTAAGCAAGTAATTGGGGCAATTTATAGAGCGGTGTTCCTAGTGGAATATAAACTTCTGGTCCAGAGAAGTGATTTTTCAATAACTTAGGTGAGCACTGAAACTTGTCAGAAACCAGGAATTCCCTTCGTAGCATTTGGGTTAGGACTGCTAGTAATTTTCCAACAGAGGGTGTTCATGTTCAAAGCTTGAGTAAATACTGAGTGCCAGACCAGGACATGAAAACAACCTGGTAAGCTATTTAAGAGTTAGGAAGCTGGGCAAGGTGGCTCATGCCTGTAATCCTAGCCCTTTGGGAGGCTGAGATGGGCAGATTGCCCAAGCTTAGAAGTTTGAGACCACCCTGGGCAACATGGTGAAACCCCTTCTTTGCTAAAATACAAAAAGTTAGATGGGCATGGTGGCACGCACCTGTGGTTCCATCTACTCAGGAGGATGAGGCACGAGAATTGCTTGAACCTGGGAGGCGGAGGTTGCAGTGAGTGGAGATCGTGCCACTGCACTCTAGCCTGGGCGACAGAGCAAGACTCTGTCTCAAAAGAAAAAAGGAATATTTTGAGAATATGTCATTGTCCCTATAGCAGAATGGAAGCACTCCAGGCCATACTCCAAGCCCAAGTCGGCCTTATATAGATGTTAGTCTGCCAGTTCAGGGGAAGAGCCTCAAAATAATTCCCTTTAAAGACAACAAGATTCTCCTTATCCACGAAGCCCTTCCTGTCCTGCTCAGGCGTGGGCAGACCAGGGCTTGTTCATCTTGAGGCCCAGGATCCTGCCCACTTCAGTCCAGAATATACTAGTCTGATTTTTGAAATATCAATTTAAGCTCATGGGGGCTGGCAGCCTGGAAGTTTTTATAGGGCTGACCAGCAGGGTAGAAACCAGGAAATCGAGGTCAGAGTTGACGTTGTAGAGTGAAATCAGCAGGGTGGGCTGGCAGGCTGTCTTGAGGCAGGATGGCTAGTGAGGATACCTTCAAACAGAGGACCACATATTTTGATTCCACTTTTATGAAATGTCCAGAATGGGCAAATCTATAGAGACAGAAAGTAGATTGGTGGTTGCCTAGGACTGGGAGTTAGGGGGAAAGTGGGAGTGACTGATAATGAATACAGGGTTTCTTTTTGGAGTGATGAAAATTTCCTAGAATCTGGTTTTAGATAGTGGTAGTTGTTGCATAATTATATGAATTTACTAAAAATCAATGAATTGGCCAGCTGCGGTGACTCACACTTGTAATCCCAGCACTTTGGGAAGCCAAGATGGGTGGATCACCTGAGGTCAGGAGTTTGAGACCAGCCTGGACAACATGGTGAAACCCCGTCTCTACTAATAATACAAAAATTAGCTGGTCGTGGTGGCGCATGCCTGTAATCCCAGCTACTCTGGAGGCTGAGGCAGGAGAATCACTTGAACCCGGGAGGCAGAGGTTGCAGTGAGCGGAGATCGCACCACTGCACTCCAGCCTGACTGAGGAGCGAAACTGTCTCAAAAACAAGAACAATAACAAAAAAACAATGGGCCAGGCATGGTGGCTCACGCCTGTAATCCCAGCACTTTGGGAGGCTGAGGTGGGCGGATCACGAGGTCAACAGATAGAGACCATCCTGGCCAACGTGGTGAAACCCCATCTCTACTAGAAATACAAAAATTAGCTGGGCGTAGTGGTGCGCACCTGTAGTCCCAGCTACTCAGGAGGCTGAAGCAGGAGAATGGTGTGAACCCAGGAGGTGGAGCTTGCAGTGAGCTGAGATCACGCCATTGCACTCCAGCCTGGCGACAGAGCGAGACTCCATCTCAAAAAAACAAACAAAAAAACAAAACAAAACAGAAAAAAAATGAATTGTATACTTTAAATGGGTGAAAGTATGGTATATGAATATGGCTCAGTAAAGTTGTTATTGTAAAACTAACTCAAGAAAAAATAGATAATCTGAATAGTCTATAACCAATTTTAAAAATTAGTCTATATTTAGAATTCTTTTCAAAAAGAAAACCATCAGGCTAGATGGATTTAAAATTATATCACAATGAAGTAAAATTTACAGTCTTATATAATTATGGAGTATAATGACTGTCATAATCTTGATATAAAATTTGACAAGGTTAGTTCAAGAAAGAAAAATTATAAACCAATCTCATTCATGAACATAAGATGAAAAATCTTAAGTGAAAGTTTTAGTAGGCCAGATCCAACAATGTATTAAAAAATACTATTCAGCTACCCCATTGGCTTAATCCTAAAAACACAAGATTGGTTTAACAGTAGAAAGTCAGTTAATGCTGATTAAAGCACAAAATTAAAGTGTTCTTTCACAAAAGCATATATCTTGTTCAAAGAGATTTGTGCCATCTGGTTTATTTCTGTCACTTTATGGAATTAATTTTGTATGTCACTAGACCATATCACCCAAGGGCTTGTAAACACACTCAAGTATTTTGATAACGAGGCTAGTAATATAAGCATAAATTTAAAATACTCCAAGACTTGTTAAAAAGGGAATAATGCTATTGTTTCTTTACTTGTAAGTTGTATTTTATTTATCTATATGTTTGTTTATTTTAGATATGGGGTGTCACTCTGTCACCCAGGCTGGAGTGCAGTGGTGCAATCATAGCTCACTGTAGCCTCGAATTCTTAGGCTCAAGGGACACTCTCACCTCAGCTTCCCAAGGAGCTGGGACTGTAGGAATTTGCCACCGTGCTCAGCTGGTTTTTTTTTTTTTTTTCTTTTTTGAGATGGAGTCTCTCTCTGTCGCCCAGTCCGGAGTGCAGTGGCACAATCTCAGCTCACTGCAAGCTCTGCCTCCTGGGTTCTTGCCATTCTCCTGCCTCAGCCTCCTGAGTAGCTGGGACTACAGGTGCCCGCCACCATGCCCGGCTAATTTTTTTTTTTTTTTTTTTTTGTATTTTTTAGTAGAGACAGGGTTTCACTGTGTTAGCCAGGATGGTCTCGATCTCCTGACCTCGTGATCCACCCACCTCAGCCTCCCAAAGTGCTGGGATTACAGGCGTGAGCCACTGCAGCCAGCCACAGCTGATTTTTTTAATCTCTTGATTTTTAATTTTTTTGTAGAGACAGAGTCTCGCCATCTTGTCCAGGCTGGTCTCGAACTCCTGGGCTCAATCAGTCCTCCCACCTCGGCCTCCCAAAGTGTTGGAATTACAGGTGTGAGCCACCATGTCTGGCCGTAAATTGTATTTATTTATTATTTTTCCTTTTTAAAAAATTTCCAGCCCTATAAATTAATTTAGTAGATCTCTATCTTATATTTTTCCTTTTAAAAAATTTTCCAGCCCTGTAAATTAATTTAGTAGATCTCTATCTTCTGCTTTCTCCTTGCATGTTTCTGTCAGAATTTACGTGTCTCTTTTGTAATTGTGGATACTTGTTTATCTCACCAAGAGACCCAGGTTTTTGAGAGCAAAAAAACCATGCTGGTGAGGTGATTGGCACAGTCAATCCAGTATAAGCTTTGGAGTTTGATAGGCTTAGGGTTTATATTTGGCTCTACCACTGGGGATATGAGGCCTTGGGGGACCACTTAACCTCTCAGACTTATTATTTATGATCCTTGTAATAAAAGGGACAATAATTTCCTGCTCAGACCTCCTTCTTAGACAATCTGCACAGTACACATCTCCAGAAGGATAGCCCACATATCTCTTGCCATCACTTCGTCTGGCCACAGCTGTGCTAGTAGAAGTGCAATTGACCCCAATATTGGGGGATCTAATATCTCTCCCATTTGTCTGGAATTTGGACACAGAAGCCAAATTAGTTCATCTGCAGAACTAAACTGCATGGTCATGTAGAGATGATGCCACAGCCACAGCAGAGGAAAGCTAAAGTGGGGAAGGAGAGAGAGCATCACTGAGCAGAGAAAACCAATCTAGTGAAAGTTGGAAAAGCGGGAAAAAAAATTAAAAACAAACTGAAAAATTATCACCTCAATATTGTCGCATCTGCTTTTGTGGCTCTGCTAACAAAAAACCTAGAGAAAGAAGGATGAAGAGTTGGCATTCTAATTCTTGGAGCAGATTAATGGCAAATGAAACATTTTGCCCAAGATTGGAAAAGGCCCCTCAAAAAGAGTGTTCCTCTCTGAAGACTGGATTGGAATTGATATAGATGGTGTTTCCAAAGAGGGAGGAGTATTAATGTGGTTTGGTGAGATAGAGACTCTATATGACATCATTTCCCCCACATATGAAATGTTATAGCAGCTGATTAAAAATAGTAGCTGGGTGTATCTAAAATATATGAAGAACTCTTAAACTCAACATTAAAAACCAAAACCGAAACATAATCCAATTAGAAACTAAGGAAAAGACATGCACAGACATTCAGTAAAAGGTTATACAGCTGGCAGATAAACACATGAAAAGTTGTTCAATGATCACTAGCCATTACAGAAATGCAAATTAAATCTACAGTGAGATATTACTACAGGCCTTTCAGAAAAGCCAAAATGAAAAATCGTGATACCAAATGCTGTTGATATGAGTGAGGATGCAGAGAAACTGGATCGCTTATATATGGCTGGTAGGAATGTAAAACTGTACAGCCTCTCTAGGAAATAGTCTGTCAGTTTCTTTCAAAACTAGAATGCATTTAACATACAACCCAGCAATTGCCCTCTTGGGCATTTATCCCAGAGAAATGAAAACTTATTTTTACACAGGGACTTGTACATGACTGTTCATATCAGCTTTATTTGTAATCGTACCAAACTGAAAACTACCCAAATGTCCCTCAATGTGTTAATGGTTAAACAAACTATGGTACATTCATATCATGGTATACTACTCAGCAATGAAAAGGAATAAACTATTGATACACTCCACAACTTGGATTAACCTCAAAGACATTATGCTGAGTAAAAAAAGCCAATCTCAAAGGAATATAAACTACAGAATGTAATTCATATAACATTCATGAAATAATTGTAGAGATAAAGAACAGATTACTAGTTATCAAAGTTAAAGATGAAGGCCAGACATAGTGGCTCACACCTGTAATCCCAGCACTTTGGGAGGGTGATGTGAGCCCAGGAGTTTGAGACCAACCTGGACAACATATGAGACCCCATCTCTACCAAAAATTGAAAAATTAACCAGGTGTGGTGGCACATATCTGTAGTCCCAGCTTCTTGGGAGGCTGAGGTGAGAGGATTGCTTGAGTTCGGGAAGTTGAGGCTGCAGTGAGCCCTAATCGTGCTACCACATTCCAGCCTGGACAACAGAGTGTCTCTATTTAAATTTTTTTTTTTCTTTTTCTCTTGACATAGAGTCTCGCCCTGTTGCCTGGGCTGGAGTGCAGTGGTATGATCTCCGCTCCCTGCAAACTCCACCTCCCAGGTTCAAGCGATTCTCCTACCTCAGCCTCCTGAGTAGCTGGGATTACAAGCGTGTGACACCACACCTGGCTAATTTTTGTATTTTTAGTAGAGATGAGGTTTCATCATGTTGGCCAGGCTGGTCTTGAACTCCTGACCTCAAGGGATCCACCTACCTTGGACAGAGACACTCTCTAAAATAAAATAAAATAACATAAAATAAAATAAATATAAGAAATGAAGTGAAATGAAATGAAAAAGAAAAACCCTAATGTGGCATTTGTAGCTATTGGGAGAGAATTTGTATTCCTGGCTCCCCAGCATGGCAAAAGCTCTTCAGGAACAGATGTGTTTTTTTTGTACCTTCAGAGCCTGGCACAGTGCCTATCCTAAACAAGGTCAACAATATATTTCTCCTGTGGACACTGATAAAGGATTCTGAGCCCACAACTGGGTAATCTGAGTAATCTTTGTCAGTATATCAAAAAAAATAGTCATCACTGTTTTGTAGTCATTTTATGCTTAATTTTCAGAAGAATAAAAGGATAGTAAAAAAATTTAATAGAAATGTTAGCAAGAATTTGAACAGTACACCTTTGTTTCAAGTAAATGCTGGTGCACAAACATTTTAAAAGATTACATGCTTGAACCTGGGAGGCGGAGGTTGCAGTGAGCCAAGATCACCCCATTGCACTCCAGCCTGGGCGACAGAGCAAGACTCTGTCTCAAAAAAAAAATACATATATATATATATATATATATATGGAAAAGATTGAAAAGTATGATAAAAGAATTCCTTAAATCATGAAATAGCAAAATGTGAAAACAAGATCAGTAAGATCCCATAATGTATCTTGGATTTATAAAAGCATCAATGAATCCATAAGGCAATCTCAAGATAGAATTTTTTTTTCTATTTGTTTAAGTAAATTTCTCTTGTTCTTTGGAAGAACTCCAAGAAAGAGCCATAAAATACTAGTATTGGGGGAACCTGCTCCCAATATTTCAACGTGGGTTCTTTCTATTTTCCCTAAGTGTTGGCAGGTCTGAGAAATAAAGAGAAAGAGTGGTTTCAGTGGAGACTGATGGTTAATGATGAGTTTTTGCTGATTTGTTTCAGATAACAAGGTAACAGAGATACATTTTTGGTTGTCCACCTAATAGCTATTCCTCTGTTCTTAGTTTAATGGAACCCTCCTTTTGTTTCCTAACAGCAACAAAGTAATTGACATAAGCCAATTATGGCAATCCCATTCCTTTTTGCCAGTGATTGGTCTATGGATGACAATGTTCTAGCCAATGGAATAAGGAGAAATTGGGGCTTCTAAGAAGGTTTTTCTTGCTTGCTGACCTAGGAAGACAAGTATGAAAAATAAGTACCATTTTTTCCTTCCCTCCCTCCCTCCATCCCTTTCTCTCTCTGTCTCTCTTTCTTTCTTTTTTTTTGTCAGGGTCTCACTCTGTTGCCCAGGCTGCTGGAGTGTGGTGGCATGGTCCTAGCTCACTGCAGCCTCAAACTCCTGGCTTCAAGTAATTCTCCTGCCTCAGCCTCCCAAAGTTCTGGGATTAAAGGTGTGAGCCACTACACCCAGCAGAGGAAGTGCTTTTGACCTCACTTTCCCTGCTGTATTTGAACCCTTTATGTTCAGAGCTCTAGAAGTCATCTGTGCCAATGTGGAGACATTGACAACAGGCTGAGAATGACTAAGGAGAAAGTTGGTAAGTGCTTGAGTCCATGCCCATAATACTGCCTCCAGACTTCTGGTGAAGTGAAACAATAAATGTAGTGTTTAAGCCAGTGATTCTCAGCCTTGGCTGCACAAGAGAATCACTCTTAATGCCCAGGACAATACCCATGCCAATGAAATCAGGTCTCACCAGGTGGGAGCCAGGCCTCCTGGGTGATTATGACATGCAGTCAATTTTAAGAACCACTGGTTTAAGCCAATTTTAGTTGGGCATTACGTTTCTAGAAGAAAAATATATATTATATATATTAATATATAAATATATTTTTACATAAATATATTTATACCTATTATAATATATATTAATATATATTATATGTATATATACTATATTTATTATATACTATATATTATATAATATGTATATACTATTTATATTATTTAATGGCATCTCTAGAAAGGCAAAAGAAAAATTTTGTGTGATCAGGATTCAACAAGTGATTTGCCAGTTTTCAGAGACAGGTCTTAAAACAAATAAGATATATATATATATCTTATGTCTCCACAGTAGTTTCTGATTGAAAACATATTTATTTTCAGCCAGATAAAACTCAGAGCCCCCAAATGGTGACAAGATCAGAACCCGTTTGTTTTCTCATCAGCTTTGGCTCATCCACCTGTGAAACATTCATAACATTGCAGTTAATTTCTACAAATACTTGGATGACTGGCTGGGACAAATGTACAGTAGCAGTTGTGGTGCTAAAAATAAAAATATAGCTAGAACAACAAAGAAACATGGTTTTGCACCTCTCTGCTGAGCTCTTCCATTCCCTTTGTCTTTATTGTAATTTCCAGTTTGCTTTTTTAATGCTGGTATTTCTAGCAAAATGGTGGCCACTGGTCTGGTCTTATAGGCAGCAGCATTTCTGAGTTTTCTAGGTGTAACATAATCAACTAAAGAGCATTAGGAGACTCCTGCATCCACATGAGGAATTGTTCCATTAAGATCATAAGCATCTGTCCTCCCCTCTCACATCTGTGTTCTTATTGAGAGGAGAACTGCAAAATACAAACAAGGAAGCAAACAAAACAAAACCAAAACAGAGCTTGGTAAAATCGTCTGTTTCTCCAGTGTTTTAAGACCTGTCTCTGAAAACTGGCAAATCACTGCTGAATCCTGATCACACAAAATTTTTGCTTTGCCTTTCTAGAGATGCCATTAAATAATATAAATGAAATGAAAATAAGAAGGAAATAAATCCACAAAATCAATGATCAGTGATGAAGTGAAAGGGATGGGGATATCCATGCATGAGAACAAATTTAGGAAAACAGAAAGAAAAAAAAAGGAAAGAAAAAGAAAGGAAGGAAGGAGAGAAAGAAAGAAGAAAAAAAGAAAAAGAAAAGGAAGGAAAGAAGGAAGAGAGGAAGGAAGGAAGGAAGGGAGGGAGGGAGGGAAGGAAGAAGGAAAGATGGATCACAAGACCTTGCCTCTACAAAGTTAAAAAATTAGCTGGGTGTGGTGGCATGTGTCTGTAGTTCCAGCTACTCAGGAGGCTGAGGTGGGAGGATCGTTTGAGCCCTGGAGGCAGAGGTTGTAGGGAGCAGAGATGGCCACACTGCACTCCAGCCTGGGCAACAAAGCCAAACCCTTTCTCAAAAAACAAGAAGAAGAGAAAAATGTTAATGGGCACATGAGTCACCTGGGATTTTGTTACAATGCAGATTACAATTCAATACCAGTTCTAGGAAAGGGCATGAAATTCTGTATTTCTTTTTTTTTTTTTTTCTTTTTGAGACAGAGTTTCACTCTTGTTGCCCAGGCTGGAGTGCAATGGCGCGGTCTCAGCTCACTGCAACCTCCACGTCCTGGGTTCAATCGATTCTCCTGCCTCAGCCTCCCAAGTAGCTGGGATTACAGGTGCCTGCCACCATGTCCAGCTAATTTTGTATTTCTTTTAGTAGGCACAGGATTTCACCATGTTGGCCAGAGTAGTAACCTCAGGTGATCCTCCCACCTTGGCCTCCCAAAGTGCTGGGATTATAGGCGTGAGCCACCGCGCCTGGACAAAATTCTGCATTTCTAACAAGTTCTCAGGGGATGCCACTGAGGCTGTTCTGGTCTGTGAACCACATGTTGAAGAAGTAGCAAGGAAGAATACATAGGGTGGGGCTATGGCCCAGGAAAAGCAGGGTGTGCCCTGCGGCCCCTGAGAAGGGCTGTAGACTGAGGGCAGGAGTGAGACTTGGGGCTGGAGCCAAGAATCATTTCAGGGGTTGAAGACCCAGCACCAACAGAGTCCACATAGGCAGAAGGAAGAGAGCTGGTACTATTGTACCTCAGCGTATCGCCACGGAATTCGAGTCCACAGTTACCCAATCATATTTTTTTTTTTTTTTGAGACAGAGTCTCGCTGTGTTGCCCAGGCTACAGTGCAGTGGCACAATCTTAGCTCACTACAATCTCTGCCTCCCAGGTTCAAGCGATTCTCCTGCCTCAGCCTCCCAAGTAGCTGGGATTACAGGCATGCGCCACCACACCCAGCTAAATTTGTATTTTTAGTAGTGACGGGATTTCACCATGTTGGTCAGGCTGGTCTCGAACTCCCAACCTCAGGTGATCCGCCCACCTCGGCCTCCCAAAGTGCTGGGATTACAGGCGTCAGCCACTGCACCTGGCCACCAATCATAATTTTTAAAAAGACAGAAATCTAGAATTTGTGTGAAATATCTCAATTTTGTTTCATTGTTGGCAACTAACTAAAATGCAAAGCTTCTGTGCTAAAGAACACGAGCACATTTTCTAAGGAGAACCAGAGCAGCATATTCTGGCATTTCAGGGTCCTGCACACTTACAAAGCCCAATAAGGAGGGTGCAAGCCAAGATGAAACACAGGTGCCAGGATAATGAATGACCAGGTAGTACTAAGAACTCAGAAAACATGAGGGATGATCAAGGGTCTAGTGGAGGTAGAATCCCCATTTCAATTTCACTCCAGGAACATTCTCCACTGAGTGACACGTGAACATGATCCTGGCCAAGGGGAGAAGGGATCCTAGCATGCCACTTGCTCTGCAGTGTCCTCAGGGCACATAGTCACAGAAAGGTAAATTCTCCCTATTAGTTTTCCACCTTGCAGAGTGAACAGATTATGGACATTTCAATGGTGGTTACAGAACAGAAAGAAAATACTAAAAATTTTTGACAATGTGAAGAAAGAGGAGCAGTCTAGTTTTTTGTTGTTGTTGTTGTTTTGACAGAGTCTCACTCTGTAGCCAGGCTGGAGTGCAATGGCGCAATCTCGGCTCACTGCAACCTCCACCTCCTGGGTTCAAGAAATTCTCCTGCCTCAGCCTTCCAAATAGTTGGGACTATAGGCGTGCACCATCACACCCAGCTAATTTTTCTATTTTTAGTAGAGACGGGGTTTCACCTGTTAGCCAGGATGGGCTCGATCTCTAAACCTCGTGATCTGTCTGCCTCGGCCTCCTAAAGTGCTGGGATTACAGGCGTGAGCCATCACGCCCAGCCTATGAGGGGAAGTCTTTAGAAGGGACAAGGGTAAGGAATTAGTGTGCTAATGTTCTCTGCTTACAAAGTGGGAAGTCAGTTGGCTTTCTAGGGTGGCTGGGACAAAATATGAGACTTAAGCATGTTGATTAAAGATACAGAGGTGACCAGTAGAAGAACTAAGAATAGTGATGTCACTATGGGGGAGAGGGGTAGATGAGCTAAATTCTTGTCTTTCATAGCAGTAGGTTAAAAGTAAATGTCCAAAGCTGATTAGTAAGAAATAGCAGTTGAGGGCACGGTGGCTCATGCCTGTAATCCCAGCACTTTGGGAGGCTGAGGCAGGTGGATCACCTGAGTTCAGGAGTTGAGACTAACCTGGCCATCATGGTGAAACCCGTCTCTACCAAAAAATACAAAAAATTAGCTGGGTGTGGTGGCACGTGCCTGTGGTCCCAGCTACTTGGGAGGCTGAGGTGCGAGAATCGCTTCTACCTGGAAGGTAGAGATTGCAGTGAACCGAGACTGCTCCACTGTGCTCCAGCCTGGGTGACAGAGGGAGACTCTGCCTCGAAAAATAAAATAAAATAGCAGCTGAAACACATTATTTAAAGATGTGCCAGGTGCAGTGGCTCACGCCTATAATCCCAACACTTTGGGAGGCCGAGGCGGGCGGATCATGAGGTCAGGAGTTCGAGACCAGCCTGGCCAACATGGTGAAACCCCGTCTCTACTAAAAATACAAGAATTATCTAGGCGTGGTGGTGCGCACCTGTAATTCCAGTTACTGGGGAGGCTGAGGCAGGAAGAATCGCTTGAACCCAGGAGGCAGAGGTTGCAGTGAGCCGAGATCATGCCATTGCACTGCAGCCTGGGTGACAGAGCAAGATTCTGTCTTTAAAAAAAAAAAAAAAAAAAGACGTGGTGGTGGTCACCACTGGAAGAATCAAAGCAGAAAGCATTGGTTAAACAATATTGCCTCTCAGGAGCAGAGCTGAGGGTGGAATTATGGCTTTCCGTTTTATAAGCTTTTTTTTTTTTTCTCCGACAGGGCCTTGCTCTGTTGCCCAGGATGGAGTGCAGTGGTGTGATCACAGCTCACTGCAGCCTGAACCTCCTGGGCTCAAGCGATCCTTCTACCTCCGCCTCCCTAGTAGCTGGGACCACAGGCGTGTGCCACCATGCCTTTTTTTTTTTTTTTTTTTTTTTTTGCAGAGATGGGGTTTTGCCATGTTACCCAGGCTGGTCTTGAACTACTGACCTCAGGCAACTCGCCTGCCTTGGCCTCCCAGAGTGCTGGGATTACAGGTGTGAGCCACTGCACCCACCCTAGCTCATGTTTTTCTATTTGATTTTTTAAACCATATGTGTGTATCACTTTGGTTGATACTTGAGCAGTACGTGACACATTTATAATTAACCAGAGTGGGCAACATAGTGAGACCTCATCTCTACAAATAATTTAAAAATTAGCCGGATCTGGTGGCATGCACCTGTAGTCCCAGCTGCTCAGGAGGCTGAGGAGAGAGAATCACTTGAGCCTGGGTGGTCTAGGCTGCAGTGAGCTGAGATTGTGCCACTGCACTTCAATCTGGGTGACAGGGCAAGACCCTGTCTCAAAAAAAAAATGAGTGCGTCTACAAACATTTATATACATATATATTTTAAAGCCTATGTGGGGTTGTAATTTATAGGAAACAAGGACAGTAGAGAGCACCCCATTTCACAGGAAGAAGTGGCTGTAAAGAAAACATGTTGAACTTGTACACAGTATTGGTTGGCTCAAGGCAATGAGAGAGCCAAATGATGAAGCAGGAATTAATATCTAGGGGGTCTGGTTGAAGGGCGTATGGGAATTCTTTGACTATTTTTGCAAATTTTCTTTAAATCTGAAATTGTAAAATAGAATTTTTTTTTAAGCCCTGGAAAATCTAGTAGTATTTCTTCCCTTTTGCACTAGGCATTTCAGCATGTTTGAAAAGCAGCTTACAGTGAATTAGAAATGTGGGATTCATTACAAAATTTTGTTTGGAATAATATTTAGACATTTGAGGGCTAAAGGAAAATAACATGTCCTGCTCTTTGTAGAAAACCAGCTGTGTGTTGTCTGATAGAGTTTTCAAGATGTGCTGGGCGATTGAGAGGTGCAGGCCAGCCAAGCTTGCCTGGAGGCAGAGCTGACTGAGGTGGGGAAGAGAGCCGCTGTGTTGTCTGACCGTGGCTCTGCCAGAGAGGGAGGCTGGCAGTTCCTGACAAAGGCAAGCTTGGCACTGCTGAATCAAGAGATAACATTTTCCATGGATTGTACATGGCTTATATTTCTTTTCTTTTCTTTTCTTTTTTTAATATAGAGAAAGGGTTTCACCATGTTGCCCAGGCTGATCTTGAACTCCAGAGCTCAAGTGATCCACCCAAAGTGCTGGGATTATAGGCATGGGCCACTGCACCCAGTCAACTTATATTTCTTTAGGCTACCCCTACACATGGCCTCTAATTTGATAACTGGCAGTAAAAGTCCAACGCTTTCTTTTTCATTTGTTTTGACAGGAAATGATTCTTGTTTAAAACATACATTTCCTGGCCGGGCTCAGTGGCTCACACCTGTAATCCTAGCACTTTGGGAGGCCGAGGCAGGCGGATCACCTGAGGTTGGGAGTTCGAAACCAGCCTGACCAACATGGAGAAACCCTGTCTCTACTAAAAACACAAAATTAGCCAGGTGTGGTGGTGCATGCCTGTAATCCCAGCTACTCGGGAGGCTGAGGCAGGAGAATCGCTTGAACCCCGGGCGGTGGAGGTTGCAGTGAGCCAAGATCGTGCATCTGTACTCCAGCCTGGGCAACAAGAGTGAAACTTTGTCTGAAAAAAACAAAAACAACAAAAAAACATACATTTCCTATGTTCCTTTATTGATTGCTCAGCATGTGAGAGGTCCTGAGCTTAGTTCTGTTTGAACTGGGTTTCATTATTATCCCCACTTTACAGATAAAGAGGCTGAGTTAAGAGAGGTTAAATAATTTACCTAAGGTCACATGCTTCAGATTTTTATCTAAGTACAGAATAGTATCTTAAAAAATATCTTAAAAACAGAATAATTTGTTTATCTATAACGGGTACAGATTTAAGACCCTGACAAAGGTCATCTTATTGTCCTTGAGTGATAGCCAATGATGAAGACTTCTGTTGTTAATAAGAGATTTTAATAAGAAGCTCTTTTTGTAAACTATGAAAATTTTGTTGTAACATGGAAAAATTCATATAGTGCTAATAATAACAATAAAAGAAAAAAGGAGGTTACCAGTGAAATGTAAAGATGTAAAATAAGGCCAGGCATGGCGGCTTGTGCCTGTAATCCCACCGCTTTGGGAAGCTGAGGTGGGCAGATCCCTTGAGCCCAGGAGTTTGAGACAAGCCTGGGCAATATAGTGAGACCCCGTTTCTAAAAATAGTTAAAAAAAATTAGCTGGGGGTGGTGGCATGCGCCTGTGGTCCCAGCTACCCAGGAGGCTGAGGCAGGAGGATTGCTTGAGCCTGGGAGGTCAAGGCTTCAGTGAGCCATCATTGTGCCACTGCACTCCAGCCTGGGTGACTAAAAGAGACCCTGTCTCAAAAAGAAAAAAAGCCCGGGCGCGGTGACTCACACCTGTAATCCCAGCACTTTGGGAGGCCGAGGTGGGCAGATCACGAGGTCAGGAGATCGAGACCATCCTGGCTAACACAGTGAAACCCCGCCTCTACTAAAAATACAAAAATTAGCCAGGCGTGATGGCGGGCGCCTGTTGTCCCAGCTACTCAGGAGGCTGAGGCAGGAGAATGGTGTGAACCTGGGAGGCGGAGCTTGCAGTGAGCCGAGATTTTGCCACCGCACTCTAGCCTGGGCGACAGAGCGAGACTCCGTCTCTAAAAAAAAAAAAAAAAAAAAAGTAAAATAAAATATAACTGTACATAGGAAAACTGATTTTTAAAAATACAGCAAAATGATTATAACATTTTAATCCAGTTTAAAATAATTGTCTTTATTTTTCTAATTAAAAACAGTATATTATTGTTAAACATATGATAAGCTTGCTTAGCAATCACAAAAACCCACTTAATTGAATATCAAAGTGAATGTCCCGCCTGTGGAGATTCAAACAACATAAATTTTTTTAAAAATCAGTCTTGGAAGGAAAAAGGGAATTTAAAATAAATAATATTTACACTTAAAACGAAAAATTCATACACTATTTGCTAAAAGGTTTGGCAATAACTTGACTGTTGTTTTGCCTTAAAGGTGCTTGCCAGCCTGCTCTCAGTGGGAAGAAAGAAAATGTCAGGTTAGACCCTTGTGTGGGAAAATCGGATTATTTCCCAGGTCTCTCTCTTGATTATCAACAATGATTGTTGAGTAAGGACTACTCCTTTCCCATAGGATCAGAAAACCCTGGAGATAAATCTCTTCTTCTGCTCTGTTTTCAAGGCACAAAAAAACCTATCCAACAGCCTTCAAAGAGAATGTGGCAGGCTCAGCTGATGGCTCTTTGCTTAGTATTATAAAATCCCAAGAGAAAGGCAGTGTATAAACCTAACATTTTCTCATTTCCCTTAAGCAGGCATAATACTAATATTTATGGAGGTCTGCAAAGAGCCACTTGATGCAGAAGCCAGGTGACTATAAATGACAGAGGAAATTCACCTGAATTGGTTCAAGATGTGTGTTGCTGGGAAACTATGTCTAGGGGCAAATAGTCTTATTGATTCTAGGAAAACGGTGACACTAAGTAAGTGAACAGACAGGTGCAGCCACACAAATGCCATTTAGCCTTTTTTATTCTTCCTTAGATGAAAGGCTTGCTCCTGTTTTGTATTAAAGCTGATGGAAGATTTTGAGAAAAAAGAATAAGGGATGATTATTTGCTATGATCATCATAATATTATCACTTACGTATATTTACCAAGGCCTTTTGCATACATGCATACATTATTTCTTTTATTTCTTTTTCTTTTTTTTTTTGAGACAGAGTCTTGCTGTCACCCAGGCTAGAGTGCATCTTGGCTCACTACAGCCTCCGATTCCTGGGTTCAAGTAATTCTCGTGCCTCAGCCTCCTGAGTAACTGGGACTACAAGGGTGCACCACCACACCTGGCCAATTTTTGTATTTTTAGTAGATACGGGGTTTTGCCACGATGGCCAGGCTGGTCTCAAACTCCTGACCTCGAGTGATCTGCCCGCCTCGGCCGCCCAAAGTGCTGGGATTACAGGTGTAGCCACAGTGCCTGGCCTGCATACATTATTTCTAATTTTTTAAAACAACTTTTTCCTTCTTGCAAGTGAGGAAATTGCAGCCTAGAGAGATTAAGGATTTCTTCAAAGTCACACAGTAAAGGGCAGAGCTAGGATTTGGAAGCCAGGTCTGTCAGACTTTGGCCTGGGCTCTTGTTAACACAGCTGCCAAATGATCATTTCCTTGTGGTCAGAGGAAAGCATTAAAATAAAATAAATGGCTGGGCATGGTCACTTTTGCCTGTAGTCCCAGCCCTTTGGGAGGCTGGGTTGGGAGGATCCCTTGAGGCCAGGAGTTTGAGACCAGCCTGGGACACATGATGAGACCCTGTCTCTATTAAATGTTAAATTAAAATAAATAACAACAAGGAGTTTGTAGGAACAGAAGGATGCTGAACATGGCCTTAGATTCCATTTGTGGGAACTGGATTTATGTTTGCCAGTGAAAACATTTTCTGGTGTTTTCCTAATATATAATAGGGAAAAATATTTGGGGTCCCAATTAGATTTCAAGTGTGTGGAGGGCAGAGTCATGTCTCTGTTGTATCCGTGATGCCTGTTGTAAAAAAGCAGGAGCAAATGGGTATAACAAGGCTTCCAGATTTGGAGCCAGCAGGCTGTCGCTTGTTAACTGTAGTGACGCTGGGAAGTCACTTAAGCCATCTGAGCTTCATTTTATATATATATGGGGATCATGGCACCCATGTTGCAGATATGTTTAAGGGGTCTGAATTTTATTCCACAATCTTGGGGTAAGACTCATATTAGTTTTCTAAATCAAATTTAACCTGACTTCAAAGCCTATGTGTCGGGGTAGGGCGATCTTTCCTTTGAGGACAACACCAGAATGAGGAGTTGGGAGGCTGCTTTTGGGACGTATGGAAAACAGACAAAGATCTTTATTATTCAGTCCATCTGATGGCCACCGAGATGCTCGTGGTCTAAATGTTTCTTAGAGTTGTCTTAGGGTCTCCCTAAGGCATGCAATTCCATTCCTCCTTTGAAGCTCAGATTCTGCTGTCTCACAGCTGCTCCCAAGGTCATAGCTGTGGGTGGCCAGGAATAGCACTGCTTACGAGTGGGCCAACAGCTTCCACCACCCAATTTAGAAATTCCCTCTAAATCCCTCTTCCCCTGTCCAGGGCAAGGTTTCCCAATGTATAGTTGGCTTGTTACTACCGCAGCATGTCATGGTTTCAGAGATATATTGAGAGACAGACTTTTTTAAAACTTCAAGAGTTATATATTTAATGTGTATTAACAACTTGAGCTAATATATTAAGTCCATGATCTATAGCTTCCTTTTAAAATAACTTTAAAATGTCAGTCAATATAAAGTGAAAAATAATAATTTCATAATTCCATAATATTACCATCAGTAAAGCAGATATTGCAAAAATCTTGAAGAGCTACAGGAATTTCTGAGGTCTGAGAAACATTTGTCTAGACACAGCGCTGTCCAACAGAAATATCACATGAGGCCGGGCACAGTGGCTTACGCCTGTAATTCCAGCACTTTGGGAGGCCAAGGCAGGCAGATCACTTGAGGTTGGGAGTTCAAGAACAGCTTGGTCAACATGGTGAAACTCTGTCTCTACTAAAAATACAAAAAATTAGCCGGGTGTGGTGGTGCACGCCTGTAGTCCCAGCTAACTTGGGAGGATGATGCAGGAGAATTGCTTGAACCCAGGAGGCGGAGGTTGCAGCAGTGAGTGGAGATCGCGCCTCTGCACTCCAACCTGGATGACACAGCAAGTCTCCGTCTCAAAAAAAAAAAAAAAGAAATATCATATGAACCACAAATGGAAACCACCTATGGGTATGTAATTTAAAATTGTCTGTTTGTCACATAAAAAAGAAATAGGTGACATTAATTTTGATAATACATTTTATTTAACCCAATATATCCAAAATATTATCATTTAATATGTAATCAGTATAAAAATTATCTGAGATATTTTAGGTTCTTTTTTCCTTAATACAAAGTCTTTGAAACCTGGTATAGGTTTTATAGGTACTGCACATCTCATTCAGGCTAACCGTGTCCCAGGCACTCAGCAGGCACACATGGCTAGTGGCTACTGTACTGCAGCATGCAAGTCTAGGGAAGTGAGGATAGATTCTGCCACTTGAGTCTCCAAATCCCACAATGGCTGTCGCCAAACATTTTTTTGCTCAGGTACCTCCAAAAGAATTATAGAAACCATGGCCGGGCGTGGTGGCTCACGCCTGTAATCCCAGCACTCTGGGAGGCAGAGGCGGGCGGATCACGAGGTCAGGAGATTGAGACCATCCTGGCTAACATGGTGAAACCCCGTCTCTAGTAAAAATACAAAAAATTAGCCGGGCGTGGTGGCGGGCGCCTGTAGTCCCAGCTGCTCGGGAGGCTGAGGCAGGAGAACGGCGTGAACCCGGGAGGCGGAGCTTGCAGTGAGCCAAGATTGCGCCACTGCACTCCAGCCTGGGCGACAGAGCGAGACTCCGTCTCAAAAAAAAAAAAAAAAAAAAAAAGAATTATAGAAATCTATGTGTCCTCTTTCTACCCTCCTCTGCCTCACACACTCATTGATAGATTGATAACTAAAAGTTCTATAAGATTAAATAATTGTTAAAGGTATAATTTGCAGTGTCTTCTAAATATTGACTTTAAAACAAAACTATAACACATTTTTAGAATAGTCAATGGAATGTAAATACTATAGCACTTTGTTCCCTACCATCATCCAGTTATACAAATCATTGAGTAAGCTCTTCCTTTTTTTCATTTTTCTTCTTGTTTGTATTTCTCTTTCCTTTACCTAACTTTATCTAAATTTCTCTTATTGATTGTCTCAGATGAGCCTCTCTACAAAAAGAATTTATGTATAAACTTAAATTTAAGAATTAGTTTCTGAGACCATAAGGCTCTAAAGTATTATTGAAGTTATTCTGGATTATCTTTTCATTTTTAGTAGTATATATTGTATCACAACAAAATAAACATGTCACAAAATTTTATATTTACTAAACAGTACAATTCTTTTGGAAACCCATTTCTTAACAAAAAGAACTGGTCTCGCCTCCCACTTCATTCATGAAGCCATGGATAAATATTGTTTATTGCTAGAATGAGAAAATATTCATAATCAATTCTATTCCAATTTTTGTTTTTAAAGACAAAAGTACTGAATAGATGGGAATAGCAGGAGTTATTATTTACCTTGCTTCTATGAAAAATTGTATATATCTGTAAAAATTACATAATGTATTAAAAATAATCTTACATGATCTATTAGCTGACAATATGATTAGACGCTCTTTCAGTTTTGGTGAAAGCAAAGAATTGAGAGTAGCTTAACTTGCAAATGAATACATTACTCAGTTGTTATTGTTACTCCCCATGCAGATAGCAACATTCTGAACTGCTACTTTCACAGGGTGCCTGGGGCAGTGTATCATAGAAAGATATGGGATGCCTGAGGCTGATGACTTTCTTTTGGTAAAGACAGAGCAGGCCAATTGTGCACATGTACCCTAGAACTTAAAGTATAATAAAATAAAAGAAAAAAAAAAAAAGAAAAAAAGGGAAGATGGAAGAGGAGATTTGCCACAAGTCGATCTCTCTGGACAAAAGTGTAAGTGGATATTGATGATATGGAAATGGGTGGGCACCGGCTAGAATTTGGCTTGATGCTGGGGTCTTGGAACAAGGCAATAGGGAGTAGGCTGACTGTGTGAAAGAAAGCTCCAGGTGAGCAACTGGGCTCCTGGTTGTCAATCCTGGATCTTCAGAAGGGAGCTCTGGAAAGAGACATTGCTGTTCATTTGACTCTCCTTTTTTCCCCTGGGGGCTAGGATGGTGGGTTGGTCCAGCTGGGGCTTTGGAGGGCAGCCTTTTACTGAACAAATTACTGATATTTTGCAAGTAAAAACCAGTTTCTTCCTCTTCAAAATGGAAATAACAACACTTCCTCCCAAGGGGTTTCGGAAACTTCCCAGACGCCATGATTATAAATGCAATTTCCCACTAGTCTCCTTCTAATTTTTCTTGTCACTCTCCCCACGAATCATCTTCCTTTTCCTTTTCTTTTCTTTTCTTTTCTTCTTTTCTTTTCTCTTTTCTTTTCTCTTCTCTTCTCTTCTCTTCTCTTCTCTTCTCTTCTCTTCTCTTCTCTTCTCTTCTCTTTTCTTTTCTTTTCTTTTCTTTTCTTTCTGTTGGGGCCGGGCTTAGTGGGTGGCGCATGCCTGTAATCTCAGCACGTTGGTGTAATCATGCTGTAATCCCAGCACGTTGGGAGGCCAAGGGGGTGGATTACCTGAGGTCAGGAGTTCCAGACTACCCTGGCCAACGTGGTGAAACCCCATCTCTACTAAAAATACAAAAAATTAGCGGGCGTTGTGGCGGGTGCCTGTAATCCCAGCTACTTGGGAGGCTGAGGCATGAGAATCATTTGAACCTGGGAGGCAGAGGTTGCAGTGAGCCATGATCGCGCACCATCACACTCCAGCCTGGGCAAAAAGAGTGAAATTCCATCTAAAAAAAAAAAAATTAAGTTGGACAGCTTATGCTGATCTGTTCCTTTCAGCTGATAACAAAGATCAGATCCACTTTTACCCTGGGGTGTAAACTAAGCCCCATTAAGATAATCTTCAAAGCTTGTTTAAAGATCTGTTTTTGCTCCTTGATAACTGTCTATTTTCAACAGGTAAAGTTTCAGTTTAGTCTAGACACATTACAAGGAGTCAGTCTGAGAAGCTTGGATGAGAGGGTAAGGACAGTTAAGAGTCAAAGGTAAGTATGTTTCTGGGTATTCTCTACCCTATTTTGTGGAATCTTCCAATTACTAACATTCAAATGGCCAGGCATGGTGGCTCACACCTGTAATTCCAGCACTTTGGGAGGCGGAGG
The DNA here is from genome assembly GCF_000001405.40 of Homo sapiens. Taxonomy (NCBI): domain Eukaryota; kingdom Metazoa; phylum Chordata; class Mammalia; order Primates; family Hominidae; genus Homo; species Homo sapiens. The sequence goes on along the minus strand of NC_000014.9, from coordinate 54,914,799 downwards.
CGGGTGGATCACGAAGTAAGGAGTTCGAGACCAGCCTGGCCAATATGGTGAAACCCTGTCTCTGCTAAAAATACAAAAACTAGCTGGGCGTGGTGGCGCATGTCTGTAGTCCCAGGTGCTTGGGAGGCTGAGGCAGGAGAATCGCTTGAACCTGGGAGGCGGAGGTTGCAGTGAGCCGAGATACACCACTGCACTCCAGCCTTGGCAACAGAGCAAGACTCCATCTCAAAAAAAAAAAAAAAAAAAAAAAAAAAAGCTGAGACAATAAAAAAAAATGAAAATGAGGATTTCATTGTAAATGCCTTCTTCCATGATTTTCAAGAAACAGGGCCACTAATCAGGATTTGATGAGATCAACAGGGTTTTGCGTGCCCCAGCTTTTCAGTGGGAAAATTACATAGTGGGAACTCAATTTTAATTTAAAATGGACACATGCAGACCTAAATGGTGGGTGGATCACAGACTAGAGAAAAAGGTTTCAGAGCATCTCCAATGGGACACAGGAACTAGGAAGTCTACATAACAGCAAAATGGAGCCTGTTCTCTGTGCCCTCAGATGTGAATTTTCACAGCTTCCAGTTACACCCCTCTCTAATAATACTTCTCAAATTTCCACATGGGATGTCAATGACATGTTATAGAAACACAAACTATTGGAAATTTTAAAATTGGATTTCATTCTTACTGATTTCTCAATTACACATCTTCCAACAGGCTTTGGCATCTAGAATGAATGACAAATAACAAGTGTCATTCACCAAGCACCTAGAATATGTTGGGCACAGTGCTAAGCCATTATATGTGTTATTTCTTTCAACTTCAACAAAATTCAAGTATATTTATATACAGAAAAGTGCCCACAACATAAATGTAAATCTCAGCGAACTATCACAAAGTGAAGCCCCGTATCCCTTTCTTCCAAGTCCCTGCCCATACCTCAGAAGTTCACAAGGTGCCTCTCCCAAGCAAGACCCTCCCCTCCCCTCAAAGATAGGTACTATCCTAACTTGCAATATCACAGACTGATTTCCCTGTTTTTGACTATTTATTTATTTATTTTTAAATTTTTTATAGAGATGGGGTCTCACTATATTGCCCAGGCTGGTCTTGAACTTCTGGACTCAAGCAATCCTCTTGCCTTGGCTTCCCAAAGTGTCTGTGAAATTTATATAAATGGAATCATGTAATATACATTGTATTTTTAGAAATCACTTTAACAACTTTGCAAGGATGGTATTATTGTATTATTAGTCCCATTTTTCTTTTTCTTTTTCAAGGTGGAGTCTCACTCTGTCACTCGGACTGGAGTGCAGTGGCGCGATCTTGGCTCACTGCAACCTCTGCCTCCCAGGTTCAAGCAATTCTCCTGCCTCAGTCTCCTGTGTAGCTGGGATTAACAGGTGTGTGCCACCACACCCAGCTAATTGTTGTATTTTTAGTGGAGAATAGAGACAAGGTTTCACCATGTTGGCCAGGCTGGTCTTGAACTCCTGACCTCAAGTGATCCTCCCACCTTGGCCTCCCAAAGTGCTGGGATTACAGGTGTGAGCCACAGTGCCTGGCGGCCTGCCTCCCTCCCTCCCTTCCTTCCTTGCTTCCTTCCTTTTTGAGACAGGGTCTCACTCTGTCACCCAGGCTGGAGTGCAGTGGCAGGATCACAGCTCATGGCAGCTGCCACCATGCCTGGCTAAATTTTTTTTAATTTTATTTTTAGCAGAGACAGGGGTCTCGCTATGTTGCCCAGGCTGGAGTGCAGTGGCACGATCACAGCTCATGGCAGCTGCCACCATGCCTGGCTAAATTTTTTTTAATTTTATTTTTAGCAGAGACAGGGGTCTCGCTATGTTGCCCAGGCTGGTCTTGAACTCCTGAGTTCAAGTGATCCTCCCGCCTCAGCCTCCCAAAGTGCTGGGATTACAGGCATGAGCCACTGCACTCAGCAGATAGCTTATTTTCTAGAGGACAAAAATGATGTACAGAGTAGTTAAGGGATCTGTCCAAGGTTACATAGCTTCTAATAAGTGACTAAACTAGGGTTCCACGCAGGCCTGTATAAATGCCAAATTGTTTTACTTCTGCACCTTTGCCAAAATCAGAACCAGTGACTTTCCGAGTCTCTTTACAAAGGCTCCGTTTCCTCTCACTCTCTGCCACTGCTCAGATTTCCATGTAAGGACAGGATTAGCCCAACACTTAGCTGTGTCTTTCTCACTTGGCTTGAGGAAGTGTGATGAGGGGACAATGGGGTGAGGGTTGAGTTTCTTTGCTTTCTGATCATTTCTTGATTTCCATCTGATCTATGATCAGTTGGATGCCATTCCCCAGCCTGGCCACAAAAAGGCCTGTTCTCTTTCATAGTTGGAATGTATTTAAGGTTGGTGATTACAACATACAAGGCTGGGAACATTGCTGTTCTTCCCTCCAAGTTTTTGGTTGTATGGGGTACATCCTGGAGCTTTTAAAATATCCTCAGAAATAGGCACAATCAGAGAACCAGATGGTACTTGAATGACTGAAGTTTGGCGTGTACTGTTCAAACACACGCTCCTATTGTGTTAACATTCTGGAAGGTCTCATTAATCTTCTAATTAAACTGTATCTTCCAAACCCATTTATTAAAATTTACAGCCAGGTGTGGTAGCTCACCCCGTAATCCCTGCACTTTGGGAGGCTGAGGCGGGCAGATCACTTGAGGTCAGGAGTTCCAGACCAGCCTGGCTAACATGGTGAAACCCCATCTCTACTAAAAATACAAAAAATTAGCTAGGCATCGTGGCATGCACCTGTAATCCCAGCTACTCGGGAGGCTGAGGCAGGAGAATGGCTTGAACCTGGGAGGCAGAGGTTGCTATGAGCCAAGATCACGTCACTGCACTTCAGCCTGGGTGACAGAGCGAGACTCCATCTCAAAAAAATAAATAAATAAAATAAAATTTACAACTGCCTATGTAGATCAATAAGAACATTTTGCATATTTATATATGCATATGTATAAAAGCTCACCAGTTGGGAAGTATGTTTTATTTTTTAAAATAATAATATTATATATATAATAAAAGTGAGACAAGCAGATTTGGACAGGTGTGAAAGCCAAAAGGAATGAAACTGGTCAAATTAAACCAGTGAGTTAAAGAAAATGAGTTAGCCTTGGAGAGGAAAGTTTATACAATTTTCCTTTTAGATTCTCCACAACTTTGCAAATATACAGACCTACAGGGTGCTATTTCCCAAGACCTAGGACTTACTCACTGCTGTGCTGGAATGTACCCCTTTGTCTAATTGCATAAAATTAGACAAATCTCATCCTCCAAATCTCATCCTCTCATTCCAAATCTCATCCTCCCCACACCTTATTGTTCATGAAAGCCAAAGCCAGCTCCATTCACTGGCTAAACAGTAGCTGCGACTACAGGCATGGGCCACCATGCCTGGCTAATTTTTTTGTATTTTTTGTAAAGACTGGGTTTCACCATCTTGCCCAGGCTGGTCTCGAACTTCTGAGCTCAAGTGGCCTGCCCACCTCAGCCTTCCAAAGTGCTGGGATTACAGGCATGAGCCACCACGCCTGGCCTAGGACTTCTTGTATGTTGGAAACTGAGGGGCACTCAGGCTTTCCTGCTCAAAAACACCTCCCTACCGGCCTAAAATTCAACAGTTTTTGTCACTAGGGTTCCTTATGAAAATGTTAATCTAATACCTGAGCAGAACTGCACATTAACTCAGAATTTTCTCATGGGACAAGATGGGTATAAACAGATATTATATCAATATTAATTATCATATTCCTTAGACATAGAAAAGCAACCAATCTGCCCCCTTTTAAGGGCCTTTCCCAGAAGTGCCATCCAGCAATTTCTACTGATAACTCATTGGACAGAACTATGTCATGTGGCCATTGTAACTGCAGGGAACTTGAAAATGCGTGTGTGTTTTTTTAAAGTCAAGTCCAAGTGTATTGAACTAAGTCCAGGCCTCTCTGAACTGAGTTGGAGATCCTTTAGTAAAAGAAGGGGAGAAATGATATTGGGGTAGGCATCTAGCAGTGACTTGTAGAAACCAATGGTCCATCTGGTATAGGGCTTCATCTTGGTATATGGCATACCCTGATGAGACATCGTGCCTGGCCTCTAATATGCTATCCTGCAATGAACCAATCATAGTCATGAAAACCTCATATCATTACAGACTCACATGTATCTTCCTAGACACTTCTTCTGGTAATGAATATATTTTCAATTTATATACGATTCTTTCTCTGGTTATTTAATAAGTTAGTGAGATTTAAAAATGTATTAAAATTGCTTCAGATCCATCACTGTCATGAATGATGTTAGAAAATATTTGCCAGAAGCCAAACATTTGAACAGCTTTAACCATGACATCAGAAAAACTACAATTACATTCAGGAAAGAGCTGCTTGATGTGTGACATTAAAATGCAGTTCCCCAGGCAACTGAGAGGGAGATACATTCAATAACAACAGAGCTTCCATGAATTGCTAAGATCTTACAGAATTTGCAACACCTTTTATTTATTTTTCATTGACAGTTAAATTACAACTTGAAAGCATCTGCTGACTAGAAAACAAATCCTCTGCTCTGGATAAACTAGGCCTCCTCCCAAAATAACTACTACCGATAGAGGAGCTCGGGAGAAGTGGGGAGCAGTGGAAATGTGCAGATGAGACATACAGCCCTGCCATCGGACACTGTTGTGTTGGAGATAATGCTCTGCAGATAGATATTGATCCATGTCTAGATTGTCCCTTCCTCAGATGATAGAGCCCTGACCCAGTGTTCTCATCATACATAAGTTTGAAAGCCTTCTTGATGAATGGTGTCATTTCGCAATGCCTAGTTGGGAACTCAGCATATGGGCTTTTAATAGTAAATTGCATTCAGTGAAATGCATCTTTTGAGGTATCATTTCATAGTTCTGTCATCAGGTGTTGCACTAAGTACATTAAAAAATATATTAGCCCAGCACGGTGGCTCACTCCTGTAATCCCAGTATTTTGGGAGGCCAAGGCAGAAGAATCTGTTGAGGCCTGGAGTTTGAGACCAGCCTGGGCAACAAAGTGAGACCCCCATCTCTAAAAAACAACAACAAAAAAACCAAACTCTAGTTGGGTGGTGGAGTTTAGGTGTGAGAGTTTGAGAGAGCAACAATATTAAATGGTGGCTCACTCCTGTAGTCCCAGCTACTGGGGAGGCTGAGCTAGGAAGATTGTTTAGCCCAGGCATTCAAGGCTGCAGTGAGCCATGATCATGCCACTGCACTCCAGCCTGGGCAACAGAGCAAGACCCCTTCTTTAAAATAAATAAATAAACACCAAACTTGTAGTATTTACAATACAGTTTTACCTCAGTTAAATCACTCTGTTGCTGAAAATCTTGAAACAAACTATACCCTATTGACTTACATTATAATTAAAAAAAATTTTTTTTCTATTTTCATTAACCAAGGAACAGAAATGTTTTATTTCAACTTTTGATTAATTTTCAGTTAATGATAAGAAACAGCACTTTAAACTGGGTGTGGTAGCACGAGCCTGTGATCCCAGCTACTCAGCAGGCTGAGGCGGAAGGATCACTTCTTTTTTTTTTTTTTTGAGACAGAGTCTTGCTCTTCTCCCAGGCTGGAGTGCAGTGGCACAGTCTCAGCTCACTGCAAACTCCGCCTCCCAGGCTCAAGGGAGTCTCCTGCCTTAGCCTCCCCAGTAGCTGGGATTACAGGCATGCGCCACTATGCCCAGCTAATTTTTTTATTTTTAGGGGTTTCACCATGTTGGCCAGGCTGGTCTTGAACTCCTGATCTCAGGTGATCTGCCCACCTCAGCCTCCCAAAGTGCTAGGACTGCAGGTGTGAGCCACCACGCCTGGCCGAGGATCACTTCTTGAGCCCAGGAGTTCAAGGCCAGCCTTTGCAACAGTGAGACTCCATCTCAAAAAAAAAAAAAGAACACTTCAAGTTTTCTGTCTATACTTAGACTCTCTTAAGTAAAGCAGCACCAAATATTATTTTTTTTTCCCCAAGGGATCTGCCTTTTTAAAAATTTTTAAATTTTTTCTTTTTTCACTGGTTGTAGCAACAATAAAATCTAGGGGAACTTGCTAGAATTAAAATATTGCTTTTGTATAAAGACATTTTTGTCATTAATAATGGCCAATACTTATTTTTCAAATTGTATATGTCTAATACTGTTGCTCTCTCAAACTCTCACAATAAGCCTATGACAAAGACTCTATATATAATACTCATTTTACAGAGGAGGAACCAGGCTTAAAGAAATTAAGAAACTTGCCCATTGACAACAAAGATAATTGATGGAGCCAGGCCATGAACCCAGACAGTGAAACTGAAGGTTGTTTCTTTACCACCGCATGACATGGCTGTTAGGTTTTTTCTACATTTTTCCTTTTGTTGCGCTACTTTTGGTTTCATTTCTAAGAAATCCAATTGCCTAACTCAAGGTCTTGAAGATTTATGCCTATATTTTCTTCCAAGAGTTTAATAATTTTACCTCTTACATTCTGATTTTCTTTTGTTTTATTTTTTAGAGATAAGATCTCGCTATGTTGCCCCGGCTGGCCTCAAACTCCTGGGCTCAAGACTTCTCCAGCCTCAGCCTCCAGCATAGCTGGGACCACAGGTGGCTGTTACTGCACCTACCCGATGAGTTTATTTTTGTATATGTTGTGAGATAGAGGTTCAACTTCTTCCTTTTGTATGTAGATATCCAGTCGTCCTAGTATCATTTGTTGAAAAGAGTCTTCTTTCCCCATTAAATTGTCTTGGCATCCTTGTCAAAAATCAATCAAACATAAATGTAAGGATTAATACACTTGTGTGATATATTTGATTACATTCCCTCACATTCATTGAGTTCTTTACCTCAGGAACCCTAATTATCCTTACACTGGATCATCTTTGTCTTCTCTAATAGCTTTCATGTTTGTCTTTTGTTCTGTATTCACTCTCACGTCTTTCCTTATGTCAGCAATTACAGTTTCAGCAGTATCTACTTTGTACATGGTTCTTTCTAATTGATTCTATAATAATGATGGTCCTCAATTTATTTTGTTGATCCATAGCTCCCCTTTCAATTCTATTATTTTGGCTTTTGTCTTATTAAATTCATGATTTTTGTTTGTTTGTCTGTTTTTTTTAGACTGAGTCTCGCTCTGTTGCCCAGGCTGGAGTGCAGTGGCGTGATCTCAGCTTACTGCAACCTCTGCCTCCCAAGTTCAAGCCATTCTCCTGCCTCAGCCTCCCAAGTAGCTGAGATTACAGGTGCCCACCACGCTGGCTAATTTTTGTATTTTTAATACAGACAGCGTTTCACCATGTTTGCCAGGCTGGTCTCGAACTCCTGACCTCAGGTGATCTTCCTGCCTCAACCTCCCAAAGTGCTGGGATTACAGGCATGAGCCACTGCACCCAGCCTGAATTTATACTTTTATTGAGTTAGTCTCTGGCATCAAACATTCGTGAGGAATTTTCTTCTGTTCCATGAGATTTGCTTTCTTCTTAGTTGCATTATTTGCCTTTATGTCTCCTGCATGCCATATGATGTTCCCCCTTGGTTTTCTTTTGTTTTGTTTGGCTGGTGTGTGTTTGCACGGTTGCCATGCTGTTTCTCTGCCCCCTGCCCATGCTTGGGAGGCTGTTTCCTGACACTGCGTATCTCTGATATTGTTGAGACATCTTCAGGTTTTTCCATGATAACAGAAGCCCTTTTGTTTTCCTGACTCTGCTGCAGTCTGGAGCTTGAGGAGCTGTGTTGCATCCCTTCTTCTGGGGTAATGTGGAGGCAGGGACAGAGTTCAGCAGCGCTGAGGTGCACTTTCTATTAGCATCCCTCTTAGCATCTGCCTGTTCTTCTGAGATGGTATTGCAGATTCTCTACCAGGGACACATGTCTGTTAGGGTATCCTTTATGGGTACATTTAGGCTTTGGATGGCTTATTATACTCAATATGAGGCTCTTGGGCCTTTTTTTTTTTTGAGATGGAGTCTCGCTGTGTCATCCAGGCTGGGGTGCAGTGGCGTGATCTTGGCTCACTGGAACCTCTGCCTCCCAGATTCAAATGATTCTTCTGCCTCAGCCTCCTGAGTAGCTGGGACTACAGGTGCCTACCATCATGCCCGGCTAATTTTTGTATTTTTTATTAGAGACGGGGTTCCATCACGTTGGCCAGGCTATTCTTGAACTACTGACCTCAAATGATTCACCTGCCTTGGCCTTCCAAAGTGCTGGGATTACGGGCTTGGGTCACCATGCCCGGCCACCTTTTCTTTGTACCTTTCTACCTTGATCCAAAATCTCCTCCAGAGTTTGAATTTCAAGTATAGAGCCTCCATCAAGTTCACTTAAATTTGCTTTTTTCCAATTACTGTTGCCAAATACCCAATGTTAGTTTGTCTATTACCCTTGGTGTTTGGACAAATTGAAACTGTGGTTTTCTTCTGCTGTTATACCACAACAACAGTCAACACAGAAGACTCTGTGACCAAATGGGTGGGGGTTTTCTCCCACACACCAAGCAGGGGACATCAGCTAGGTGTCCTCCCTCTTATTTAATTCAATTCTGATTCTGCCTACCTGGAGATAGCTGTAGATCCCACAAGTTGAAGGCTCAGTCCCCAACACTGGCCCCTCCTTTCCACCACTCACAAGTCTGGGCCTCTGGAACTTTTGATTGACTGGCTTCAAGTTGGGGTTTCCACAACCCCCTCTTTGGGTTCAATTAATTTGCTAGAGTGACTCAAAGAACTCAGGGAAACACTTACGTTTACCAGTTTATTATGAAGGATATTACAAAAGATACAGATGAAAAGATGCATAGGGTGAGGTATGGGGTAAGAGGTATGGAGTTTCCATGCCCTCCCTGGGCACACCACCCTCCAGGAACCTCCACATATTCAGCTGTCCAAAACCTCCCTGAGCCCTGCCGTCTGGGCCTTTTATGTTCGTTGTATAGGCATGATTGAAGCATGGACAGCCGTGTCAAGGTGTGATTGACCTCTCTGTGCAGCCATGCTTCCTCCAGGGTATGAGGCAGGACCCTGTTTGCAATGAGGGTTTATGATCCGTAATCAGAAAGGCGGGAGATGATTAGAGTCCTGCCTTTAGTGAGTGGAAGGGGAGCAGAAGGTGAGAGAGAGAGAGAGAGAGAGAGAGAGAGAGATTGATTCTATTTTCTGAGGCCTAAAGTGCCCCAACATTGTAACAAAAGACTGTGAGTTATGAACCAGGTACTATGGCTGAAAACCTACATATACATGTATCATCATATCACACTTGGCAAACAACTCTTTGTACATTTCTGTAGCACTGCAGTGTTCAGTCTCTGACTTGGTGTGTCTTTCTCATCTGCCTCTTTGTTCTGCTGCTGTCCTAGAAATTAGAGACTTTAAAAAATTCCTTGGCTTTTTGGTAGAAAGAAACTCCCAGACTGGGTCCAAGCTGAAAATGAATCCCTTACTGGGTGAAAAACATGGATGCGGTAACAATTCCTGGCTGTAAATGCTCATAATATTACTGTTGAACCATTTTATGCTAATAAATTATCTGGGACCTACTTCCCTTTTGGTTTATTCCTCTTTTTTTCTCCTGTTGCTACTTATAACCATCCTTGTCAACTATCTACATTTTACTATTAAATTATTCATATAATGTTGGTGATTTCAAAGTTTTCTTGTATTATTTTTGGGCATTTGGCCGAAAGGCACTGCCTCCATTTTACAAGTTAGCATGTATCCAGAGGCCCTGTCCTGCAACAAAGGTGCAGGTGCCTCAGTGGCAATACGTGTAAGAAAATGTTAATTTTTAGGGTAAAAATTTCATTAGAAACTGTCTTTGTGGAATACAATATTAGTTAATCTTTACACATGTTTTTAAAGGAAGACGAAAGATTGCCACTAAAAATAAATTCGTACTGAAAGCATCTCTATCTACTCTCTCCATTTTTAAAGTACCTCACTTAGTATCTTTGTTTTCATTTGTTAAATGCAAGGTCATCCTTTGAATGTTGTCTTCAACTATGCTTGAAATAGCTTGAGACCCAGCAGATAATTCTGACCAGGAGGTATCAGCAGACAGTGGGCAGCACAGTTAGAGGAAAAAAATGTTGCAGGGCCCCACTCCCAATAAAAACCTACAATAAAAAATTTAAAAATTTTAATAAAGAGGAAAATGACAAAGAGGTTTTCCAAAGGATGTTCATATTCTCTATTTAAAAACCCCACTGGGCCGGGTACGGTGGCTCAGGCCTATAATCCTGAGCCCTGGAGTTCGAGACCAGCTTTGGCAACATGGTGAAACCTTATCTCTACCAAAAATACAAAAATTAGCCAGTCTCATAACCCGCTCTTAAATAAATAGATTAAAATTTAAAAATAAATAAATAAATAAATAAATAAATAAATAAATAACCCCACTGATATGAACATTTCTTCCATTTTGGAGTAAAGGTGCCTACAAGGCTAGGCAATGTCCATATTTCTTTCCTGAATGTTTCCAACGGGGCTGCGCCTAGAGCAGATGTATCATAAATACTAATTACTTATTATAATGACCAAGCTACATTGTTAGCATAGAATAATTCCACAGGCTTCCCTATTGGTTTGTTTGATCCTAAGCCTATTAATACCTGCTTCTATGTCAGAAAATCTACATTAGGCCAGGCATGGTGGCTCACACCTGTAATCCCAGCACTTTGGGAGGCCGAGGCAGGTGGATCACCTGAGGTCAGGAGTTCGAGACCAGCCTGGCCAACATGGCAAAACCCCACCTCTCCTAAAAATACAAAAATTTAGCCGGGCATGGTGGCAGGTGCCTGTAATCCCAGCTACTCAGGAGGCTGAGGCAGGAGAATCGTTTGAACCCAGGAGGCGGAGGATGAAGTGAGCCTCAAAAAAAAAAAAAGAAAAAAAATATTATTTTGATACATGTTTTAAAGCTCACCTTCGGCATTATGAGATAATCCCTCAAGTGAGGAAAAAGGTCCATTTATTAATCTCAAAGAAAACAGTTACAGCAGATGTCACTGGTTAAGAGTTCAGTTGGTGAATAGCATTTCACAATTTGTACCAACATCTGGGGAAAGACGCTTTGCATGGAACTGTAAAACAATTGAGCACCAAATCTGCACAACTGCGTTTCTAGAAAATGCGATGGGTTTTATAGAGATGAGGTCTTGCTATGTTTTCCAGGCTGGTCTCGAACTCTTGGCCTCAAGCGATCCTCCCGCCTCGGTCTCCCCAAGCGCCGGGAGTACAGGCGTGAGCCACCGACGGAAATGGATTTTAAGTGAAAGTCCTATCTTCGTTTGCAAATCAATTTTTCCAGGATCAAAGTTCTAGCAACCATAAATCCTATCCTTCTAGACATAGGGACCCACATAAGGGCCACTTGATGTGACACTTGCCCCGACAGCGGTGCCACCTGGCCCCTAGGTGGCAGGTGCGTTTTTAACTAAACCCAAGAGTCTGAAGTCACATTATTCTCTTGCCTTGAAAGCTTAAGAGTTGGTTCCTAATCGGTGGCTTAACTCGGTCTCTCTCCAGGCAAGGCCACCTGTTTGCTGATCTTTCACAGGGCGAGGGGACCGGAGCCCTTCAATGCAGCGCCCTCTTGGCCTGAAGAGGGGGCGACTGGGCGCCCAGACCGCGTCTTTCTCACTGAGATCCCAGCTCCTGGACGACTGCCTCTTTTCGGGTTCGGCTCATTCCGCAATAAGTGGAGGGGTCCCGCCTGATCCTAGGGGCCGGCGCCCTTTTCCTTCCCTCCCTGCGCTTGCGAACCCCTCCGGGCGTCTCCGGAGCCGCGACCCCTGCTGGGGACCCCGGGGGCGGGAGGCCGAGGGGCGCGGCGAGGGCCGTGACGCGAGGCGGGGCCGGCCAATGGGAGCGCTCCGCGGCGCAGGCTGAGCCGCCGGGCCATAAAAAGGAGGCGCGGCCGGGCTTTCCAGCCTGTGGCCGCTCCCGGCTCGGAGTGTGATCTAAGCAGGTTGCGTACCTTCCTCAGGTGACTCCGGCCACAGCCCATTGTCCGCGGCCACCGGCGGAGTTTAGCCGCAGACCTCGAAGCGCCCCGGGGTCCTTCCCGAACGGCAGCGGCTGCGGCGGGTCCATGGAGAAGGGCCCTGTGCGGGCACCGGCGGAGAAGCCGCGGGGCGCCAGGTGCAGCAATGGGTTCCCCGAGCGGGATCCGCCGCGGCCCGGGCCCAGCAGGCCGGCGGAGAAGCCCCCGCGGCCCGAGGCCAAGAGCGCGCAGCCCGCGGACGGCTGGAAGGGCGAGCGGCCCCGCAGCGAGGAGGATAACGAGCTGAACCTCCCTAACCTGGCAGCCGCCTACTCGTCCATCCTGAGCTCGCTGGGCGAGAACCCCCAGCGGCAAGGGCTGCTCAAGACGCCCTGGAGGGCGGCCTCGGCCATGCAGTTCTTCACCAAGGGCTACCAGGAGACCATCTCAGGTCAGTGCGCCCGCGGGCTGCTAGAGCGTGCGGGCGGCGGGGGCGGTGCTTGCAGGAAACGCGCGCCGGCTCCAGGAAGTTTCCGGAGTTGCCTCACTTTTGGCGCAGGAAGCCGGGCGCTGTCACCTCCGAACCCGCCCTAGCCTGCCGCCCTGCCGAGGCCCTGCGTGGGGCACAGTCGGGGCTTCCTGGGTGGCAGCGACCTCTCAGCCCCGGAACTCGCTGCAGCCGCCTTCCAGGGGCCCTTCCCGCTCCCAGCGCGCAGCCCTCCTAGAACGCCCCGGGTGGGCGTGGACGGGAGCCCGGAGCCCTCTCGCCTGAGCGCCCAGCGCGGGATTCTCGGGGTACCTGCGGTTCCAAACTTGCCCACGATAAGGATCACCTGGGCACTTGCTGCGGCGACGGCTTCCTGGGTAGTTCCTTATTGAGATCCCATTGTCAGGGTGTGTATCTGGATTGAAGCCTCGGCGCGATCCTTCCCCGAAACCTCGGGGACCTGCATTCCCACTGATTTGCCAGGGGATCGGAGTCTTAGAGTTGTGCTTTTTTTTTTGTCCACCTCAAGTTTACTCCAGTTCAGGACATTTACAAAATTCGGCACAATTTTGGGCACGGGCTTCCCCGGAGTTTGAGGTGTGAGGTTGATTGGGTGAGTTTGCTGCTGAAATCTGTTTCCTCCCCCCACCCCCAACCCCGCAAAAAGCAGTAAAGCTACTCCGGGATTCGGAGGGCTCCGTGGGTTCCAGGACTCAGTCTCATCCCCGCACCCTCCCACCCTAAAATAAAGCCGGGTTGACCCGGTGCTGTTAGCGTCTGAGGCGTGTCGGCTTTTCACCCAGAGGGTGGGGATGCAATCAGTGTGGGTAGGATGCAAGATGGGGTGATGGAGAGTGGAAAATGGGGACTTTGCTGCCTGTTGGCCAGAGAAGCAGTATTGGTCTGTGTTTAAAAAAATAAAGCTTCTGGCTTCTACAGCTGGGACCAAAGACATTATTTTCCAGTCTACACCTTCCGTGTGTCTTGGTGACATTTATTTATTTGCCCTAAGAAGCATTCTACCGTTCACTGTTTTTTGAAAGAAAAACAGTGCGCTGGAAAGGCAATCTCCCTGCCCCAGTTATTTCTCTGAAGGAGTGTAGAGCGATTCCACCAAATAGACCCTGGGAAAAAGAAAGTTATTTTTTGCCCAGTCTTCCACACCCCAAAGGAAGGGTGGGAAATCAGAATGTGAAAGAGACGGGGCCCCAAAAGGAAATGATGCTACACTCTAAAACCGGCAGTGACTTCTAGTTCTGTTTCCAAATTCACTTTTTTTTACCCCTCAATTGCAAAAGTTTGGAATCTCAGAAGAGATTTCAAAATACAAAGACTGAAAAATAAACTTTCAGTTTTCTGTGGGATCAGCTCTTTGGAGGTCTAGGGCTTTAAATTTGTGTGTGTGTGTGTGTGTGTGTGTGTGTGTGTGTGTGTGTGTGAGATATTTCACAATGTAATGAAATGTCTTCTTAAGGCCTTACTCATTTTGCCCCTTGCAGACACAGAAAGTGGTTTACTTCACAGCATCGGCCAGGCTTTGGGAATCCTCCCTTAAAGAGAATTCATAGGACAGTGTTCTGTAATCTAGCATGGATCTAATTACCCAAAGAGAGAGGAATTTCTGACCCTGAGACAGGTCACAGAATTATCTAAAGTGACTCACAGATTTACTTGAGAAATGGTTAGCTGAAATATCTCATGAGCGAAGATTCATTTAAAGAGGATTAATAACTGCAAAGAACACATCATTCCACATTAGAAAACTGTTCTGGTTGGCCGAGCTCGGTGCTCACGCCTGTAATCCCAGCACTTTGGGAGGCCGAGGTGGGCGGATCACCTGAGGTCAGGAGTTCAAGACCAGCCCGGTCAACATGGCGAAACCCCGTCTCTACTAAAGATACAAAAAAATTAGCCGGGTGTGATGGCGGGCGCCTGTAGTCCCAGCTACTCGGGAGGCTGAGGCAGGAGAATCACTTGAACCCAGGAGGAGGAGGTTGCAGTGAGCCGAGATTGCACCACTGCACTCCAGCCTGGACGACAGAGGGAGACTCTGTCTCCAGAAAAAACAAAAAAAACAAAAAAACTGTTCTGGTCAAGTTTTACTATTTAAAAAGTCCATGGGCCGGGCGCGGTGGCTCACACCTGTAATCCCAGCACTTTGGGAGGCCGAGGCGGGCGGATCACCTGAGGTCAGGAGTTCGAGACCAGCCTGGCCAACATGGGAAAACCCATTCTCTACCAAAAATACAAAAATTAGCCGGGCATGGTGTCAGGTGCCTGTAATCCCAGCTACTCAGGAAGCTGAGGTAGGAGAATCATTTGAACCCTGGAGGCGGAGGTTGCAGTGAGCCGAGATCGCACCATTACACTCCAGCCTGGGCAACAAGAACTAAACTCCATTTCAAAAAAAAAAAAAGTCCATGGATGTAGAGACACTGCAAGATTAGTAGTTGTCAGGGACTGGCGAGAAGAGGGGGATGGGTAGTGATTGTTTAATGAGTATGGAGCTTCCTTTGGAGCTTCCTTTTGGAGTCATGAAAATGTTCTGGAACTAGAGAGTGGTGATAGTTGCACAATATTGTGAATGCCACTGGATTGTAACTTCAAGATGGCTAAAAATGACCAATTTTATATATATTTTACCACAATATAAAGACAGGTTTTGTGGCGTGCCTGCAGTCCCAGCTACTAGGGAGGCTGAGGCAGGAGGATAGTTGTTGCTCAGGAGAACAGCCTGGGCAACGTGGGGAGACCCTGTTTCAGAAAAGAAAAGTCCATGGAGCGGACCATTTAAGATTATTATTATTATGTTTATTTTCATGTTTTTGAGACAGGGTTTGGCTCTGCTGCCTAGGCTGGAGTGCAGTGGCGCAATCTCGGCTCACTGCAGTCTCACTCTGCTGGACTCAAGTGATCCCACCTCAGCCTCCTGAATAGCTGGAACTACAGGCTTGTGCCACCATGCCCTGCTAATTTTTGTATTTTTGATAGAGACGGGTTTTTGCCATGTTGCCCGGGCTGGTCTTGAACTCCTGAGCTCAAGGGATCTGCCTGCCTTGGCTTCCCAGAGTGCTAGGATTACAGGTGTGAGCCACCATACCCAGCCCATTTAAGATTATTATAAGCCATTAATTGAATATAATCATGCATTACATTATGATGTTTCCTTCAATGATGGACCACATGTATGAAGGTGGTTTATAAGATTACAATGGAGCTGAAAAATTCACATTGTCTGGTGATGTCTTGGTGATCCTGACCTGTGTAGGCCTAGAGTAATGTGTTTGTTTGTGTCTTAGTTTTTTCCTCTCGTCTCCCCCATGTCTTAGTTTTTAACAAAATTTAAAAATTAAGAAAATTGGGCCAGGCATGGTGGCTCACACCTGTAATCCCAGCACTTTGGGAGGCCAAGGTGGGCGGATTACTTGAGGTTAGGAGTTAGAAAGAGACCAGCCTGGCCAACATGTTGAAACCCCATCTCTACTAAACATGTAAAAATTAGCCAGATGTGGTGGCGCATACCTGTAGTCACAGCTACTTGGAAGGCTGAGGCAGGAGAATCACTTGAACCCAGAAGGTGGAGGTTGCAGTGAGCCGAGATTGCACCAATGCACTGCAGCCTGGTTGACAGAGTGAGACTCCGTCTCAACAGTAAATAAATAAATAAAAATAAAAATTAAAATTAAAAATAGAAAAAGGTATAGAACAAGGATATAAAATATTTTTGCACAGCTGTACAATGTGTTTTTGTTTTAAGCTGTGTTATTACAAAAGAGTCAAAGTTTTAAATACATTAAGCTGAAATTATTGAAGAAAAAATATGTTTAGTGTAGCCCAAGTGTACAGTGTTTATAAAGTTTACAGTAGTGTACAGTAATGTCCTAGGCCTTCACATTCACTTACCATGCATTCACTGACTCACCCAGAGCAACTTCCAATCCTGCAAGCTCCTTTCATGGTAAGTGCCCTACACAGACATACCATCTTAAGTCTTTTCTACTATATTTTTACTGTACCTTTTCTATGTTTAGATGTCTTTCTAAAATTATTATTATTTGTATTTTAAATATAGAGGCAGGGTCTCACTGTTTTGCCCAGGCTGGTCTCGAACTCCTGGGCTCAAGTGATCCTCTCCTCTTGGTCTCCCAAAGTGCTGGGATTACAGGCATGAGCTATCCCACCTGGCCTACATATCTTTAAATACACAAATACCATTGTGTTACAGTTGCCTGCAGCATTCATTACAGTAACATGCCATACAGGTTTGTAGCCTAGGAATAATAGGCTCTACCGTGTAGCCTAGGTGTGTAATAGGCTATCTCATCTAGGTTTGTGTTAGCACTCTCTTCCTTCAGTGTTTGCGATATGAAACTGCATTTCTCAGGTGTTTCTCAGAATGTATCCCCATTGTTAAGCAATGCATGACCGTACTTTTTAATGGGTTAAAAGCTTTACGTTGGATGGTCTTGGTTCATCTTCCAGTTTTCAAGTAAACATTTCTCTTATCCCCATGACAAGGCAACTGAGGCAGAGAGGTTGACACAAGTAGTAGAGCTGGTATTTGAATCCAGAGAGTCTGACTGCAGAATTCTTAGCCACTTCCTTATACTGCTACAGAGAGAACTGAATCAGTGTACCCTATCTGTATATTTCAAACTGTGAATTGGGTCAACAGCATTAAAAAAAAAAGTGGAGTAGCCGGGCGCGGTGGCTCACGCCTGTAATCCCAGCACTTTGGGAGGCCGAGGCGGGTGGATCACCTGAGGTTGGGAGTTCGAGACCAACCTGACTAACATGGAGAAACCCCTTCTCTACTAAAAATACAAAAATTAGCCAGGTGTGGTGGTGCATGCCTGTAATCCCAGCTACTTGGGAGGCTGAAGCAGGAGAATTGCTTGAACCCAGGAGGCGGAAATTGCAGTGAGCCAAGATTGCACCATTGCACTCCAGCCTGGGCAACAAGAGCGAAACTCAGTCTCAGAAAAAAAAAGTGAGTAGAGGTTGGGCACGGGGGCTCAAGTCTGTAATCCCAGCACTTTGGGAGGCTGAGGTGGGCAAATAACGAGGTCAAGAGATCAAGAACCCCGTCTCTACTAAAAATACAAAAATTAGCTGGGTGTGGTGGTGCGTGCCTGTAGTCCCAGCTACTTGGGAGGCTGAGGCAGGAGAATCACTTGAACCCGGGAGGCGGAGGTTGCAGTGAGCCGAGATTGTGCCACTGCACTCCAGCCTGGCGACAGAGCAAGACTCCATCTCAAAAAAAAAAAAAAAAAACAAAAAGTGGAGTAGAATGGATAAGATCAGTCTATCACATATAGTAAGGACAAGTGTTTTGAGAAACTTCTTCTTTTGTTTTTTTTTTTTTTGAGATGAAGTCTCACTCTGTAGCCCAGGCTGGAGTGCAGTGGCGCGATCTGGGCTCACTGCAAGCTCGGTCTCCCGGTTCACACCATTCTCCTGCCTCAGCCTCCTGAGTAGCTGGGATTACAGGCGCCCGCTACCACACCCGGCTAATTTTTTTTTTTTGTATTTTTTTAGTAGAGATGGGGTTTCACCGTGTTAGCCAGGATGGTCTTGATCTCCTGACTTTGTGATCCGCCCGCCTCGGCCTCCCAAAGTGCTGGGATTACAGGCGTGAGCCACCGCTCCCGGCCGAGAAACTTCTATGTAGGTTTTATAGGCATAATTGTGTGTGTGTGCACTGGCTCCAGATGTAAAATGCATTTCTTACTGTAGGTTGTAGTCAAAAGTTTGAAAGCCTGTATCTAGGGGATCTGTTTAAGGATTTAATATTTCTTTTTTTTTTTTAAAGAGATATATAATTAAAGAGAAGACAGAGTAGTGAGAACAAGGATGATGCTGAACTTAAAGGAATGAACCTGAAATGTGGTGGGGTCTTGGACCAACCTGGATGGCAGGGAGAAGGAAGGATACTGGTGGGAGATAGGAGTGAGTGGGAACCCACATCTTTAGGTCCATAAACGCTTCTGCACAATCCCTTTTATTTCTTTAGAGAGCATGAGTCAAGTGGCCACTATATATTGTTTTTGGATAAGAACATACTTCTCTGAAGGTCACTTTTCTGTGCTTGTAAACAGGATACAGGACTTTATATCTTTTATATATCTGTATTCTATATATTAACTCCTGGTTAGTAATGTTGACTTAAGTGTTGTAAAATTTAAAATAAGTTGGTATTTTACATTCTTCAAAATCCATTTTTCCTCCCAGTGCCTCTTGTGTGGATTGATCCAAATTCCTGGCATTCTGGGGAATTTGTTCAGTTTTCCCTACGTTGCAGCGTCTCTCCATGACTGTCTCCTTGTGCACCTTTTCCCTACTTTCCAGTGTGTACCTTCCATGGGAGCATCTGTGGTCATCTGTGACCAGGGTGGTGTCAGGGTTGTATAGGTTTCCTAGTACTATTCCCTACTGGACTGTAGCTCATGGGCTAGGAGGGAGGGCTGGAGGAGACGCTATCATCTCTCCCAGGAACTGGCTGTCCTTTGAATCTACATCACAAGCTGATCCTTGGACCAGCTCAGACCAGCTCGTCTTGATCTATTTCTGTGCCATTTCAGTTTAGCTGTATCCTAGTTCTCTTAAATATTCAAGGTTTTATCTTGGTGAGTTCTCCTTTCTATATAAGGTACCTTTCCTGTATTTCCACTATTCTTTTATTCAGAACCTACACTTAGTTAAATTGGAGAGTCTGCTATTCTCTGAGGGCCTTGATCTTCATGCCCCTGTAACTGACCCTTCCAGGTATACATGGGAACAGCCTTTCAGACAGCATTATCTACCAAGGATTAAATGGGTATAACTTGTTCCATCAGTTGTTTTTTATGAGTTTTTGGGAATATGCAAGAGTCTTGACTCTGTCACATTTCCAGTTAAAGTAGGTTTTAGCTTGTCTGCCAAGACAGTTTTTATAAATCATGTTAACAGTTCAAAATTTTGGGAAGCATGCATATAATCCAGCGTGAGGAGATGGCATTGGAGATGGCTGACTGCTTCCCTGTGAGGGCTGAGGAAGCACAGACACTGGCAGTGAGTCATATCCCCACCTCAGCCATTTTCACTGGAAGATTATGTCTATTCGCTAAAGATAATGGGAGGCAATTAGATACTTTGTTTATACAAAAATGCATCTTAGACACTTCATACTGAAATGTAGCAATCACAAAAGGTTTTTCTTTTTGAATCACAAACCTCTCGGATTTATTAAATTAGACTGCTGTGGTGAACTAAGAATTTTAACAACTTCTAAGATGTGAAGAGGAACAAAAACATAAACTATTTACTATTCTCTCCTATATCATGGGTGAAAGGTGAGTTTATATCCCAAGTTTTAAAGTATATTATAGAAATGCTCTTCTCATCATTAAAAGGTACTATTTTAGATGTGTAGCTCACTCAAATTTTGATCCATTAATAATTTTTGTGCTTGGTTTGTTAATGAACACTTATATAGGACTTAGTTGTGTTCATTGCCAGAAAGAGCACTGTGAATAAAGAAGAAAAAATAACAAGGCACTTTTGACATATTATATGATTGGAATTTTGGACATGTCTAAGTGGAATAAAACAGTTAAGAAGTTACTGAGAAAGGGGGAGAAAAGCCAATCCTAATAGTTTCTTTTAAAAATGGATTATCTATAAACAATTTTTCTGACATGGGAAGAAAAATCAATATACATAACTTCACTATAGCAAGCAAAGCCTTCAGGTTGGTACTCGTACTAGATTCCCAGGGCTGCTATCACACAGTACCGCAAACTAGGTGGTTTAAATGACAGAAATAAACAGTCTCACAGTTCTAGAGACTAAAGTTCCAAAATCAAGGGGTCAGCAGAACCATACTCACTCCAGAACCTGTAGTGGGGGAGGCTGTCCTTGCCTCTTCCCAGCTTCTGGTGGTGGCCGTCAGTTGATGGTGTTCCTTGGTTTGAGCTGCGTCACTCCAGTCGCTGCCTCTGTCAGTGTCCATGTTTTTGTTTTGTCTTATAAGAATGTCAGTCATATGAGGCAGGGTCCACTTTACTCCAGTATGCCTGTGTTAGTTTAGCTAATTACATCTGCAACAACCCTACTTCCAAATAAAGTCACATGCTAAAGATACCTGGGGTTTAGGACTTCAACATATCTTTTTTGGCGAATGGCACAATTCAACTTGTATTAGTACTAAATACTATTATTAAAAAAATTAGTAGGAATTTTACTACAATTTCATTGATCATCAAGTACTACGCACTTCACTGAACGCTGGGAATGCAGGATGAGCAAAACCAGGTATAGTTCCTGCCTTCATGGAACTTACAGCCTAGCAGATAGAATCACATGAAATAGAAATGTGTTGTGAGATTGAGAAATGTGATGATAAACAAAAACACAGCTCAGTGAGAGCACTTGGCATAGGAACTTGACCAATGCCAGGAGATGGGAGCATGAATGGGTGAAGCGATGCTTAAGCCGACTGATGTTCTGAGTAACAAATACTGCTGATGGCTTACTTTGTGCTAAACAGTGAGTTTTTACATGTGTTACCTCATTTGATCCTCACAGTAGCACGATGGGGTAGGCAATATTATTCCCATTTTATACATAAGGAAATTGGGGCACAGAGAGAACTTTCCCAAGACTGTATCTTGAAAGTGGCGGAGCTGAGAGGATGATATAGAAAGAGAATCATTGTAATCTCTGGTAGGTGATTTAATTTTAATAATAATATTTTACTGATTTATTTGAATGATTTCTCCCTTCTTCCTCACCTATCCCCGCTTTTGTATTTTCTCTGCTATTTGCTTTGTCCACCTCTAGAAACCCTTCCATGCCTGGGCATTCCCCACCTGACTCATTTGCCAGTGATTTCTATATGAGGACTGTAATTTGAGTCTAGTATTTGGTTGAGTAGACTGCAGTGTTAAAACTCACCAGGAGAGGGCAACTGTCTAATCATTGGATCCCAGATTATGAATCCTGGATTATGTGAACAATTCTCAGTTCCAGGTTATGCAAACAAATATGTTTCCCATGGTTATAAATTTGCTAGAGTCTATAGTAATTAGATTGGGATATAATTTGTGTTGGGTTATGCAAAGAGTATCTGAACCAAGTTAAATCTGTTATACTCAAGGCCAAGAGGACATTCATTTACTAGAATTTTATTCTATTGGAGCCCATTAGTAGAAATATTTATTTATTTGGAGGCAGAGTCTTGCTCTGTCACCCAGGCTGGAGTGCGGTGGCATGATCTCAGCTCACTGAAACCTCTGCCGCCCAGGTTCAAGCAATTACCCTGCCTCGGCCTCCCGAGTAGCTGGGATTACAGGTGCCCACCACCATGCTCGGCTAATTTTTGTATTTTTAGCAGAGACAGGGTTTCACCATGTTAGCCAGGTTGGTCTCCAAGTCCTAACCTCAAGTGATTGGCCTGTCTCAACCTCCTAGAGTGCTGGGATTACAGGCATGAGCCACCGCACCCGGCCGGAAACATACAATGTTTGTCCTTCATGTCTGGCTTATTTTACTTTGCAAAATGTCTTCAAGGTTCATCCACATTAAAAACATCTATTTTATTTTTATTTTTATTTTTTGAGATAGAGTCTTGCTCTTCCGCCCAGGCTGGAGTGAAGTGGTGTGATCTTGGCTCACTGCAACCTCTGTCCCCTGGGTTCAAGCAATTCTCCTGCCTCAGCCTCCTGAGTAGCTGGGATTACAGGTGCCCACCACCATGCCTGGCTAATTTTTGTATTTTTAGTAGAGACTGGGTTTCACCGTGTTGGCCAGGCTGTTCTTGAACTCCTGACCTCAGATGATCCGCCCGTTTCTGCCTCCCAAAGTGTTGGGATTACAGGCGTGAGCCACCACATCAGTAATTCATTCTGTACAATGTTGTATATTCTCAACACATATTATATTTTAATTTCCTTATTTCAAGAAAACCTTAGAATTGAAGATACAGTAGTTCCCCTTATCCTTGGGGATCTGTTCCAAGACCCCCAGTGGGTGCCTGAAACTGAGGGTAGTACCAAACTGGATTGCCATCATTCAGAATAAATTTCTGTTTGTGTCTTCTACCCACAAATTTCATGCCTTTTCCATCTTAACTAAGCACTTACCATGTGCTGTGGCCATAGCTTTTGCAGTCTGAAGTACAATAACAATACTAGCATGAATTTTTTTTTCCTCCTTCACAGTTTCACAGATAGAAGATTTGTTCTTAATATAGTTTTAGCAACCTCAGCGTAATGATTTTGTTCATTAATAAACTGAGAACTTTAATCTTTTTCACTTGAAGGAAACACAGCTTCTCTTTGGCATAACTGAATTGCCAACGTCACTACTCTTGTGGTTTAGGGCCATTGTTAAGTAAAATAAGGGTTACTTGAAAACAAACACTGCAAAACTGAAGGTTGATTTGATCACTGAGATGGATACTAAGTGACTATTAGGTAGGAAGCATAGACAATGTGGATGCTCTGGACAAAGGATTGATTCATATTCTGGGCAGAAGGGCTGGAGATTTCATCGCAATACTCAGAATAGCGTGCATTTTAAAACTTATGAATTGTTGGCTGGATGCGATGGCTCATGCCTGCAGTTCCAGCACTTTGGGTGGCCGAGGCAGGTCACTGACTTGAGCTCAGGAGTTAGAGACCAGCCTGACCAACATGGCCAAACCTCATTTCTACAAAATGTACAAAAATTAAGCAGGCATAGTGGCATGTGCCTGTAATCCCAGGTACTCGGGAGGCTGAGGCACGAGAATCACTTGAACCCGGGAGGCGGAGGTTGCAGTGAACTGGGATTGCACCACTGCATTCCAGCCTGGGTGACAGAGGGAGACTCTGTTTAAAAAAAAAAAAAAAAAAAAAAATGCCAGGCATGATGGCTCATGCCTGTAATCCCAGCACCTTGGGAGGCCAAGGAGGGCGTATCATTTGAGGTCAGGAGTTCGAGACCAGGCTGGCCAACATGGTGAAACCCCCATCTCTACTAAAAATACAAAAAAATTTGCTGGGCATGGTGGTGCACACCTGTAATCCCAGCTGCTAGGGAGGCTGAGGCAGGAGAATTGCTTGAACTTGGGAGCCGAAGGTTGCAGTGAGCCGAGATTGTGCCACTACACTCCAACCTGGATGACAGAGTGGGACTCTGTCTCAAAAAGAAAACAAACAAAAAAACCTTATGAATTGTCTATTTCTGGAGTTTTTCATTTAGTATTTTCAGACCATGTTTGACCAAGGGTAACTGAAACTGTGAAAAGTGGAACTGTAGATGGTCTCTATGAGTAGTCACTGTTAAAGGGGAAACAAAGATGATTGTTGGCCTGATCTTGGCCTTCAAGGAGTAAAGGGGTTCTGTGTAGTCAGAGGGAAGCTGGGTGCTTCTGGTGGAGAGACAGGAAAGTCCAGATGTTATGGAGAAAGTAGCTTTTGAGTTGAACCTAGAAGGAAATTCATTTTGAGTTTTTTTGGGTTGTTTGTTTTTTGCAGAACGTGTCCATGCTGGTTTAGAGATTATGGTCTAAGTGTTTTTCAATAAAAGGCATACACTAACATTCATAGTTACCTGTACCAGAGTTAAAATTAAATGGAGTTTTCAAGGCAATTAGATTTATTTTAAACTTTTAAAAGATCAATATTAATGGCATTAGGGCCAGCTCCTTTATCTGATGTCTTTAAAGTTCATTCTGGCCATAGTCAACCCTTGTAATGAATTTTAACCTGACACATGTTGCTACTTCATCTAGTCTTTGTAACCTGGTTATTTATTTATTTTTTGAGATGGAGTTTTGCTCTTGTTGCCCAGGCTGGAGTGCAATGGCGCGATCTCGTCTCACCGCAACCTCCACCTCCCAGGTTCAAGCGATTCTCCTGCCTCAGCCTTCCCAAGTAGCTGGGATTATAGGCATGCGCCACCAAGCCTGGCTAATTTTGTGTTTTTAATAGAGATGGGGTTTCTCCGTGTGGGTCAGGCTGGTCTCGAACTCCTGACCTCAGGTGATCCGCCCACCTCGGCCTCCCAAAGTGCTGGGATTACAGGCGTAAGCCACCGCTCCCGGCCTGGTTATTTGTTTTATCTGCAATTATTCTTTCTCGTGAATCCCCTTGGCTAATCATGCTCACAAAGTTCTGACACATATACCACCTGAATATTTCTAGAATCTGAGTCATCTTTCACTTAAATTACAATAACCTCTTAACTGGCCTTCTTGCCTCCTAGCTTGTCCTGCTCTGATCCATTCATGCCAAAGTGATTTTTCTAAAATTGAATAAGTTTTTTCCTTGCAAAAAACACTTGATTGATTTTCTGTTGTCTTTCCTCACCATTGCTGTGAGGTTTTGTTCTGTTGTAGCCTCTTGCTACATTTTTTGGCATTTTTTTCTTATCTTCCATCGCATTTCCTCATATAGGGCAATTTAGTATTTTAGTTTAGTGCATAGTTTAGTGCACAGTTAATCTGAGAAACCACTCTGTCTCATTTCCTTGCTGGAGCTGGAGACCCAGGTGAAGATCCTGAGGTTTGTTCTTTTGCAATGTTTGGCCTTTATTATCTGCCCTCCTCCTGTAATTTATTTTACTGTCCTTTTTGTTTTTGGTTGGCAACCATGGGGAGGTGGCTGCTGCCTCTTGCTTATCAACAACTGTTGCTTATGGAGACTTCTGTGAACAAGCAGCCAGGTTTAGGTGAGGAAATTGGCCGTGACTGAATTCTGGGTGAATTTTTCGAGGTCCAGTTGGTCCAAATGTTTGTGATGTGCAGTCCTAAGAGGCCATGGCTCTTCCTGTGAAGTGTGATGTGTTTTATGTATCACACATTAGTTTTTATTTGTCCTAAGCAGGAATCAGAACTCAGTTCAATAGAGGCCATTGGCAAACATCCCAAACAAGGAATCTCTCACTAAAATAGCTTAAAATATAATTTTACCTGTGTGGTCTAGGCATTTGTGGTACAGTGTTCGTTAGCAGTGAGGAAGGGCTATGCGTGCCTGGAGATCAGATGAGAGGCCTTAACTCAGTGAGGTCGCTGACTAGTTGACTTTAAGGCATAGCTGCTGTAGATCATACCCCTCTAATTGACCCCACCATTTATCGTTTATCACATGGGCAGCCCTGGAGGTATGCCTCTCTGATGGCCTATCAAAAAGAATCTGCCCTTCAGCTTCAAGGAACAGTTTGCTGACAGCCTCCAGCTGTTAGTGCTGTCAGGCTTTGCCTCCACGGAGGCCATACTTATCCCATGCTGCGTGTCCTTTCATTTTGGTGTCATCTCTTTCTCCCCTTCTACCCCTCCTCCACCACAGTAAACAGCTTTTTGAGGGCTGGGGCTGTTTATAAGTGAAGTAGTTTATAAAAAGTAGATGCACATCTTTCAGCTTCATATTTAGCATGTTGGAAATTCTGTTCACTGATCTAATTCTGAAATCTCCTTGGTATTTCTTAAACTAGTTGTATAGGCTGGGTGCAGTGGCTCATGCCTGTAATCCCAGCACTTTGGGAGGCTGAGGTGGGCAGATCACCAGGTCAGGAGATCGAGACCATCTTGGCTAACACGCTGAAACCCTGTCTCTACTAAAAATACAAAAAAAAAAAAAAAAATTAGCCGGGCGTGGTTGTGGGCGCCTGTAGTCCCAGCTACTCGGGAGGCTGAGGCAGGTGAATGGTGTGAACCCGGGAGGCAGAGCTTGCAGTGAGCGGAGATCATGCCACTGCACTCCAGCCTGGGCGACAGAGTGAGACTCCATCTCAAAAAAAAAAAAAACTAGTATGTCAACAAAGCTTTGTGCTGCTGTAATGGGAAGAACAGCTAGCCTGGGCTAGTAATATGCTAACTGGTTTATGAACTTAGGTAGGTGAGTCACTTGACTATTCTGGGTCTGTTCTGAAGGGAGAGGCAGTAGGACTAGGAGTTAAATTGTCATGCCGAGGTCTCTGAGCATGGGTGGGCCTGTCAGAATTGTCATCGCTCACTCTGTTGACTTCCAGCAGCTGACAGGCAAGGCCCTAGGAAGCTCTTCAGCCTCCTTTCCTTGCTAGAGGTGCTGTTTTCCCTGGAAATGTTCAAGCCCTGCAAATCGTTTCTATAGTAACAGGTCTCTGTCTTTTTTCTTATGATGCAGATTTTTGAAAAGGTTTCTTATCTAAATGTTCTTGGGATCTATGGTCTTCCTACCTGTAGCTCCTTTGATTAGACAGAGCCTTTATTTAAAGACTTTTCCCCCCAAGAATGTTGTTGTTGCTTCTACCAAAATAATAACCAGTTGTTAGTTTTACTAGTGCTTGAAGTTTTAGTTTATTAATAAAGCTTCATATAAACTAGAAAAGGAGTGGTTGGGTAGAATAGTAATACCGAAAAAACTAATATTCACTGTTAGTCTCATGTATTTGTAAACTTTAATTTTTTATTATGTAAAACCTTCAAACATAAAAGTAGTCAAAATTATATAATAGACACCTATATACTTACCACCTAGATTGAAAACTAACATTCTGCCATATTGGCGTAGTTTATTCGTTTACTGATAGTAAATCAGAGACATGTATTTAGAGGTGAAATGTCACCCTAAAAAGCGTTTTTCTTAATGATTTACACCACCCTTAGTAAAATTAGCTATTCATTCCTTCATATCATCTAATACCTAATATATATTCACATTTCCTCAGGTGTCTCAAATGTCTTTTACTAATGATTTTTTCCAACAAGGATCCACTCAAGGTCCATACATTTGCATTTGATTATTACGTTTTAATCTGGAATAGCGCCTACCGCCCCCAACCCCTGCCACTGCTTTATCAGAGAGGTCAGTTGTCCTGTAAGATACTCTACCTTTATGATTTGTATGATTTTTGTTTGTTTGTTTTCATTTAACTTCTATATTTCTCATATTCCTGGTAACTGCAAGTCAGGTCTAAAGACCTCACTAAATTCCTGGAAAACATTTTTAGCAGGAATGCTCTGTACTTCATGCACTGTCACAACTGGGAGACACTAAGTATTTGGATCTTGAAGATTTAAAGACTTCTAATTGGTTTTTAAAAGCCCTGTTTCACTGGTTTTCTAGGATAAGCTTCTCTAGAGAAGTTCCTTTTTAAAAAATGTTTTATTAGTTTGAAGATTTAATGGGATTTTCCTTTCCCCTGAAATTCTTCCAGTTTGATTTCAAAAAGAAAAGGTCAACATAGCATTACATTTCTGAATTTTCCCTCAAATAAGCCAAATAAATAGTTGGTGAAACAGTATTTTGTGACTGATGCGCACCACTTTGGTTCTGGCAGTCTCTGGGCATTAGGCCACTCTTTCTGCTCTGCTCTCCTGGCTGACAGTTTATAATGGATTTTACTTTTCTTTTAAAAAATCAGATTTGCTGTCTTTTGCTGTCATCAGCTCTGGGCCTTGTCACCACATGGCAGACTTCAACCTACAATAACCCCTGATGCGTGTTTCCTGAAGGGGACCTCTCCCCTTCAGTCCACACTTCTAGTAGGTTGAGTTCAGCCCAAGATTAAGGCTCTGGTCTGGAGTCAGAAGATGGGTCAAAATCTAGCTCTCCCACCGGCTGGTTGGCTCTTCTTCAGCAGTCAGCTAGTGTTTCCAAATGACAGTATCTGTGTCCTCATCTGTAAAGTCGGGACAATAACTGGTGTTTTTTTTGTTTTGTTTTGTTTTTTGAGACAGTTTCACTCTGTCACCCAGGCTAGAGTGCAGTGGCGCGATCTCGGCTCACTGCAAGCTCCGCTTCCCGGGTTCACGCCATTCTCCTGCCTCAGCCCCCCGAGCAGCTGGGACTACAGGCACCCACCACCGCGCCCGGCTAATTTTTTGTATTTTTAGTAGAGACGGGGTTTCACTGTGTTAGCCAGGATGGTCTCAATCTCCTGACCTCGTGATCCACCGGCCTCGGCCTCCCAAAGTGCGGGGATTACAGGCATGAGCCACCGCGCCCGGCCTATAACTGGTTTTGACTAATGCGAGTTGTGGTAGGGCTTGAAAGAAATCACAAACTAAATGTAAAATTTAATTTGAAAAATGCTGTCCAAGCAGGAACTCACATCCAGGAACAAAATGAATGGAGACCAGAAATCCAGATATGTATGCCCAAGAAAAGCAGAATTTTATCCAGGACTTCTCCCAGGTTGTCAGGATGCTGACTGAGGATGAGATGGGGCACCCAGAGACAGGAGAGTCTATTACCTGGCTCAAAGAGGTCCTGGAGTACACTGCCACTGGAGACAAGTACCACTAGGGTTTGATGATGCTGGTAGCATTCCAGGAGCTGGCAGAGCCCAGGAAACAGGATGCTGATAGTCTCCAGCAGGTCCTGTCTGGGCTGTTGTGTGAACTGCTGTAAGCTTGCCCGTTTTTTTTTGTTGTTGTTGTTGTTTGTTTTTTGAGATGGAGCCTAGCTCTGCCGCCCAGGATGGAGTGCAGTGGCACAATCTCAGCTCATTGCAACTTCCACCTCCTGGGTTCAAGTAATTCTTGTGCCTCAGCCCCCTGAGTAGCCAGGACTACAGGCGCATTCCACCGCACCCAGCTAAGTTTTGTATTTTTGGTGGAGACGGGGTTTCGCCATGTTGGCCAGGCTGGCCTCGAACTCCTGACCTCAGGTAATCCCCCTGCCTTGGCCTCCCAAAGTGCTGGGATTACAGGTGTGAGCCACTGCACCTTGTGCTGCAAGCTTTCTTCCTGGTGGCAGATGACATCAGGGATTCATCCCTCACCTTGCTGGGGGCAGATCTGCTTGTATCAGAAGCCAGGTGTAGGTTTGGATGCCATCAATGATGCTATGCTTCTAGAAGCATCTATCTATCACCTGTTGAAGCTCTGTTGCTGAGAGCAACCCCATTACCTGAACCTGAAAAAGCACTTCCTGTGGAGTTCCTATTAGACAGAGATCAGGCAGACCCTGGACCCCATCACAGCCCCCCAGAGCAATGTGGATCTTGACTGGTTCACTGAAAAGAGGTACAAATCACTGTCAAGTATAAGACAGCTTTCTACTTCTTCTACCATCCTGAAGCTGCAGCCATGTCTATGGCAGGCGTCAGTGTGGGGAAGGAATGGGCCAATGACAGGAAGATCCTGCTGGAGTTAGGAGTTCTTTCAGATTCAGGATGATTACCTTGACCTCTTTGGGGACCCTACTGTCACCACTGGCAGAGTTTGTACTGACATCCAGGACAACAGATGACAACAAATGCAGCTGACTGGTGGTTCAGTGTCTGCAATGGGCCACACCGGAACAGCACCAGATCATGCAGAAGAATTACAGGGAGGAGGCACTATATGAGGAGCTGGATCTGCTGACCATGTTCTTGGTATGTGGAAGATGGTTACAGCCACCTTATGGGTCTCATTGAGCAGTGTGTTGCACCACTGCCCCCAGCCACCTTCCTGGGGCTAGCGTACAAAATCTCCAAGCAACTGCAAGGCAGGGAGAGGAGGCTCTCAATAAATTACTGTGTAATCTTTTTTTTTGTTGTTGTTGTTGTTGTTGTTGTTGTTTTGAGACAGAGTTTCACTCTTGTTGCCCAGGCTGGAGTGCAATGGTGTGGTCTTGGCTCACTGCAACCTCTGTCTTCTGGGTTCAAGCGATTCTCCTGCCTCAGCCTCCCAAGTAGCTGGGATTTCAGGCACCCGCCACTACGCCCGGCTAATTTTTGTATTTTTAGTAGAGATGGGGTTTCACCATGTTGGCCAGGCTGGTCTCGAACTCCTGACCTCAAATGATACGCCTGCCTTGGCCTCCCAAAGTGCTGGGATTATAGGCGTGAGCCACTGCGCCCGGCCTACTGTGTAATCTTACAAAAAAAGAAAAAAAGAAAACAATGCTCTAAAAGAGAAGGGAATTTTGTTTCTGTTCCATGCATAGACCTACACAGGCTTTTTTCCTTTTGCTGTTTCCCACTTCCATATCTTATTTTATATGGTACTTTTCTTCCTTTCCCTTTCTAGGAAACCCTCCCTCCACCTTTCCTCCTACTCGACCTTTAGGCCTGGGTAAAATTTTAATCTTCAATACAATCATATTGTTTTGTCTCAGCCCACAAGTTTTCATTTATGTGAACTATCAGTTTTACAATTTAACCTCTAGTCATTCTCCAAATATTTTTACACCTAGGCCTCTTATTTCTGCAGATCTCAAGTTGCTTGAGGTCATGGTTTGATAGATTTGTTTTCAGCTCAGAACTATGAAAACTTTATTGTATTACCCTAGACATTGATTTCTAATGAGTTGGTTGTAGGATGCAACTGGTTTCTTAAGTGGGGGATATTTTTCTAGAATGTGGGTACAACTTTCTGATGTGAGGTCCTCACAAATTTTTAAACTTTGCTCCAGCAAAAAGAACCACGTAGAGGTTCTCTACCTGGGTCCTTCCTGCCTCACCTTCTTTAGGTGGAGTTGGCTCCAGTTTCCTCCTTGTCTCTGCCTCCACCCCACCCCTGCCCCAGGCCTCATAGTGTTCCACAGGAATGACGTGGTGACTGTAGTGAGGGTTACAGTGAAGAATTGCCCACTGTTTGGCCTTGCTGAACAGCAAATTTGGGCCAGCAGTGGGTCTGTTTTCTCTCTTTTCTTTTTATTTATTTATTTTTTTGAGACAGAATCTTGCTCTGTCTCCCAGGCTGGAGTGCAGTGGCGTGATCTCGGCTCACTGCAAGCTCCACCTCCTGGGTTCACTCCATTCTCCTGCCTCAGCCTCCCGAGTAGCTGGGACTACAGGCGCCTGCCACCACGCCCAGCTAATTTTTTGTATTTTTAGTAGAGACGGACTTTGTCCGTCTTAGCCAGGATGGTCACGATTTCCTGACCTCGTGATCCACCTGCCTCGGCCTCCCAAAGTGCTGGGATTACAGGCGTGAGCCACCGCACCGGGCTTTTTTTTTTTTTTTTTTTTTTTTTTTGAGTCGGAGTCTCACTCTGTCGCCCAGGCTAGAGCGCAGCGGCGCAATCTCTGCTCATTGCAAACTCCGCTTCTCGGGTTCAAGCAATTCATCTGCCTCAGCCTACCGAATAGCTGGGATTACAGGCACGCGCCACCGTGCCCGGCTAATTTTTGGACTTTTAGTAGAGATGGGGTTTCACCATGTTGGCCAGGCTGGTCTCGAATTCCTGACCTCGTGATCCACCTGCCTCATCCTCCCAAAGTGCTGAGATTACAGGCGTGAACCACCGCGCCCGGCCAGCAGTGGGTCTGTTTTCAACCCTCATGTACCCTCAGCTCTCAAGCCTGTGTGCTCCCACCCCAGCCAGTCACCAGAATCACATAGATTTTAAAACGACTTATCCTGGGTCCATCCCTACACATAGTAAATGAGATTTTTGCTGGGTAGCTTGGGACGCTATATTTTCCAAAACTCCCTGTTGATTGGCTGTATTTGGGAACCCCTGTTGCGAAGGAAGATCCCTTATCTCTTCATCTGTCACTAATGATGGTGGCTTGCGCACTCTGATGGTACTTACTTGGATGGGATTACAGATGGTTCCATCACACCCATCTGTATGAAATCTCGTGGTATAAGTGAATGTAGGATGATAAGGGACGAGCCTATTAGAGGCTTTTGAAGCAAATGGATAGTTTAATCAGATTGGTGTGTTTTTTTTTTCTGTAGAACTGCTGTGAACTAGACCTTGTTATCACCATCTGTTTCGTAAATTCCATTTTCGGTTTAACAGCTGGATTGTGAAAGATATACAAAATTATCCAGTTAAAAAACTAAATTTGGCAAGTGTGTGTGTGTTTTTAAAAATGACTCCTTGAATACACTGTTTTGATTCCTTAGACAGTTTCTAAGGCTCTAATTTTGGTCTACCAGAAATATTCAGAGTAGTAAACTGAGACCAGAAAGGCGAGTTCTTTGGCTTGGATAACTTTGAGAGTTAATAGTATACATGATTGGCAGCCTTCAGTTTTATCCAGCAATAAATCTAAACAGTTTAAAATAAGTACTTTCCCCTTACCTCAGTACAGAGAGGCCCTGGCCACTGCCATGCACATCTCAGAAGCTGAGCAGTGGGGCAGAAGGATAACTTGTAATTTGGCATCAATGTCCAACACCCTTGAGCTCTGGACTCTTTTATTCATTCCTTCTACTTTACCATTCTACATCTTGAACCACTGTGCGTGCGGTTCCCCTAAGAGGCAGTAAAGTAATTGCATCAGGGTGGAGGGATTTTATGTGCTTTCACTTTCTCATTTGATTATTTCTACATCTTACCGATAAACTTCCATGAATATTACTGTTGTAATGAGGAGCAAAATGTTAGTAAAGATAACTTTATACGTGAAAACTTGAACTCTTACCAAGAAACGTAGTGTTTGTGACAAGGCTGGCTGAGAGGATGAGAATAGCTCATCAGTACTGGGTTGGCTGAAGGAAACATGCATGTCAGTACTATTTTGAGGGCAGCTGAGAACATCTATTTCAATAGCTTTGGCTATATTTTAATAGCTAAGAGCAACATATGAATTTGTCTCTGCCAAAGATGGAGTGAAAATTTCCAAAATAACCAAACTTTTACTTTTTTTGCAATACATTAGGTCTTTCCTGCTGACAAACCTACAGTTTATGAAATAAGTTTGTGGAGCATATCAAAGCTGTGCGGCAGCTCTGTGCACTCCAGCAGATGGTGTGACTGGTTGTCTGTAGTCGTCTTAGTTTCCGCCATTGTGTCAGTCTGTGGAATGTTTGGGTTCATGCTTATTTTGGCCAAGTTTTCCAAATTCTGTCTTGGTAAGTACAAAAAGCTGTGAGTGTCGGAAGCTCTAACAAGAGGTGTACTCATGATGAAAGTGAAAGCAGAGAGAGCGATTTTTTTTTCCTCTTTGAATTTGTTTTAACATGCTCTTACTTGTAGGACAAATTTTTCAAACAGGTGGTAGAAAGCAAAACATCTTAATGCCATCTTCAGGGCAGAAGACTTTGAGTTGCAGGATGTGATTTAGGGAGGATTTTGAAAGAGTTTGCAGCACTGCGTGAAGCTGGCTGGGTCTTCCTGTGTACTCCTCCTTGCCCTCCTCCTATAGCCCCTCCATGCAAAGGTAACCTGTTTTTTTAATGTTTGTTTCTTTTTAAAATTTTTTTATTTTTATAGAAAAAACAAATGCCAGCATGTGTATGAAGACCTTAATTTAAAAAAATATTTTTATTGGCCTGGCGCGGTGGTTCACACCTGTAATCCCAGCACTTTGAGAGGCTGAGGAGGGCGGATCACCTGAGGCTGGGAGTTCAAGACCAGCCTGACCAACATGGAGAAACCCTGTCTCTACTAAAAATACAAAAATTAGCCAGGCATGGTGGCACATACCTGTAATCCCAGCTACTCGGGAGGCTGAGGCAGGAGAATCGCTTGAAGCTGGGAGGTGGAGGTTGCGGTAAGCCGAGATTGCAGCATTACACTCCATATATTATGGAGTATATATATATGGAGTATATATATATATGGAGTATATATATATATATATGGAGTATATATATATATATGGAGTATATATATATATGGAGTATATATATATATATGGAGTATATATATATGGAGTATATATATATATATGAGTATATATATATGGAGTATATATATATGAGTATATATATATGGAGTATATATATATATGGAGTATATATATATGGAGTATATATATATGGAGTATATATATATGGAGTATATATATATATGGAGTATATATATATGGAGTATATATATATGGAGTATATATATATGGAGTATATATATATATGGAGTATATATATATATATGGAGTATATATATATATGGAGTATATATATATATGGAGTGTATATATATATATGGAGTATATATTTATATGGAGTATATATATATATGGAGTATATATATATTTTATATATTATGTATTATATAATATATATTATATTATATATAAAATATATATTTTATAATATATTATTAATGAAATTTCTCACATATACAAGACTGTATGAACAAGTTTAATCAAAATACATTGGGTTTTGACAAATCTTAGTATTTTGCTATAATTGCTTTTAAAAAATACAGATAGTTTAAACTTCCTAGTTATCACTTCCTGATCCAGTTATCATCTCACTACAGAGGTAACCACTATACTGAATTTGGTCCCTAACTTTCTTTTTTTTTTTGAGATGGAGTCTTGCTCTGTTGCCCAGACTGGAGTGCAGTGGCATGATCTTGGCTCACTGCAACCTCCGCCTCCGGGTTCAAGCAGTTCTTCTGTCTCAGACTCCTGAGTAGCTGGGATTGCTTTCATGTCTTTTTTTTTTTTTTTTTTTTTTTTTGAGACAGAGCCTTACTCTGTCACCCAGGCTGGAGTGCTGTGGTGCAATGTTGGCTCACGGCAACCTCCGCCTCCCAGAATCAAACGATTCTCCTGCCTCAGCCTCCTGAGTACCTGGGATTACAGGCATGTGCCACCACACCCAGCTAATTTTTGTATTTTTAGTAGAGATGGGGTTTCACCATGTTAGCCAGGCTGGTCTTGTACTCCTGCCCTCATCGGCCTCCGAACGTGCTGGGATTACAGGCGTGAGCCACTGCGACCGGCCTCATGTCTATTTTTATACTTTCATTTTCTGTATATGTTTACAAACAACATGTAACATTGTTTTTACTTAATTTAAATGGCTCATACTCTACATATCCTTCTGCTACACGCTTTTTACACTGAATATCCTTTCAAGGATTTATAAATGCAGCCCAAATTTACTGACTTTCATTGCTGGGTCATATTTTATTGTGAGTTTACCCAAACTGTGTAATTGTTCTTCTGATTCACTCTTCTCTATTTTTGCTATTACCAACAAGATGGCAGTGATTTTTTTTTTTTTTTTTTTTTTTTTTTTGAGACAGGGACTTGCTCTGTTGCCCAGGCTGGAGTGCAGTGGTGTGATCTGAAGTCACTGCAACCTTCGCCTCCCAGGTTCAAGTGATTCTCGTGCCTCAGCCTCCCAAGTAGCTGGGACTACGGGTGCATGGCACCACATCCGGCTAATTTTTGTATTTTTAGAAGAGATGGGTTTTCACTATGTTGGCCAGGCTGGTTTTGAACTCCTGACCTCAATTGATCCACCTGCCTTGGCCTCCCAAAGTGCTGGGATTACAGGCGTGAACCACTGTGCCCAGCTGAAAATTCTTATGTTCCCTTGGCTGCATGAATTTCTTTGGAGTCCCTTCATTTAAAAATGTATTTTAAGGAAGTGAATTGGTCCAGCGTGGTGGCTCACACCTGTAATTCGAGCACTTTGGGAGGCTGAGGTAGGAGGAGCTTGAGCCCAGGAGTTCAAGATCAGCCTGGGCAACATAATGAGACTCTGTCTCTACAAAAAAATAAAAAATTAACTGGATATGGTGGCATACCTCTAGTCCCAGCTACTGGGGAGGCCAAGGTGGGAGGATTGCTTGAGTCTGGGAGATGGAGGCTACAATGAGTGGTGATTGCACTGCTGCACTCCAGCCTGGGTGACAGGACGAGACCTTGTCTCAAAAAGAAAAAAAAGTGAATCATAGAGTAAAGACAGACATATTAATTGAATAAACACAGAAGATCTATGTTTAACTCCAGCTTTGTGCATGGTGTTACAGGGAAGTGTGTAGAAGCTCCAAAGCCTTCAGATATAATGCTTAACTCAGAAACTTATAGCCCAGTGTGTCTGTGGGACGTGGGCACAAATAACCATGGTACTACGAGGCATGATGAGATAAGCGCTGTATGCTGGTGGAGGTAGCTCTGATATTAGATGGAACTATGAGGGTCTGGACCATTCTCCACCAAATCAGGATAGGCTTATCTTTGTTAGCACCTTGAGTTGATTTAATTCCAGCCAAAAGCAGAGGTGTGATGCCCTAGGCACTTCTCTCTGTCTCTTCTCTTAATTTTAAAACCAGTAGGCAGACTCCATTAGCTCTTTCCTATCCTTTAGGATGGATGCTCACTCAGATGTTCCAAGTCATCTTCCACTGTCTTTTAACTCTGTCCTTCCAGGGAGATGCGTCAGGTGTCCGGCTTCCTCAGAGAGCTGGAGTTGTTGGTGCTGATCACCAGATACTCCAGACGGCACTAATTCCTATACTATGGGTTCAGAGGGAACTCCATTGGACAGAAATTTCCTTTTGAGGAAATCTTTCCCTGGAGTTTCTTCTTACCTTTTTCCCTCACTTTCTCCACAGCAGAAACAGGTCTGTTTGTCCTTAAATATTTACCTATATATTTGAGTAGGAGCATTTTGAAGAGATGAAGTTTCTGTGTAGCAGCACAAAACATGAAATAGTTCAAACCAGGGGCACTCTGGTTCTCAGACCGGGAGCTTCAGGATCTTCTGGGAACTTGTTAGAAATGCAAATTCTCAGGTCTGCTCAGATCACCTGAAACAGAAGCCCTAGGGGTGGGGCCTAGAGATTTGTGTCTTAACAGGCCCACAGCGGGAGTCTGGGAACCCCTGTTTCGAAGTATGCTTAAATAAGCACTTGGGGGCCAGGCATGGTGGCTCATGCCTGTAATCACAGCACTTTGGGAGGCCAAGACAGGCAGATCCCTTGAGCTCAGGAATTTGAGACCAGCCTGGGCAACATGACGAAACCCCATCTCTACAAAAAAATACAAAAATTAGCCAGGCATGGTGGCTTGCGCCTGTAATCCCAGCTACTCAGGAGGCTGAGGTGGGAGGATCACCTGAGCCTAGGAGGTGGAGGTTGCAGTGAGCTGAGATTGTGCCGCTGCATTCCAGCCTGGGCAACAGAGGGAGACCCTGTCTCGAGAGAAAAAAAAAAGCACTTGGGCTTGTATTGTGGGCCTGTCTTACTATACTTTCAGAAAAGGGTCTGGCAGACTAAATACTTGAGGGATGTTACCCAGCAGTGTTATTTGTTGACATTGCTTAATTATGAATGACATGAGAAAGGTATACCTGAAAACTGACATTGTGTGGTGTTGTTGTAGACAAACCTTTAACTTGTGGAGGCTGCTTTCATTTTGTTTGTGGTTGTGACCAACCGTAGGAAACAGAATGCCATAAATCCCTGTTTCCAGGGTTACCTTCTTGCTGCTGATAACAGGCAGGAAATTAAAACAATATGTGATAGTGTTCTGTTCTTATTACCTACAGATGGTAGCTTTTAGATATGTTGGAGCAAAACATAAGTAAATATAGCAGGGAAACTTTATTACTGAAGAAAAATGATTTGGCTAGGTCAAGGTTATAGTCTGGTTCATTTTAATAAAATGGGGCATAGGCAACATATCAGTGTTCCATTATCACATGAAGCATTTAGCTGTATGAGGATCACTAGATTTTTTTTCTCTTTGATTTAATTTTGAGTATGTAAAACATTTACATGATTCCAAGGTCAAAACTGTGTAACAAATTATATTCAAAGATGCTTCCCTTTCATCCATATCCCTTCTGTCTCTTCTCTTACTGCTTTGCAGGTAATCATTTTTACTAGCTTCTGAATTTATCCTTCCAGTGTTTCTTTTTGCAGATAAGCATATACATTCATATGTATATGTCATATGTTCATAGCTCCTCCTTCCACTTTCATTACACAAAAGGCTACATACTATACTACAATTTTAAAAATTATTATTATTATTATGATTTTTAGAGACAGGGACTTGTTCTGTCACCCAGGCTGGAATGCAGTGGTGTAATCATAGCTCACTGCAGCCTCAAACTCCTATCCTGGGTTCAAGGGATCCTCCTGCTTCAGCCGCCTGAATAGCTAGGACTATAGGCACATATCACCATGCAGTACTTTATAATTTTTTTTTTATTATTATACTTTAAGTTTTAGGGTACATGTGCACAATGTGCAGGTTTGTTACATATGTATACATGTGCCATGTTGGTGTGCTGCACCCATTAACTCGTCATTTAACATTAGGTATATCTCCTAATGCTATCCCTCCCCTCTCCCCGCACCCCACAACAGGCCCCGGTGTGTGATGTTCCCCTTCCTGTGTCCAAGTGTTCTCATTGTTCAATTCCCACCTATGAGTGAGAACATGCGGTGCTTTTTGTCCTTGCAATAGTTTGCTGAGAATGATGGCTTCCAGCTTCATCCATGTCTCTACAAAGGACATGAACTCATCATTTTTTATGGCTGCATAGTATTCTGTGGTGTATATGTGCCACATTTTCTTAATCCAATCTATCATTGTTGGACATTTGGGTTGCTTCCAAGTCTTTGCTATTGTGAATAGTGCCACGGTAAACATACGTGTGCATGTGTCTTTATAGTAGCATGTTTTATAATCCTTTGGGTATATACCCAATAATGGGATGGCTGGGTCAAATGGTATTTCTAGTTCTAGATCCCTGAGGAATCGCCACACTGACTTCCACAATGGTTGAACTAGTTTACAGTCCCACTAACAGTGTAAAAGTGTTCCTGTTTCTCCACATTCTCTCCAGCACCTGTTGTTTCTTGACTTTTTAATGATCGCCATTCTAACTGGTGTAAGATGGTATCTCATTGTGGTTTTGATTTGCATTTCTCTGATGGCCAGTGATGATGAGCATTTTTTCATGTGTCTTTTGGCTGCATAAAGGTCTTCTTTTGAGAAGTGTCTGTTCATATCCTTGAGAAGTGTCTGTTCATATCCTTCACCCACTTTTTGATGGGGTTGTTTGTTTTTTTCTTGTAAATTTGTTTGAGTTCATTGTAGATTCTGGATATTAGCCCTTTGTCAGATGAGTAGATTGCAAAAATTTTCTCCCATTCTGTAGGTTGCCTGTTCACCCTGATGGTAGTTTCCTTTGCTGTGCAGAAGCTCTTTAGTTTAATTAGATCCCTTTTGTCAATTTTGGCTTTTGTTGCCATCACTTTTGGTGTTTTAGACATGAAGTCCTTGCCCATGCCTATGTCCTGAATGGTATTGCCTAGGTTTTCTTCTAGGGTTTTTATGGTTTTAGGTCTAACGTTTAAGTGTTTAATCCATCTTGAATTAATTTTTGTATAAGGTGTAAGGAAGGGATCCAGTTTCAGCTTTCTACATATGGCTGGCCAGCTTTTCCAGCACCATTTATTAAACAGGGATTCCTTTCCCCATTTCTTGTTTTTGTCAGGTTTGTCAAAGATCGGATGGTTGTAGATATGCGGCATTACTTCTGAGGGCTGTGTTCTGTTCCATTGGTCTATATCTCTGTTTTGGTACCAGTACCATGCTGTTTTGGTTACTGTAGCCTTGTAGTATAGTTTGAAGTCAGGTAGCGTGATGCCTCCAGCTTTGTTCTTTTGGCTTAGGATTGACTTGGCAATGCGGTCTCTTTTTTGGTTCCATATGAACTTTAAAGCAGTTTTTTCCAATTCTGTGAAGAAAGTCATTGGTAGCTTGATGGGGATGGCATTGAATCTATGGCCATTTTCGCGATATTGATTCTTCCCACCCATGAGCATGGAATGTTCTTCCATTTGTTTGTATCCTCTTTTATTTTATGGAGCAGTGGTTTGTAGTTCTCCTTGAAGAGGTCCTTTATGTCCCTTGTAAGTTGGATTCCTAGGTATTTTATTCTCTTTGAAGCAATTGTGAATGGGAGTTCACTCATGATTTGGCTCTGTTTGTCTGTTATTGGTGTATAGAAATGCTCGTGATTTTTGCACATTGATTTTGTATCCTGAGACTTTGCTGAAGTTGCTTATCAGCTTAAGGAGATTTTGAGCTGAGACAATGGGGTTTTCTAGATATACAATCATGTCATCTGCAAACAGGGACCATTTGACTTCCTCTTTTCCTAATTGAATACCCTTTATTTCTTTCTCCTGCCTGATTGCCCTGGCCAGAACTTCCAGCACTATGTTGAATAGGAGTGGTGAGAGAGCACATCCCTGTCTTGTGCCAGTTTTCAAAGGGAATGCTTCCAGTTTTTGCCCATTCAGTATGACATTGGCTGTGGGTTTGTCATAGATAGCTCTTATTATTTTGAGATATGTCCCATCAATACCTAATTTATTGAGAGTTTTTAGCATGAAGCGTTGTTGAATTTTGTCACAGGACTTTTCTGTAACTATTGAGATAATCATGTGGTTTTTGTCATTGATTCTGTTTATATGCTGGATTACATTTATTGATTTGCATATGTTGAACCAGCCTTGCATCCCAGGGATGAAGCCCACTTGATCTGGTGGACAAGCTTTTTGATGTGCTGCTGGATTCGGTTAGCCAGCATTTTTTTGAGGGTTTTGCATGGATGTTCATCAGGGATATTGGTCTAAAATTCTCTTTTTTTGTTGTGTCTCTGCCAGACTTTGGTATCAGGATGATGCTGGCCTCATAAAATGAGTTAGGGAGGATTCCCTCTTTTTCTATTGATTGGAATAGTTTCAGAAGGAATGGTACCAGCTCCTCCTTATATGTCTGGTAGAATTCGGCTGTGAATCCATCTGGTCCTGGATTTTTTTGGTTGGTAGGCTATTAATTATTGCCTCAATTTCAGAGCCTGTTATTGGTCTATTCAGAGATTGAACTTCTTCCTCGTTTAGTCTTGGGAGGGTGTGTGTGTCCAGGAATTTATCCATGTCTTCTAGATTTTCTAGTTTATTTGCATAGAGGTGTTTATAGTATTCTCTGATGGTAGTTTGTATTTCTGTGGGATCAGTGGTGATATCCCCTTTATCATTTTTTATTGCATCTATTTGATTCTTCTCTCTTTTCTTCTTTATTAGTCTTGCTAGCGGTCTATCAATTTTATTGATCTTTTCAAAAAACCAGCTCCTGGATTCATTGATTTTTTGAAGGCTTTTTTGTGTCTCTATCTCCTTCAGTTCTGCTCTGATCTTAGTTATTTCTTGCCTTCTGCTAGCTTTTGAATATGTTTGCTCTTGCTTCTCTAGTTCTTTTAATTGTGATGTTAGGGTGTCAATTTTAGATCTTTCCTGCTTTCTCTTGTGGGCATTTAGTGCTATAAATTTCCCTCTACACACTGCTTTAAATGTGTCCCAGAGAGTCTGGTATGTTGTGTCTTTGTTCTCATTAGTTTCAAAGAACATCTTTATGTCTACCTTCATTTCGTTATGTACCCAGTAGTCATTCAGGAGCAGGTTGCTCAGTTTTCATGTAGTTGAGCAGTTTTGAGTGAATTTATTAATCCTGAGTTCTAGTTTGATTGCACTGTGGTCTGAGAGACAGTTTGTTATAATTTCTGTTCTTTTACATTTGCTGAGGAGTGTTTTACTTCCGTCAATTTTGGAATAAGTGTGATGTGGTGCTGAGAAGAATGTATATTCTGTTGATTTGGGGTGGAGAGTTCTGTAGATGTCTGTTAGGTCTGCTTGGTGCAGAGCTAAGTTCAATTCCTGGATATCCTTGTTAACTTTCTGTCTCTTTGATCTGTCTAATGTTGACAGTGGGGTGTTAAAGTCTCCCATTATTATTGTGTGGGAGTCTAAGTCTCTTTGTAGGTCTCTAAGGACTTGCTTTATGAATCTGGGTGCTCCTGTATTGGGTGCATATATATTTAGGATAGTTAGCTCTTCTTGTTGAATTGAATTGATCCCTTTACCATTATGTAATGGCCTTCTTTGTCTCTTTTGATCTTTGTTGGTTTAAAGTCTGTTTTATCAGAGACTAGGATTGCAACCCCTGCCTTTTGTTGTTTTCCATTTGCTTGGTAGATCTTCCTCCATCCCTTTATTTTGAGCCTATGTGTGTCTCTGCACGTGAGATGGGTTTCCTGAATACAGCACACTGATGGGTCTTGACTTTTTATCCAATTTGCCATTCTGTGTCTTTTAATTGGAGCATTTAGCCCATTTACATTTAAGGTTAATATTGTTATGTGTGAATTTGATCCTGTCATTATGATGTTAGCTGGTTATTTTGCTCGTTAGTTGATGCAGTTTTTTCCTAGCCTCAATGGTCTTTACAATTTGGCATGTTTTTTCAGTGGCTGGTACCGGTTGTTCCTTTCCATGTTTAGTGCTTCTTTCAGGAGCTCTTGTAGGGCAGGCGTGGTGGTGACAAAATCTCTCAGCATTTGCTTGTCTGTAAAGGATTTTATTTCTCCTTCACTTATGAAGCTTAGTTTGGCTGGATATGAAATTCTGGGTTGAAAATTCTTTTCTTTAAGAATGTTGAATATTGGCCCCCACTCTCTTCTGGCTTGTAGAGTTTCTGCCGAGAGATCAGCTGTTAGTCCGATGGGCTTCCCTTTGTGGGTAACCTGACCTTTCTCTCTGGCTGCCCTTAACATTTTTTCCTTCATTTCAACTTTGGTGAATCTGACAATTATGTGTCTTGGAGTTGCTCTTCTCGAGGAGTATCTTTGTGGCATTCTCTGTATTTCCTGAATCTGAATGTTGGCCTGCCTTGCTAGATTGGGGAAGTTCTCCTGGATGATATCCTGCAGAGTGTTTTCCAACTTGGTTCCATTCTCCCTGTCACTTTCAGGTACACCAATCAGATATAGATTTGGTCCTTTCACATAGTCCCATATTTCTTGGAGGCTTTGTTCATTTCTTTTTATTCTTTTTTCTCTAAACTTCTCTTCTTGCTTCATTTCATTCATTTGATCTTCCATCACTGATACCCTTTCTTCCAGTTGATCGAATCAGCTACTGAGGCTTGTGCATTCATCACGTAGTTCTCGTGCCATGGTTTTCAGCTCCATCAGGTCCTTTAAGGACTTCTCTGCATTGGTTATTCTAGTTAGCCATTCGTCTAATTTTTTTAAAGGTTTTTAACTTCTTTGCCATGGGTTCGAAATTCCTCCTTTAGCTTGGAGTAGTTTGTTCGTCTGAAGCCTTTTTCTCTCAATTCGTCAAAGTCATTCTCCGTCTGGCTTTGTTCCGTTGCTGGTGAGGAGCTGCGTTCCTTTGGAGGAGGAGATGCACTCTGATGTTTAGAGTTTCCAGTTTTTCTGCTCTGTTTTTTCCCTGTCTTTGTGGTTTTATCTACCTTTGGTCTTTGATGATGGTGATGTACAGATGGGATTTTGGTGTGGATGTCTTTTTTGTTTGTTAGTTTTCCTTCTAACAGTCAGGACCCTCAGCTGCCGGTCTGTTGGAGTTTGCTGGAGGTCCACTCCAGACCCTGTTTGCCTGGGTATTAGCAGCGGAGGCTGCAGAACAGTGGATATTGGTGAACAGCAAATGTTGCTGCCTGATCGTTCCTCTGGAAGTTTTGTCTCAGAGGAGTACCCGGCTGTGTGAGGTGTCAGTCTGCCCCTCCTTGGGGGTGCCTCCCAGTTAGGCTACTCGGGGGTCAGGGACCCACTTTAGGAGGCAGTCTGTCCATTCTCAGATCTCAGGCTGCATGCTGGGAGAACCACTGCTGTCTTCCAAGCTGTCAGACAGGGACTTTTAAGTCTGCAGAAGTTTCTGCTGCCTTTTGTTCGGCTATGCCGTGCCCCCAGAGGTGGAGTCTACGGAGGCAGGCAGGGCTCCTTGAGCTGCGGTGGGCTCCACCCAGTTCAAGCTTCCCAGCCGCTTTGTTTACCTACTCAAGCCTCGGCAATGGCGGGTGCCCCTCCCCCAGCCTCGCTGCCGCCTTGCAGTTTGATCTCAGACTGCTGTGCTAGCAATGAGCGAGGATCTGTGGGAGTAGGACCCTCCGAGCCAAGCGCAGGATATTATCTCCTGGTGTGCCGTTTGCTAAGATCGTTGGAAAAGTGCAGTATTAGGGTGGGAGTGACCTGATTTTCCAGGTGCCATCTGTCACCGCTTTCTTTGACTAGGAAAGGGAATTCCCTGACCCCTTGTGCTTCCCGGGTGAGGTGACGCCTCGCCCTGCTTTGGCTCACTGGGTGCGCTGCACCCCCTGTCCTGCACCCACTGTCCGACACTCCCCAGTGAGATGAACCCGATACCTCAGTTAGAAATGCAGAAATCACCCGTCTTATGCGTTGCTCACACTGGGAGCTGTAGACTGGAGCTGTCCCTATTCGGCCATCTTGGCTCCACCCCCACCCTTTTTTTTTTTTTTTTTTTTTTTTTGGTAAAAACAGAGTCTGGCTAGGTTGGGCAGTCTGGTCTTGAACTCTTGGCCTCTAGCAATGTTCTCACCTTCGCCTCCCAAAGTGCTAGAATTACAGATGTGAGCCACCGCACCCAGCCTAAAAATTATGTTTGAAGTTAGCTTTATTAAGGTGTCACTTATCTTATGTAAAATTTACCTACTTTACATGTACAATGTGAATTTTAACAAACGTATGCAGTTATATAGCCACCCATACAGTGAAGATAGGAACTATTTCCATCACCCAAAAAAGTTTCTTTCTTTCCTTTTGCAGTGAAGTTCTCTCTCCTACCTCTCTGGCCCTGGTAAACCACCTGTCTGCCTTCTATCACTATAGTTTTGCCTTTTCTAGAACATAGGTAGTCTCTTCTGTGTATGGATGTCTTCTTTCACATTGTAGTGTACTTTGGAGACTCAAACCATGTTATTACATGTATCAGTAATTCA
Organism: Homo sapiens; assembly: GCF_000001405.40. Lineage (NCBI taxonomy): Eukaryota > Metazoa > Chordata > Mammalia > Primates > Hominidae > Homo > Homo sapiens. Next base: position 54,869,866 of record NC_000014.9, on the reverse strand, counting down.
TTCCATCTTCTTGCTGAGTGTACTCCATTGTTTATATGTTCCAGTTGAGGGACATTGTCCTTTTGCTTTTTAGAAAACTTTTTATTGGGCCAGGCACGGTGGCTCACGCCTGTAATCCCAGCACTTTGGGAGGCTGAGGCAGGTGGGTCACCTGAGGTCGGGAGTTCCAGACCAGTCTGACCAACATGGAGAAACCCGATCCCTACTAAAAATACAAAATTAGCTGGGCGTGGTGGTATGTGTCTATAATCCCAGCTACTCAGGAGGCTGAGGCAGGAGAATTACTTGAACCTGGGAGGCAGAGGTTGCAGTGAGCTGAGATTGTGCCATTGCACTCCAGCCTGGGCAACAAGGGCAAAACTTCGTTTCAAAAAGAAAGTTTTTATTTTGAAACAATTTTAGACTGACTTACAGAATAATTATAAAGATAGTAGAGAGAGTTTTCATATACCCTTTCCCCAGTTTCTCCTGATGTTTAACATCTCACATGGCCATGGTACAATTATCAACATTTAAGAAATTAATACTGGCTGGGCATGGTGGCTCACGCCTGTAATCTCAGCACTTTGGGGGGCCAAGGCTGGCAGATCACGAGGTCAGGAGTTCGAGACCAGCCTGGCCAACATAGTGAAACCCCGTCTCTACTAAAAATACAAAAAAATTAGCTGAGTTTGGTGGCACGTGCCTGTAGTCCCAGCTACTCGGGAGGCTGAGGCAGGAGAATCGCTTGAACCCGGGAGGCGAAGGTTGCAGTGAGCCGAGACCACGCCATTGCACTCCAGCCTGGGTGACAGAGTGAGACTTCATCTCAAAAAAGAAATTAATATTGGAGCCAGGTGGTGGTGCATGCCTGTAGTCCCAGCTACTTGGGAGACCAAGGTGGGAGGATGGCTTGAGCCGTGGAGTTTAAGACTAGCTTGAGCAATATATCAAGATCCCATCTCTAAAATAATAATAATAATAATAAGGCCAGGTACGGTGGCTCACGCCCATAATCCCAGCACTTTGGGAGGCTGAGGCGGGTGGATCACGAGGTCAGGAGATCGAGACCATCCTGGCTGGCATGGTGAAACCCCATCTCTACTAAAAATACAAAAAATTAGCTGGGGTGGTGGCAGACGCCTGTAGTCCCAGCTACTTAGGAGGCTGAGGCAGGAGAATGGTGTGAACCTGGGAGGCAGAGCTTGCAGTGAGCCGAGATCATGCCACTGCACTCCAGCCTGGGCGACAGAGCAAGACTCTGTCTCAAAAAAAGAAAAAATAATAAAAATATACTTTATTTTAAAAAGTAATATTGGTACAATACTATTATTTAAACTACAGACTTTATTCAGATTTTCATTGTCATTTCTCTAGTCTCCTACAATCTGACAATTCCTTAGTCTTTCTGTGTCTTTCATGACTTTGATGCCTTAATTTTTTTTTTTAATTTTTAAACACTTAAAAAATAGAGACAGGATCTTGCCCTGTCACTCTATTTGGAGTGGAGTGGTGCAATCATAGCTCATTGTAGCATTGAACTGCTGGGCTTAAGTGATCCTCCTGCCTTAGCCTCCTGAATAGCTATGACTATAGGAGTGTGCTGCCGTGCCTGGCTAATTTTTTTCTTATTTTTTGTGGAGATGGGATATTGCAGTGTTACCTAGGCTGGTCTCAGAATGCTGGGCTCAAGTGATCCTCCCACCTTGCCCTACCAAAGTGCTGGGATTACAGGTGTGAGCCACTGTGCCTGGCCTGATGCTTTCTAAGAGTACTTGTTTAGATATTTTGTGTCCCTAGATTTGTCTGATGATTAGGCTGCAGTTATGGATTTTTGGGAAGAATACCGCAGAGGTGATGTGCCCTTCTCATGGTGTCCTATCAGGAGCTACCTGATGTCAGTATGTCCTGTTACTGGCAAAGTTAACCTTAATCATTTGGTTAAGGTAGCCTCTGCCAGGTTTCTCCACCAAGTTACTATTTTTCCTTTTCTGTACTCTGTTAAGGCAAATTATTGCTTTTTAAATTTTGATGTACCTCAATATGCATGGGAGATACATAGCTTTGCAGCTCCCTCAATCTTAATTGTAATAATAATAGTAATAACAATAACTAGCACTTGCTCCGCCTGCATAGTTCTAAACACATGTGCCCATTTAATCCTCATGACACCCTGTGAAGCAGGCACTTTATGCTCATTTTATAGCCGAGAAGACTGAGGTACAGAGTACCTTGCCCAAGGCCTAATAACTAGTAAGTGATGGAGCCAGATCTTTTTTTTTTTTTTTTTTTTTTTTTGAGACGGAGTCTTGTTCTCTCTTGCCCAGGCTAGAGTACAGTGACATGATCTCGGCTCACTGCAGCCTCCACATCCCGGGTTCAAGCAATTCTCCTGTCTCAGCCCCCCGAGTAGCTGGGACTACAGGCATGCACCACCACGCCTGGCTTATTTTTGTATTTTCAGTAGAGACAGGGTTTGACCATGTTGGCCAGGCTGGTCTCAAACACCTGACCTCAGGTGATCCACCTACCTCTGCCTCCCAGAGTGCTGGGATTACAGGCATGAGCCACTGCACCCAGCCTGGAGCCAGCTCTTCACTTCGCCTGAGTTGAAGGGCTGACTTTAACATGGGCCATATGGTTGTCGTCAGAGCTTAGGATGGGGACGCTCTCATTCTTTGCCAGAGAAAACAAATGCTTCCTATATTTAATGCTTCTCTCTTGTTTTTTCTTTAAGACATTTTTTTGGTTTGTTTTTCCTTCCAGGAATATATCTTGTGTGACTAAAGATTTTAGTAAGCTATATGTGGCAATCATACCATATTAAAATCTTGGGGAGAAATCCAAGAAACTTTTGGAAACATTAAGGATCTATTTTTGGTCTTCTTTTCAGAAATAAGACTGAAGGTAGGGCAGAATATTCAGCATAGAAAAGTGCTGTGGTAGAAGAAATACTCAGTGAGTGACACTGCGCCTTTTTCTCCTGGGATGTTATCAGCCACTTCTACCAGGGGTGTCTCTGTTTGTCTGTATGTGTCTAACCCTGCCATGTTCGCCTTTCTTGACCACACTAATGACTTTTCTATGACACAGTCAAATGTATCTCTGAATAGCCTGACTTGGGGTAATAACTGTGGTTTACGTGATGACTTGGTCTCTGTGAGCCCCCTATTCTAGTAGCAGTGGAGCCACTGAAGGTCAGGCAGTGTGGGTGGACATTTGTCCATCTTCCTGTGACTCACTCAGCCGCCTGCCTTTCTGAGGGGAAAGAGCTGCAGGTGCAAAGCTCTAATACATCCCTTCCCTTCTCTGTCTAATTCTATTATGTATATTGCATATCCCCCAAATCCTTGAAATTACTCAGCTACGTGTCTTATTATATCTAGTCTGCCAAGCTGTCTAGGTATCAGTACAGTTTTTTTCTATGTCTATATTTATTTTCCGAAAATGAAATCCTACTGTATTTCTTTGTAGCTTCTTTTCTCATTTGACAATATAGCTGAAGAAGTTTCCATGTCATATGGCATTTATCTACAATGTTGTTTGGGTACCTGCCTATTATCAATAGCTTGGCTATATTATGATTGGTGGGGAATGTGGCTTGTTTCCCTCTATCCCTCTTCAGCATCCAGGACAGGATGTTCTTGCAGTCACCGAATGTTAGGAAGCTCAGAGTGCTCTCAGGCATCATCTGATTAATCTTTTCTTTTGCACATAGCATAGTTGAGGATAAGTCAGTGCAATTTTTAAAAATAAAGCTTTTTTTTTTTTTAATGTCTATTGTATGTCTGGCTGGAAGTGCCAGGGTCCACAGCTTAAACAAGACACTGCTTATCTTCCAAAGCCTTCCCAGAGAGGCATATACACACAAACTGTAGGATTTATTTCCTTAGGAAGGCAACTGTTTAGAATAAGTCTGATGCTAGCCTACAATATATAGAACACTTTACAAATGTAGAAAATTACTTGGGGAATTGATAATAGAGGTCAGGTTTACAGGTGTCTGGATCTGGCCTCAGAAGTCAGAGGGCTAAGGATTAGTCTTTTTCTCAGATATGGTTTTCTACATATTGATTATAGACAAAATATAAAGTAGAAGAAAATGTAAGGAAGAAAGTGAAAGTGGCCCATTTCTACTGCCAGAAATAGCCACTGTTTTATTTTGGTATAATTTTTCCTTTCCTCCCTCCGTTCTCCTTCCTCTTCCATACTGCAAATATGTTCATAATCCTGCATTTTTCATGTAACACTGTATCAAGGATTTTTAAATGTTACTTACAGAAAAGGACTTTGCTACTTTGATAAGGAAAAATATCTAGTTTTAATTTGTATTCCCTTAATATTTTAGGGAGGATTAACGTTCGTTTATGTTGACTGTCTATTCATGTTTATCCATAATTCTACCTTTCTATAAAATTGGACATGTTACTAAAGCAAGCCTCTGATTTCAGATGTCCTAAACGATGCTATATTTGATGAAGATCATGATGAGATGGTGATTGTGAAGGACATAGACATGTTTTCCATGTGTGAGCATCACTTGGTTCCATTTGTTGGAAAGGTAAGGTTCTCTTTGTTGTTTCCCAGCAATTTAAAACATAGTGAAAGTTTTTCAATTAGAATAATTATATTTAAAATTTTTAGCTGCCAATTGCTGATATCTCAGGTATTTACAATTATACATATATGGTTATTCTTTATTAACCTGACTAATAACTTGAAACTTAAAAAACAAAACCAAAGTAGCAGAAGGCTCTCAGGATAAGCCTTTCATGTTAAATACCAGGTTCATAGGTTAAAATAATGAGGTTTAAGTAGCATCTCTCTCTCTCTTTTTTTTTTTTTGTAGCTACTACAGGCTCTGAAAACCTTTAACCTTTATTTATTTATTATTAGCATCCCAATCTAGAGATGCCCTTTATTTTAACTTGAATAATGTTTGATCCAAGATAGATATGTATGTATGGCATGTCATGAGCAACAATAATTGCAGAATTTCTTGTGACAGAGGTTATGGTATTTGTGGATTTGTTTCCATTCCTTTCTATATTAGGAAAAGTGAATCTAATGCATTAGATTCCTCAGCACCTCTGTGAATTTCTTTTGTCAGAAATGTTTAGTCCTAGTCTTATGAAACTTTAGATCTAATCTAGTTTACAGGAAATCCAGAGGCTGAATGGAACAAATCCAGAAGGTGGGGCACTCTGCTGAACAGCTGGCCTATTCTCTTTTCAATAGAGAATATTATGGGTGGGAGCACTATTTTAGGACAAAAGGGACTTAAGAGGTATAACCAAATGCAGTGTAAATACAAATGTGTGACTCTCCATTGGATTCCTGTTTAAACAAACCAAAAGTAAAACATTTGAGACAATTGGAGGAATTTAAATCTGAGTTAGTTATTAGATGTTGTCTAGGAATGACTACTTAACATACCTTTGAGAACATGTGGTATAGAACAAAGAGTTGTCCCATTTCCCTACCCCCATCATAATTTTATTTAATTTTGACTCTTTATTAATAATCTTTAAACAGAAGACTTACAAGAAGCAGTGTTATGAATACTTATATACCCATCAACTAAAGTTAAAGTGTTAACATTTGCTTCATTTTTGTCTTTGTTAAAGTATTGTATCTTTTCACTTTTTTATGGAAATAATATATAGATAGAAAATGCATAAAACTTAAGGGTGTTCCTTACCACTTCAGAGATCAAGAACTAGAATAGGCTGGCACGGTGGTTCATGCCTGTAATCCCAGCACTTTGGAAGGCTGAGGTAGGTGGATTGCTTGAACCCAGGAGTTCAAGACCAGCCTGGGCAACATGGTGAGACCCCATCTCTACCAAGATAAAAATAAAAATTACCTGGGCATGGTGGTGCATGCCTGTACTGCCAGCTACTCGGGAGGCTGAGATGGGAGGATGGCTTGAGTCCAAGAGGCAGGGGTTGCAGTGAGCCGAGATTGCGCCACTATATCCTAGCCTGGGCAACAGAGCCAGACTGCCAGACCCTGTCAAACAAACAAACAAACAAACAACAACGAAACCCCCACAACTACAATATGTGTAGCATCCTGGAAGCTCACCTCATTTCTTTTCTCTTCTTAATCCCTAATCCATCCTTTGTATCAGTTTATCAACTTATAACCCTATGGATTCGTTTTCTTGTTTTTCAACTATATGTAAGTGGAAAGATTCTACGATATGTACTCTTTGTGTCTGGCCTCTCTTGTTCTACATAGTCGGATTCATTGATGTCATTGCCTGTCATTGTAGTTTATTTTCATTGTTATATCTTATTCCATTGTACAAATATACCACAATTTATCTATTCTGCTCTTGGTGGACCTTTGTATTGTTGCCTCTTTTTTTTTTTTTTTTTTTTTTGCTATTACAAACAATACTGCTGTCAATACTTTTTTGGAGTACATGTGCATGCTTTTTTTTTTTTTTTTTTTTTTTTTTGAGACGGAGTCTCGCTCTGTCGCCCAGGCTAGATTGCAGTGGTGTGATCTCGGCTCACTGCAAGCTCCACCTCCCGGGTTCACGCCATTCTCTCACCTCAGCCTCCTGAGTAGCTGGGACTACAGGCGCCTGCCACCATGCTGGCTAATTTTGTTGTTGTATTTTTAGTAGAGAAGGGGTTTCACGGTGTTAGCCAGGATGGTCTTGATCTCCTGACCTCGTGATCCGCCCGCCTTGGCCTCCCAAAGTGCTGGGATTACAGGCGTGAGCCACCGCACCTGGCCCTAAAATATTTTCTTACTTATCCACAGCAGCACTATCACAAAATTAACAATAATTCTTAAATAGTGTCTAATAACGAATTCATATTTAAATTTCTCCAATTGTCTCAAATGTTTACTCTTGGTTTGTTTAAACAGGAATCCAAGGGAGAGTCACACATTTGTATTTACATTGCATTTGGTTATACCTGTTAAGTCCCTTTTGTTCTAAAATAGTGCTCCCACCCATAACATTCTCTACTGAAAAGAAAATAGGCCAGCTGTTCAGCAGAGTGCCCCACCTTCCAGATTTGTTTCCTTCAGCCTCTGGATTTCCTATAAACTAGATTAGATCTAAAGTTTCATAAGACTAGGGCTAAACATTTCTGATAAAAGTAGTTCGTAAGGGCTGGGCACGGTGGCTTACGTCAGTAATCTCAACACTTTGGGAGGCCAAGGCAGGTGGTGGATGTATCGCTTTGAGCTCAGGAGTTTGAGACCAACCTAGGCAACATGGTAAAACCCTGTCTCTACCAAAAAAAAAAAAACCAACCAAAAAAAAAAAAAACGAAAACCAATCAACCAAACAGACAAACAAAAAAACAGGCAAAAATTAGCTAGCATGGTGGCATGCACCTGTGGTCTCAGCTACTCGGGAGGGTGAGGTTGGAGAATCGCTTGAACCCAGGAGGTCGAGGCTGCAGTGAGCCGAGATCACACCACTGCACTCCAGCCTGGCAAGAGAGTGAATCCGTGTCCAAAAAAAAAAAAAAAAAAAAAAAGAGTAGTGCTTCATAAGGGTGCTGAAGACTTCATATTATATCACATCAGGGCCGAGTGAGGTGGCTCATGCCTGTAATCCCAGCGACTTGGGAAGTCAAGGTGGGAGGATAGCTTCAGGTCAATAGTTCAAGACCAGCAAGTGAGACTGTCTCTACCACAAAATAAATTTTTTTTTAAAATTAATTGGGCATGGTGGGTGCATACCTGTAGTCCTAGCTACTTTTTGGGAGTCTGAGGCAGGAAGATTGCTTGAGCTCAGGAGTTTCAGGTTACAGTGAACTATGATCATGCCACTGTACCCCAACCTGGGTGACAGAACAAGACCTTGTCTCTAAAAAGAAAAGAAGAGAAAGCAATCAGAAAACCCAGATACATCACATCAGAAGCCATATCGTATCTGGAAATCCTGCAATTGATAATGAAGGAATCTTTGAAAGGGAATCTATTGGTGAGCAAATTAGGCACAGAAAGCCTGTGACTTGTTCAAGAGGATAGAGAGAGTTAGTGGCTTGGCTGCAGCCAGATCCAAGGCACTGATTCTGTACTCAGCCTGTCACCATTTTATCCTGTTACTTTCTGCTATTACTTCCTCAGTGTTTGTGTTTTTGCTACCTTTGTTTTAAAAATATATTATTTAGTGATTTTTTTTTTTTTTTTGAGACAGTTTCGCTCTTGTTGCCTAGGCTGGAGTGCAGTGGTGCGATCTCGGCTCACTGCAACCTCCGCCTCCCAGGTTCAAGCAATTCTTCTGCTTCAGCCTCTCGAATAGCTGGGATTACAGGCACCCGCCACCACGCCTGGCTAATTTTTGTATTTTTAGTAGAGATGGGGTCTCACCATGTTGGCCAGGCTGGTCTTGAACTCCTGACCTCAGGCAATCCACCCAAAATGTTGGAATTACAGGTGTGAGCCACCACTCCTGGCCTATCTAGTGATTTTGTGAAATGGACATTTAAATTACCTAGGATCTTAAGACCAAAAATAGTATAAACAATGAACAAATTCCGTGTCTGCATGGAAATGTAAAAATTTCAGACAGCATAGAAGACCTTGGTTCATGGGAAAGTTTTAACTCTCTAATTTTTCTTTGAAATCCTCAATGTTCAGGTGCTATTTTACTTTTTCCTCCTGCCAACCAGGAAGGCAATGAGGTGGACTTCTCAAATTCCTAAAGCATAGTGCCAATGGATGGGGGAAAAAATCACTAAGTACTACTAGATCAATTATGTAAATAGTAAGTGAACAATGAAAACAGTGTTAGCAAACCATGATGCCGTTGAGTCTCTAATTTTATATTCGGTTAATTAATTGCCTACAAGTGACCATTTACTCTATTAATCTTTTCAGAGAACTAATGTTTTTCGTATGTAGTATTTGGCCCCAAAAGAGTAACTTTTATATTTGATATTAATTGGTGCCATTTAAGATAACAGAAATGGCCTGGCTGTATATTGGGTCCTTTAAAACTTAGTTCTTAGGGTGCAGGTTCTTGCCAAGCCATGGTGGTAGCAGTGCCCTTTTTCTCCAGTTAGGAAGATGGGGCCGGGCGTGGTGGCTCACGCCTGTAATCCCAACTCTTTGGGAGGCCGAGGCGGGCAGATCACAAGGTCAGGAGATCGAAACCATCCTGGCTAACACGGTGAAACACCATCTCTACTAAAAATACAAAAATTAGCTGGGTGTGGTGGCAGGCGCCTGTAGTCCCGGCTACTCAGGAGGCTAAGGCAGGGGAATTGCTTGAACCTTGGAGGCGGAGCTTGCAGTGAGCCAAGACTGGGCCACTGTACTCCAGCCTGGGCGACAGAGTGAGACTCCATCTCAAAAAAAAAAAAAAAAAAAAGGAAGATGGTGCACTCTCTAGCAGCTTAGAAACCAGGAAGCCAAGCACAAAAGGGTGTGGAGACCTTCTGTGCTGCAGGGCTTTGCGGTGGGATCTTAAGGCTGTGAGGTGGGATCTTAAGGCTGCTGTGATGTGTGGAATGGCAATACTTATGCTTACAGTTTTTGCCATTTAAAGGAGGCTTTCCTGTATACATTTTAGTGTTGCTATGAGATCATTTGCCTTTCCTTGAGAATGTTTCTCCTCCATAAAGAAGAAACTTTCAGATTTGTGTCAAGAGTTCAACTTCACAGGTAAGTGTCAGGGCCATGCAATTGACTCTTGAACAACATGAATTTGAACTGCATGGGTCCACTTAGACATGGCTCTTTTTCAAGCAAACACTGATCAAAAATTCTACAGTATTTGCAGGATACAAAACCTGTATAGATGGAGGGGCAACTTTTCATATATGCAGGTTCTGCAGGGCCGACTGCGGGACTTGAGTATGCAGGATTTGGGTATACACAGGGGTCCTGGAAGCAATCTCCCGCATTTACCAACGGACAACTGTACAAGTTTGTTATTTGATTAATAGACTCATACTTATATATTTTGCTTTTACTGCATTTATGTAATTTTAAAAATACATATATAAATGTTTCATTTTCTAAGTCTTAACAGTTCCAGATGTTTTCAAGGTAATACATTGTCGTGATAAATTACATAAAAGTGTACTATATTCTTTCTATATTTCCTTATTTTGTCACAAAGAAGGCACTGTATTTTCACTCAGCTAATGATTTCCGTCTCTTCTCTGAAGGTCCATATTGGTTATCTTCCTAACAAGCAAGTCCTTGGCCTCAGCAAACTTGCGAGGTAAGTGTGACTGTGCAGTGAACAAGAATACAGGTTTATAGGACCTGCCCTCATCTGCTGAGAATCTATCTCATCAGGCTTTCTCTCTTTACCTGTATGGATCTAACTTGGAAGTCATATTGCAACTTAAAGACTTGGAGGGTCTGAAACACAGATGCCCCTTCCTTCTCGTCCCCTACTGCCTGCTTCCTCTTCCACTTCCCACCCTTTCTTCCATAGATACATACATCCTGGAAGTCTCAGCCCACCTCTTTCTCTGCAGAGCCTTCTCTGACTGGAGAGGTCCTGAGCTTACCTTCAGTCCAGCCCCATCCTTTAAGGGGGGTTTAGCTAACAGTGAGGGGTTGGGGAAGAAGCTGGGCAGGGGTCTAGCTGCAGTGCTCTGCTGTCGAACTTGTTGTCAGGCCTGAGGACTCTTCTATCCTTGTCAAGGGGAGTGCTCACCTTCTTTGCTTTCATACAACACTGCTTTCAGACTTGTAATGAAACTTCCCTGTGGGATCCCCAGCCTCAACCCTGCCTTGCTCTGCACTGGATGCCTCCAGGCATATCTCAGGGGTCCTGCAGGCCAGTCCGTTCATGTCTAGGTTCTTTGTTTCTGCAAACACAAGACTGCCTGCCTTGGCTTTGCACAGCTTTATTCTGATACAGTGTTCACGCTCCTCGCTCTCATTTCTCTTTCCTGCTACAATCTTCTTTTCTGTTGTTTATCCTGTGGGTTCATGCCTTAAAAAATTCCCTTACTGCCTTTTTTATTTGGGTTTTAGGAGAGGTGATGTACATACACGTTCATCTGTGTTTAACTGGAAGTCAACATGGGGGTTTGTGTTCAGATATCTCTGGTAGGCCCCAGCCACCAATATTTTATTGCCCTTAAATATCCTTGTTGTTTCTTCGTATAAAGTTAGTGAATTTTGAGTGATGGAGGAAATACTGGGAGGTGTGTGTGTGTGTGGAGAGAGAGAGAAAGTTAAGAACAAGATGAAGGGGTCGGGTAAAGTGTTCCTACTCTTTTTTTTTTTCAAAAATAATCAAGCTAAGTTTGAATAACTTGAGGTTATAGTGACCATATCATAATTGAAATAAATGAGTCTCGGCCGGGTGCCGTCTTTCACACTTGTAATCCCAGCACTTTGGGAGGCTGAGGCGGGCGGATCACTTGAGGTCAGGAGTTTGAGACCAGCCTCACCAACATGGTGAAACCCCATCTCTACTAAAAATACAAAGATTAGCTGGGCGTGGTGGCGCACACCTGTAATCCCAGCTAATCAGGAGGCTGAGGCAGGAGAATTACTTGAACCCGGGAGGCAGAGCTTGCAGTGAGCCGAGATTGTGCCATTGCACTCCAGCCTGGGCGATGGAGTAAGACCCTATCTCAAAAAAATAAAAATAAAAGAAGAGGAATAAATGAGTCTCTGTGACCAGTTGACTGTGCTGTGGCTCTGATGTGTTCCTGTTTCTTTATGCAGGCCCTGGGATTTAACACAGTTGTGAAATGGTGGTCCTGATATTTCTCAATTCTGTGTTGGAATCTGTAAAAAAAAAACTACTCCAGCAATCTGACAACTGCCCTCTAAAGTTGTTCCTGTTACTTTGTTTTCACTTCCACTTTCTCATTCATTTCCTCTGGGGATCAATAAGAAAGTGGGTAGAAGAGACAAATTTAACTTCCCCAGTTTCTGACCTCATTCCTGCTCAGCTATTTTGCTATTAGATAGGGCTGCTTGGCACCATGAAAGAATATTATATCATAGCTGTAATTGCTTCACTGGAATAAGGCTCTTAGCACAAATCCAGAAACATTCTGGCTGCTTGCGTGTGATCCATCCCTGGTGGCAGTGCTGAAAAGTTGCTGAGAAAAAGTGTGTTGGTAGTGATTGGGAGTAATTAATCTTACTATAATTTTTATTAACGACTCCCTTCCCAGTAACTTACCCTCAACTAATGATGTATTAAACCAATTTCATGTCAACTGTGAGTAAAAGTATCTTTACTAAAATTGGTTATTCTTATGGTTTTATAATATACAGTCTAAGTAAAATCAGCATGCTTACTGTGCAAACATAGCTGTAGGCCCAGTCCCCTGGGCCTCCCTGTCAGCAAGATTGCTAACCCTATACCTTGCCCATATAGAAATTCCAGCACTGCTGATGCCTATAACAGACTGTCCATATGTGAAAGGTGTAATGGATAGTTTCATAGTGTAAAAAAGCTTGGCAGATCACATTAGGCCTTGGTCTTAATGTAACAGCCTTCTCTGAAAAACCAACTGTTGATCATGATTAACACTTTATGGGAAATGGACTCTTGAGTGATTCAGTGAGATCATACAATAAATGGCAACCTGGTGGTAGAAGGAAATAATCTTAGTTATTTCCTTTCCAAGTGAAAGGAAAAGATCTCAAATAATTAAGCTTTTATGAAACAATACAAAGGAGTTGATTATTAGCATGGGGATTTGTCCTTAGACTAATAGGATTAAAATTTAAGAATAAAATGGAACATGAAGCCAAAGAACCAAGTGTATGTTGCTTTCAAATATTTTGCAAAAAATTTGAATAAAGAGTCTATTAAATAGAAAAGAAGACTAAGATTTTATCCAACTACTTATTCCTTATAAGAAGTAAGAATATTTAGAGAATGAAGAGGAATAAAAGCTGAATGTCTTAGCAAAACTTCACTGCTCATTTTAATCTTATATATGAAGTTTGTTATATGCTTGCCTTTAAATGAATGACCTTTCAGTGCCAGTGAAGTCAAATATCAAGCAGTAAAGCCTTAAGTAACAAGAAAATGCCAGAAGTGAGTTGATCTGGCTCAACTCTAGTAGAATTCTAGAATAAACTTAGTTTGAATAGAACTTTCTTTTGTTGCTGAAAAGCCATTGAACATGTATTCATTTTCTTCCCTTAGAAATAACTGAGCCTCGGCTGGGTGAGGTGGCTCATGCCTGTAATCTCAGCACTTTGGGAGGCCGAGGTGGGCAGATCACTTGAGGTCAGGAGTTCCAGACCAGCCTGGCCAACATGGTGAAACCCCATCTCTACTAAAAATACCAAAATTAGCAGGGCATGGTAGCATGCGCCTGTAATCCCAGCTACTTCGGAGGCTGAGATGGAAGAATCGCTTGAACCTGGGAGGCGGAGGTTGCAGTGAGCCGAGATTTCACCACTGCACTCCAGTCTCGTGACAGAGCAAGACTCTGTGTCACTAAAAATAAATAAATAAATAAATAATTGAGTGAATGTACGAAATCTTGAATTTAGAGTTGTAGTATCTCAGGTAGCCATGGCTGACCTGTTGGGTGGGCACTGTGCCAGCTACTGTGGAGGCTAAAGAAGCAGGACATGGCAGCCACCCTCAAGGAGAGTGCACAGGGCAAGACTGCAAGTGCCATGGAAATGCCTGCTGTAGCTCCAAGTTCAGAGGAGCCATGATGGCTGTGGCCTGGCAGGTGAATAGACCTGGAGGTGGAGGGATGAGCAGAATTCTAAATGGGGGAGAAGTTTCTCTAGGTATAGTTAATGCATGAGCAAAGACCAGTCAGAGGGTAGGAGCAAGGCCTATTCCAGTGGATGGGAACCAGATTGACTGATGGAAGTAAGAGTAAGTGAGGTGAGTATTAGATTACAGAGGGAGCAGTATTTTTTTTTCTTTTTTGACTATAAAAGCAACATACCATTTAAATACAAATGAGTGAATAAAGTGAAAACTTTTCTTACCTATTTTCATTCCCCAGAGTTAGAACTAGAGATTTCTTTCACTATCCTTCTGGAAAATATTTATGCAAGCACAAACATAAGATCATATCTTATATTCTGTACTACAACTTGCTTTTTAAAATTTTATTTTATTTGGTGTTTTTTTGAGATGGAGTCTTGCTTTGTCGGCCAGGCTGGAGTGCAGTGGTGCGATTTTGGCTCACTGCAACCTCTGCCTCCTGGGTTCAAGTGATTCTCCTGCCTCAGCCTCCCCAGTAGCTGGGATTACTGATGTGCACCACCATGCCTGGCTAATTTTTGTATTTTCAGTAAAGACAGGGTTTCTCCATGTTGGCCAAGCTGGCCTCGAACTCCTGGCCTCAAGTGATCAGCCTGCCTTGGCCTCCCAAATGCTGGGATTACAGGCATGAGTCACTGCACCCGGCCAGCTTTTTTTTTTTTTTTTTTTTTTTTGAGACAGGGTCTTTCTCTGTCGCCCAGGCTGGAGTGCAGTGGCACTATCTGGGCTCACTGCAGCCTCCACCTCCTGGGTTCAAGCGATTCTCCTGCCTCAGCCTCCTGAGTAGCTGGGATTACAGGCGTGTACCACCACGCATAGCTAATTTTTGTATTTTTAGTAGAGATGGGGTTTCAACATGTTGGCAAGACTGGTCTTGAACTCCTAACCTCAGGTGATCTGCTCACCCCAGCCTCCCAAAGTGCTGGGATTACGGGAGTGAGCCACCGCGCCTGGCCCTGGCCAGCTTTTTAAAAATTTAAAATACCTTGAAGTTCTTTGGACATCTTTTAGTCCAAAAAGTCCAAGTTTCTTTTCATAGCTACCTAATATTTCTTTGATTAATACAATTCATTTAACCAGTATTTGCTATAGATAAGTACAGTTTGCAGTTTGAGACTTGCCAAAAAGTAAAAAAGTACCCTGGTGAACAAATTTTATTATCTTTGTGTGCTTTGAATCTATCTGAAGTTTAAATTACTAGTATGGAACTTGATGGGTAAAGGGTAGCCGAATTTTTGATATTATGAAATTGCTCTCCAAAGAGACCATGCCAGTTTATACTCTAATAAATAGATACATAGGTAAGGGGTGGTGTATGTTTCTCCACACTTCGGCCAACACACTTTTCATCACACTTTTAAATCTTTGCCAAACTGATAAGTAAAAAATAGTATCTATTTTAATTTGCATTTCCTTAATAGAGCGAGGTTGAATCTATTCAGACACTTCCTGTTCTTAGCTCCAGTATTAATTTTTCCACTGAGTTATTTGTCTTTTTATTCTTGGTTTGCACAAGCTCTGAATGTTAAAGCAGTCAGGTCAGGTGCTACAGACAATGCTTCCCAGCTCGTCATTTGTCTTTTGATTTTGCTTTATAGTATTATATTTCCATAAAGAAGTTTAAAACTTTTCTGTAGTTCACAAACTTCTTTTTTTTTTGGTACTTGTATGGCCACATTATTATATTTAAATCTTTGCTCCATCTGGAGTGTATTTTGGGGTGAGGAGTGAGGCAGAACCCATCCACTGCTGCGTGTGCTCACTGCCCGGCAGGTGCAGCACCCCCACTTCCTGCCTTCCTGCCCTCCCTGCTGCAGGTCTTTGCTGGGCCTTTCTTATCTTCCTCCTGGAGGGAATGTTAAGCTCCTGCCTCCTCCCTGCCTCTCATCTCTGAGGATCCTTCAGTTTGCCCTCATGAGCTGCTGGGATGTTCTTTCTAAAGTGTGGATTGGATCATGCTGCTCCTTTGGTGGCTCACCACAGCTTTTCAGTTAAAGTCCAAACTCCTTATTTAGAATAATTTAGAAAAAGCCAAAGAACAGAAATCACAAATCTACAAGTTGAAAATCTTGTATCATAGGTTGCTGGGGAGTCTGATATCTAGGAATGAGACGATATGTAACTAAAAATATGCTTTATAAATCTTTACATCTTGATGAATACGTTTTTTAAAAAGATGGGGAGAGAAAGGAATGGACCAAGAGTTTGAAAGCCTGCATACATTAATAACCATTAGAAAAGGTCAAATTAATGATTTGGGGGAAAGTGCCTGGACCCAGTCAGTTTTATAAGTGTTCTTTCAAGCTTTCAAGTAACCACAAATTTTGCATGTGTATAAATAATTCAAGAGCGTAGAGAAACCTGTGAAGTGTCAATTAATTTGATGAAGCTGCCTATTCTTGATAACAAAGCCTGATAAGCCTAGCATTAAAAAAAAAAAATGATAGGCAAATCTCACTGATTAATGTAGTTGTAAGAATCTTAAAATGTCAGGCTAGTATAGAAGTACTGTTTTCAACATGACCCAGGGATGTTTAGTCCAAGAATGTAAGAATGGTTTAGATTAAAACTGACAACTACTGATGCTGGGTGTGGTGAACTAGATTAATAATGCCCCTCTTGGCACAGCGTATCAAGATATAATGCATATGTACATTTTACACTTTCGGGAAAGCATGAGGCAATTCTAGTGAGAATCCACTGGAATTAGCACTAAAGCCACAGTCTGGATTCTGTCCTCCCTTTTCCCATCCCAAATCAAGGACGATACTTACCTATTAGCATTATTCTAGGAAGAGCAGGAAAAAGAAAAAGGAACTCATAGACACATTCATAAAGTTTGGGATCAGAATTAGTACTACCTGTGTGGCCTTCAAAAAATCAAATGGAATAATTTAGTTTCAAACGACCCCATAAGGCCAGGCATGGTGGATCATGCCTATAATCTCAGCACTTTGGGAGGCCAAGGCAGGTGGGTCACCTGAGGTCAGCAGTTTGAGACCAGCCTGACCAGCATGGTGAAACCCCATCTCTACTAAAAATACAAAAATTAGCTGGGCATGGTGGCACACGCCTGTAGTCCCAGCTACTCAGGAGGCTGAGGCAGGAGAATTGCTTGAACCCGGGAGGTAGAGGTTGCAGTGAGCTGAGATCGCACCATTGCACTCCAGCCTGGGCAAGAGCAAAAACTCTGTCTCAAAAATAAATAAATAAAAATAAATAAAACATCCCCATAGAGGTATCCTTGCAGGCAGCTAGCAGAAACTAGTGCATGTTCTCTGATGCACTTTTATCCAGGCTTGGAAGGATACCCAAAGATGAAGTTCCAAGGAGTACCATGAGTCGAGTCAGACAAACACGATGGAAGAGGGCAGATAGTAGAACTATCAGAGATAGGATATAAAACAAGTACAGTAAGTCCTCACTTTACGTTGTCGATGGGTTCTTGGAGACTGCAACTTGAAGCGAAATGACTTCAGGCAAAGTGGCATATAACAGTCCTGGAATAATGTTGTTTCATTCAATGTCATTTCAGTATGATTGAGAAAAAAAAATTCCTTGCTGGGACCCACTGTCTGTGTGGAGTTTGCATGTTTTCTCCCACATCTGTGAGTTTCCTCCAGGTGCTTCTGTTTCCTCCCACATCCCAAAGATGCACACGTTAGGTGATTTGGCGTATCTGATCTGAGTGGTCCCAGTCTGAGTGAGAGTAGGTGGATGTGTGTGCCCTGTGATGGGATAGTGTCCTGTCCAGGGTCAGTTCCTGCCTTGTACCCTGAACTGCTGGGAAAAGCTCCAGCCACTTGAGACCTTGAACTGGAATAATTGGGGAAATCAATATCTTTCCATTAATCTTTCTTAAATGTATGTATCACTCACATTTATTTTAGTGTTTAATATTAGAAGTGTTTTTGTGTTTATTTGGAAGTTTGTTGACGTTTTTGTGACCAGAAATATGCTATGGGAGCTTAATTCTTATTATATCAATTAGCCTAGGGTAAAATTTGTTTTGTTCTCAGTGTTTTAGTAAAGTCATAGATTCCGAGAACCTGTCGACCTTGAGCAAGGACTTACTATATATTAAAAAATAGGCTGGGTGCAGTGGCTCACGCCTGTAATCTCAGCACTTTGGGAGGCCAAGGCGGGCAGATCACCTGAGGTCAGTAGTTCGAGACCAGCCTGGCCAACATGGTGAAACACCATCTCTACTAAAAATACAAAAATTACTATTGTGAGTAGTGCTGCAATAAACATATGTGTGCATGTGTCTTTATAGCAGCATGATTTATAATCCTTTGGTTATATACCCAGTAATGGGATGGCTGGGTCAAATGGTATTTCTAGTTCTAGATCCCTGAGGAATCGCCACACCGTCTTCCACAATGGTTGAACTAGTTTACAGTCCCACCAACAGTGTAAAAGTGTTCCTATTTCTCCACATCCTCTCCAGCACCTGTTGTTTCCTGACTTTTTAATGATTGCCATTCTAACTGGTGTGAGATGGTATCTCATTGTGGTTTTGATTTGCATTTCTCTGATGGCCAGTGATGAGGAGCATTTTTTCGTGTGTCTGTTGGCTGCATAAATGTCTTCTTTTGAGAAGTGTCTGTTCATATCCTTCACCCACTTTTTGATGGGGTTGTTTGATATTTTCTTGTAAATTTGTTAAAGTTCTTTGTAGATTCTGGATATTAGCCCTTTGTCAGATGGGTAGATCATAAAAATTTTCTCCCATTCTGTAGGTTGCCTGTTCACTGTGATGGTAGTTTCTTTTGCTGTGCAGAAGCTCTTTAGTTTAATTAGATCCCATTTGTCAATTTTGGCTTTTGTTGCCATTGCTTTTGGTGTTTTAGTCATGAAGTCCTTGCCCATGCCTATGTCCTGAATGGTATTGTCTAGGTTTTCTTCTAGGGTTTTTATGGTTTTAGGTCTAACATTTAAGTGTTTAATCCATCTGGAATTAATTTTTGTATAAGGTGTAAGGAAGGGATCCAGTTTCAGCTTTCTACATATGGCTAGGCAGTTTTCCCAGCACCATTTATGTTTTCCCCATTTCTTGTTTTTGTCATGTTTGTCAAAGATCAGATGGCTGTAGATGTGTGGTATTATTTCTGAGGGCTCTGTTCTGTTCCATTGGTCTATATCTCTGTTTTGGTACCAGCACCATGCTGTTTTGGTTACTGTAGCCTTGTAGTATAGTTTGAAGTCAGGTAGCGTGATGCCTCCAGCACATGCACACGTATGTTTATTGTGGCACTATTCACAATAGCAAAGACTTGGAACCAACCCAAATGTCCATCAGTGATAGACTGGATTAAGAAAATGTGGCACTTATACACCATGGAATACTATGCAGCCATAACAAAAGATGAGTTCATGTCCTTTGTAGGGACATGGATGAAGCTGGAAACCATCATTCTGAGCAAACTATCGCAAGGACAGAAAACCAAACCCTGCATGTTCTCACTCATAGGTGACAATTGAACAATGAGAACACTTGGACACAGGGTAGGAAACACACACCGGGGCCTGTCGTGGGGAGCAGGGAGGGATAGCATTAGGAGATATACCTAATGTAAATGATGAGTTAACGAGTGCAGCACACCAACGTGGCACTTACATACATATGTAACAAACCTGCACGTTGTGCACATGTACCCTAGAACTTAAAGTATAATAATAATTAAAAAAAAAAACAAATTAGCTGGATGTGGTGGCGGGTGCCGCTAATCCCAGCTACTTGGGAGGCTGAGGCAGGAGAAATGCTTGAACCTGGGAGGCAGAGGTTGCAGTGAGCTGAGATTGTGCCATTGCACTCCAGCCTGGGTGACAAGAGGGAGACTCTGTCTCGGGGGAAAAAAAAAAAAAAAAAAAGAACCTACTTATATATAAAAAAATTGACAAAGGAGATCGGGCGTGGTGGCTCACACCTTTAATCCCAGCACTTTGGGAGGCCAAGGCAGGCGGATCATGAGGTCAGGAGTTCAAGACCGGCCTGGCCAACATGGTGAAACCCTGTCTCTACTAAAAATACAAAAATTAGCTGGGTGTGGTGGCAGGCACCTGTAATCGCAGCTACTTGGGAACCTGAGGTAGAGAATTGCTTGAATGCGGGAGGTGGAGGTTCCAATGAGCTAAGATTGTGCTGCTGCACTCCAGCCTGGGCAACAGAGCAAGACTCCGTGCCAAAAAACAAACAAAAAAAAATTGACAAAGGGATAAGAAACTTGCAGAATTAGCCAGGCAGATTGGGAAGAGGAGGAAATATAACTTTTAGAAATTAAAAAAATGAAACTGAAGTCCAGTATACTCATTAAATAGATTAGACATAGATTAAATACGGTGATTGGGAAGAAAGGTCTAAAGAAATTGTGCTGAATGCAGCGCAAAGACAGGTAGAAAATATGAATGAGAATTTAAGAAACATGGAAGACTGGGAGGGTATAATATGCCCTTAATTGAAATTCCTGGAGATAACAGAGGCAATGTGCTAGATGCAACGTTAGAGAAGATAATGGCTAAAAAAGTTTCTAGAACACATGCAAAATATCGGTCTTCAGAAAGCCTAATAAATTCCAAATAAGTCAAATTAAATCCCTACTTGGATTAAAACATAGTAAATTGCAGTATATACTTATAAAATATAGTTAATATAAAAGCAGCCAAAGAAAGAAATATCGATTATCTAAAAGGCAACAGCAGTTACACTGAATTGGTTTGCCAACAGCAATACTGAAGGGCAAGATAGATATCAGTGTCAAACTAGAATTCGGTTCCCAGCAAATACCTCTCAACAAATTATCTTTCCAGAATGACAGCAAAATAAAGATTTTTTTTTTTAATCTAGGGAAGCTACATGACATGCTGAAAAGATGTGTTAGGTTTCATATTTACTCCTCACTTGTAAAAGAAAACTAATAAACTAGGGTTTAGAAATAATAAGCTCTCAGAGCACAGAGAGCATGTTCACCATATAATCACATACATAGCAGGCACTCAGTAAAAATCTATGGGAATGTTCCTCCTGCCATGAGAGCAGCTGTCTGCCAGAAGCAGGCAGGCACTGTGGGTGGTAGTGAAATCCTAGAGGCATTCCTATTGAAGTGTGGAGCAAAACATGGTTGCCCAGTGTTACCACTATTGTCCAATGTGGCACCTGAAGTTCTACTCCAGAAAAAGAATGGTGAATACGAGAAGGAAAACATTACTAACTTTAAAATCAATGGCATCTCCTACATATATAACAAACTAATCACCTGAAAAACTATCAGAAGTAATATATACAGAAATTTGACCTAGTAAGAAATATGACATACCTCCTATCTAGGAGCTTAAAAACCATTCCTTTCTAAGGTTTTGTTCAAAATACCAATAGAATATAGCTATTAATATATTTCTTCAATATCCTAGTAACTACTGCTGGGATAAAGGAGAGCTAGGATGGCTTCTGCCCTCAGGGAGCTCTGGGCTGAGTGGTAAACGGGGTGGCGGACCTGTTACTGACTTTGTTGGCTGTAATGGGTATAAAGGAGCAAGTTGTTGGTTCTGAGACGTGTAGTTGGGGGAAGAGCCAGGAAATGCCTCATAGGGAGGTGAACCATAAATTGAATCTGAATTCATGATCAAAAGGCCATGAATTTAAAGAAAAGGTCCTCAGTGTGAATAGTCATCTTCAAATGGATAAGTCACGTGGTCATCTTTATATTTCATAAATAGAATGAAAGATGTTGAAAGGGGAAAATTCTGGCTGGGCACAGGGGCTCACGCCTGTAATCCTAGCATTTTGGGAGACTGTGGTGGGCAGATCACGAGGTCAGAAGTTCGAGACCAGCCTGGCCAACATGGTGAAACCCTGTCTCTACTAAAAATACAAAAATTAGCCGAGCATGGTGACGGGTGCCTATAGTCCCAGCTACTCAGGAAGCTGAGGCAGGAGAATCGCTTGAACCCAGGAGGCAGAGGTTGCAGTGAGCTGAGATCATGCCATTGCACTCCAGCCTGGATGGCAAGAACAAGACTCCATCTCAAAAAAAAAAAAAAAAAGAGGAAAATTTATCACTTGACAGATTGTGCTATAAGTTAAGATCAGGAGGCTTTTATTTCTTGGGGGTTAATCTTACTAAGTGCTTACATAAACCTATCTTATGAAGAGGTGTCTGAAGAAGTCTAATCAGTTCCAATCTGATTCTCCTAATAGGTTTAGTTGGTATAGTAGTTGACCGTGGTGTGCTATTAATTAACAAAGTCTTTTTATTTTTAACTTGAATTTTAAGCTCTGATAAAACAATATGATTAATCAGAGCACTTGAGACATGATCTAAAATTGATGATTTGGAACTTTAAAATTTTGTTACTCATCTCTGTTTTTCCTAAGTGAACGTCACAGTTGGAGACTCATTAATTCTCTTTCTGGGGACATCAGGAAGCACCACTCTGCAGTGGTTGGTGGTCTTCTGTATTAGTAAGGGTTCCCTAGAGGGACAGAACTAATAGGAGATATATATATATATATAAAGGGGAGTTTATTAAGTATTGACTTACATGATCGCAGGGTCCCACAATAGGCTGTCTGCAAGCTTGAGGAGCAAGGAGAGCCAGTCTGAGTCTCAAAACTGAAGAACTTGGAGTTCGATGTTTGAGGGCAGGAAGCAGCCAGCATTGGAGAAAGATGTAGGCTGGGAGTCAAGGCCACTCTTGCCTTTTCATATATTTCTGCCTGCTTTGTATTCGCTGGCAGCTGATGAGATTGTGCCCACCCAGATTAAGTGTGGGTCTGCCTTTCCCAGCCCACTGACTCAAATGTTAATCTCCTTTGGCAACACCCTCACAGGCATACCCAGGAACAATACTTTGCATCCTTCAATCCAATCAAGTTGACTTTAGACTACATCTCCCTGTGGTACTTGTATCTTTCTGTCATCTTGCCATAAGCTTTATTTCCTCTTGCAGCCCACTTGCTTCAACAATGTCCTTTTTGTTTTATGAGGAAGGCTTATCAATTTTACTTCAAATGATTTGTGATTAACTAAAACAATTCTTTCTTTTCTAGGATTGTAGAAATCTATAGTAGAAGACTACAAGGTAAGCTTTAAAAATCTGTATTAACAGAAAACATTTTTCTTTTTTTTCTTTTTTTAAATTTTTATTTTTGAGACAGAGTCTTGCTCTGTCACCCAGGCTGGAGTGCAGTGGTGCAATCTCGGCTCACTGCAGCCTCAGCCTTCCAAGTAGCTGAGATTATAAGAGTGCATCACCATGCCTTGGCTAATTTTTGTATTTCTAGTAGAGACGGGGTTTCACCATATTGATCAGGCTGGTCTCGAACTTCCGACCTCAGGTGATCTGCCCACCTTGGCCTCCCAAAGTGCTGGGATTACAGGCATGAGCCACTGTGCCTGGCTACAGAAAACATTTTTCCTACACAAAAAGTATTTTTTGTTTTATTACTAGTGCGATAAGTATGACTTATAAAAATGTAAAACCTCTTAGGACTATAAAAAGTCTACTGTTTCAAGCTTCCAGAAGAAATCACTGTTGTATTTGCACATTCCTTCACATTTTCATGCATATACCTGCATTTTCAAATCAATTTATTTGGATTATGTTTAAACAAAAATGGGCTCATTTTATACATAATCAGCCTTGCTTTTTTCCCTGCTTTTTTTCATTTAACAAATCTTAAACATTTTTGCCACATCCATGTAACTATCTCATTCATTCTGGTGGCTGTCTAGAATCCTACCGTATATGCCATGGCTTGGCGTAACCTATACCAGCTCTGATAGATACTGGGGGGTTTCATCAGTTTTCAAATAGATGCAGTGCTGCAATGAATATTCCTGTATGAATTAAAAGACAAGTCATTTTATTCAGGACAGGAACTATATTATTTAGGTTAAATTGTTGGTTTTCAACATTGCTCTAAGCACAATTCAATAATTGGACTGCAGCCCCTTTGTTAACCCTGTTGCAGGCTATTTATTTGCTGCACTACTTTACCTCCATGGAGGTGCTTGGTAACCAGTACTGTGTTGTTCTAACTGCACAGGTATGAGATAATTGCTATTCTAATTCCTTCCCGCAGTGATGCTGGAGGGCTTCAGGGTGTTCTGAGATCTCTTTAGCCCTGTACTTCAGGTGAGGGAGTTGAATCCGGGCCTCTCTGTGGCCCAGTCAGCAGACAAAGCAGTCTGGTAAAAGCTGGTGTGTCTTGGCTCTTAAATCTCACAGAAGTCTGATTTTTAAGATTTCAAATGTTCTAGAGACAGAAAAAGCTTCCAGCTGTTTGTGTCAGACTCTCAAACTGAGCTCCTTATCACATCCACAGTTCAGGAGCGCCTTACAAAACAAATTGCTGTAGCAATCACGGAAGCCTTGCGGCCTGCTGGAGTCGGGGTAGTGGTTGAAGCAACGTAAGTCTGCATCTGCCTTTAGTAACGTCATAATGGTGCACTAGAAGTGATCTTGCTATTTAGTGCTTCTCATATTTTGTAGCACCAGGTGATGCCACACAACTGATATGATAACTGTAGATTTCCATCCCTGAGCCTAAAGCTCTTTTACCACTTTCATTTACTGTTACTGATATAGGAACAGAATATGGGAGAAGTATTTTTTGAGGGTAGGATGGGGCTTGTGGAGGCATAGGGAGTTAAAAGCACAGGTGTAGAGATTTGCATAATCAATAGCCTTTTTTTTTTTTGAGATGGAGCCTCACTCTGTCGCCCAGGCTGGAGTGCAGTGGTGCAATCTCGGCTCACTGCAACCTCCACCTCCCGGGTTCAAGCGATTCTCCTGCCTCAGCCTCCCGAGTAGCTGGGACCACAGGTGTGTGTCACCATGCCCGGCTAATTTTTGTATATTTAATAGAGATGGGGTTTCATCATGTCGGCCAGGCTGGTCTCGAACTCCTGACCTCATGATCCACCCGTCACGGCCTCCCAAAGTGCTAGGATTACAGGCGTGAGCCCCTGCGCCCAGCTCAATCGCCATTTTTTAAAAATGCTCAAGACAGGGTCTTGCTCTCTCACCCAGGCTGGAGTGCAATGGTGTGATCTTGGCTCACTGCAACCTCTGCCTCCCAGGTTCAAGCGATTCTCCTGCCTCAGCCTCCCAAATAGCTGGGATTACAGGTGCCCGCCACCACACCCAGCTAATTTTCGTATTTAGTAGAGATGGGATTTCACCATGTTGGCCAGGCTGGGGATCTCAAACTCCTGACCTCAAGTGATCTGCCCACCTCAGCCTCCCAAAATACTGAGATTACTGGCGTGAGCCACCACGCCAATAGCCATTTTTATGTCTTCTCTTGATTTTATGTCTTCTCTTGATTTCTTCTTTAGCTCTCTGTTGCTCCAAGCCGAGTTTTTCTAATATTTTGTCACACATTTAAAAAATAAAGCCAAGAATTGGTACATTTCTTTAAGTTAGGATGAGTTAAGAGAATTGCAGCTGTTGTGTGGACAAAGTTCATATGTGTTCTGTGACGTGGTGTGAACTCTGTTCTATGTCTGGTATCTAATGTCACCAGGTTGCTCAGACAGGATCTCTGGTCACCATTATCTGAATTCTGCCTGGTGACATCAGTATACTTGAGCATTTATCTGAACACCTAGGCTAGCATAGTGCTGTCTTGGTCCTGAAGGCAGAGCAAGTGAGAATTCTGACTTTCTTTTGATCTAGAAGTTAAGTAACTCTGTAGACCTTTTATATTACTTTCACCCCAGAAGAAAATTCCATTTTTCCCCTTTTTGGATGCTTTAAGGATCAACTACTGATAAAAATAAAAGTTGCAAGACAACTTCAAGAACAAAAAGTTTAGGTTGCTGCAAAGATAATTGCAGTTTTTGCCATTATGTTCAATAGCAAGAACCGCAGTTACTTTTGCATGAACCTAATAGATAACATTTGTGTAAGAAGGGATATTTCGATATACTTGGTAACTGTGAGCTGAGATTTAATCTTTAGGCCTGCTTTTAAAAACCAAACCAGCAGCTGTCTACTCCTTTAAACAACCTGTGTTGCCTTATTTTGTAGACACATGTGTATGGTAATGCGAGGTGTACAGAAAATGAACAGCAAAACTGTGACCAGCACAATGTTGGGTGTGTTCCGGGAGGATCCAAAGACTCGGGAAGAGTTCCTGACTCTCATTAGGAGCTGAGCTTCATTCAGTGTGTGTGCGTTGGTTGCCGATCGTACTGCCAGTAGCATTGTCTGTCTGTCCGGTCTTGTTTGTACATTCCATTTTCAATTGTTACAGATGTGAACTTTATTCCTTGTCACTAATTATATTTAAAATTATTTCTAGGAAGTCAAATAAATATAATAAAGGGTTGAGCCCTCTACTTTCTTCTTGCCACCTTTTTGTGGCAATATTAAAGTGAACTGCTAATAGTGTAAGTACGTGCACAAAACCACTGCCAGATAACCAGAGGGGCCTGGGAAGGGAGAAGAATTAGTGTATTTTTTTCAAATAGTACAGTAATTTGCCTCATAAGCATAGGAGCATTGGGAATGAGAGGGAACTGTGCCCAGTATACTGTTTTTTTTCTTCCTCCAATAAAAGTGGTGTAGTGCCGAAAGTGCTAAAATATTTAGTGCGGTATTGCTCTGTGAATTCAAGTTCAACAGACTTCACTTTGGTCATGTTTATTAAACCACCAGTGACATTTAAAAATATATTTTTAGCAGTCGTAATGTTAGTCACCAAGGGAAGGTGGTGGAATGTCTATGTTTTTGATTTTACTGTGAGTTAAAAAGGCACATTTCTACCTTCTATTGTTTTTAAATTCAAGAATAGGGAATTAGTTCCTGGTGTTGTTTACGAGTGTATTCTCGTGTCAACATACAGGGATTTAGACATTTAACTCTCTGTGCCTTGATAAGAATATCATTTAGAGTGTAGATACTTTTGCCTTTTTAAAAAAGCCATTATTTTATGAGACTTAGTACTCACACTGCAAATAACTAGTCAGCTCAGTTTTAACTTTATAGGTTTATTGAGTTTCCTTTGTGTGATCCATGTAGATGCCTCAAAATGTTTCTTCTTCTTCTTTTTTTTAATCTTATAAGATATTTTTCTAAGTATTTCCAGAAACATTTGAGAGTGCCCATCATTTTCAGGTCTGCAGAACCATAGCTTCCACGCACCTGAACGAGCACAGAATGAACTGACGGTGGAAGACATTATGAGCTGTGTCCAACGTTTTAACCAAAGCGTATCGTACCAACGATCTGTGAAAATGCACTGGAAGCTTCTGGTCCCGGTTTCCTTTGTGGTCTATGTGGGTCTTGTCCTCATTGTAACTCCGTATAGATGGTATAGGTATTTTAATCCTGGAAGCTGTTGCCTTATTAATGATTATCTTAAAATTTCCTCCATTGGGGCAGCGTGGGCCAAATTAAAACAAACAAAACCGCAACTCCTCCACAGAAACACAAACACAGTTATTCCATGAAGTTTAGTATTTGGTTGACATAGTGCTCTTCAAATTCATCCCATTACCCTAAAAGTAATAACTTTGATGCTTGCTTTAACTTTAGTCCCATCTCTGCCACTTTGATGCTATTTGGGTTATGATGGGGCAAGATGGCAGAGGTATTGGGTTTTTTTGTTTTTTTCCATTCCTCTCTACTTCTGTTTCCTAGCTTTTTCTTTCTGGAGTTTAAGTACAGTGATGGTTGGCTTGAGTACCTTTTTAAATCTAGCCCAGTATAAACATTAGCCTGCTTAATATTTAGACATTTATAGGTAGAATTCTGAGCACTCAACTCATGTTTGGCATTTTAAAGTAAAAACAAGTGTGACTTCGAGGACCAAAGAAATTGTCAGCTATACATTTATCTTTATGAACTCATTTATATTCCTTTTTAATGACTCGTTGTTCTAACATTTCCTAGAAGTGTTCTTATAAAGGTCTAATGTATCCACAGGCTGTTGTCTTATTAGTAAATGCAAAGTAATGACTTTGTCTGTTTTACTCTAGTCTTTAGTACTTCAAAATTACCTTTTCATATCCATGATCTTGAGTCCATTTGGGGGATTTTTAAGAATTTGATGTATTTCAATACACTGTTCAAAATTAAATTGTTTAATTTTATGTATGAGTATGTATGTTCCTGAAGGTGGTCCTATTTAAATTATTAAACTATTGTAACTTTGTTCTTGTGAAAGTTGTTTCTTTTTCAACCACCACTATAAATATTTAAATAACTTGATTATTTTGGCTGTATTCTGTTTCAGCAAAGACATCATAAGGGCTTCTCCCAGCCATCAAAGCTATTTGAATACTAATCTCCATTATAGTACGAAGTAACCCCAGGTTCTGACAGTTTCTCCTTGGTATTTGGTTGGAGTCTTACCGTCCTCACTGTCTTGAGGTAATGGGAGGAGGAGGTCTGGGATAAGAGTCAGGAATCTGAGTGGCCCTCATGTCCCTGTTGTCTTAATGCTTAGTAGGTAACTTCAGCCCCCTGGGAACTGGCACTGTTTCCTACGTGGGAGCTGTTGGGGAAGGAAGAGTAGGCTGGGGCAGGGAGTGGAAAAGGGTTTCCTTCCCTCTTCTAGGAAGAGCCTGCCCAGGGCAAAACTTCCAGTTAGTGCAAGGGGTTTTGTGCTGCTCTTCTGTCCCATGCCCAACAACCTCCTTTCCCTCTTGCTAATGGTCTCCTCCCCATTC
This sequence comes from Homo sapiens, assembly GCF_000001405.40. Lineage (NCBI taxonomy): Eukaryota > Metazoa > Chordata > Mammalia > Primates > Hominidae > Homo > Homo sapiens. The sequence goes on along the minus strand of NC_000014.9, from coordinate 54,841,498 downwards.
CGTGCTGCCCACAGGCAGAGGCCGCCCCTGCCCTCACTGGTGGCCAGCATGTCCAAGTACTGGGGCCTGCTGCTCCTTGTGGGACCCTGTGGACCGTTGGGTAGCAAATCTTATCAAAGTAGGAATGCTTACTGGCATAAAACATTCCTAGAACCACCACTCATAGGTGTCAATAAAACGATGAGCTGCTCAGCTAAGCCCGAGTTGCTGCTTCTGAGTTTTGTCACCGAAGATTGATTGGCCAAGTTCCTTTTCACTTAGTGGAAGAGCAGTTGCAGACATGAAAGGTTTTCAAGAAGCCTTTCTGTCAAAACAGAGCACCTGGATTCATCATCACAGGCATGGGTCCTCCTGCTGATGGAGAGAAGAAGAAGTCTCAAGAGATCAAGGGGAAGTGTGAGTACCTGACTCCTCACCCTCCCAGAGGCCCTTGCCTTCTTTTAATTTTTGTTACAGAAAATGAAACATGCACATCAGTAGAGAGATGAGCACATGAACCCCTGTGTACTAATCACCCAGCTTCAAGAAGTCTCAACTCAATGGCGCCATCTTGTTTTCCTCTATACCCATCTGACCAGATTATTGCAAAGCAAATCCCAGGCATTATTTCATCCATAAATATTTCAGATTATCTAAATAAAGTGGAATCAGGTAAAGAAATATATGATCAAATACATCCATTATCACACTAAAAATTAGTGTCAATTCAAATATCTAGATTTTCCCCTACTGTTGTGTAGTTTTTAGTAGTTTATTTGAATCAAGGTACAAACGAGATCCACACATTGCAACAGGTTGATTTAAGTCTCTTAAGAATCTTATATGTTCTCTTTCCACTCCCTCCTCTGTTTTCCTTAAAATTTATCTGGTCACTTGTTTTGGAGAAGCCCCGTGTTTATTCCAGGAACTGTCTGGTTGCTGGAATGTCTGTGGCTGTCCAAATGAGGTCAAACTCCAGCTAAACAGGGAAAAGAAGGGTTCTTTGCCACAACACTTCTCCACGTCCCTAAACCCCTACTCCTGGGCAGCCTAGCTTGGTCTGGTTCTGTCTGGCTTTTAACTGGAACATAGCTCTCCTTGGCTTTGTAACTTAGAGCCATTCCCCAGGTACAGAATAGAATTCATTGCTTTTTTCTGAGTGTGTCCTTTTTGGGCAAGGCTTCCATTTTAAAACATGCTGCCTTTGGCTTCAGCTTGGTGGATTCCTTGGCTGCCAAGATTTTGGTTAAGGTGGAAAGGTTATTACAGAAGTGAAAACAATGAATCTCACAGTAATTGGCATCACTTTGAGGGCCTACCCATGGGGAATTCCATTGGGTTGGACAGTAGGAGTACTTGGGTTTCTTCCCCCCGGCTCCTCGACCTCATCAATTACATTTTCATGACATCCTGAGTATGAATATCAGGCTCTGGCCGACAAAGGGTGGTGAAGGAAGACACACTGCGTCTTGCATTTAAGCAGCTCCCTTTATTCCCTCCCTAGCAGTGCAGCTATGACTTGCTTGTGGGTCCTGGTAGGATAACTCCTGGCACCTGCATTACACAGCCCTAATGCACCTATCCACTTTTCCTCTTATTTCTACATTCTCCTGTTTGTTTTGAGCAATATGTCCACAACTCTGACCTTTTGAGAAATCCTTTCAATCTGGAACTGACTGTGCTGCCCAGAGAAATGTGGTTTGGCTGCCGGTGAGCATTGGGAAGGTTGTGTGGAGGGAGTCCTGTGATGAAATGCCTGGGTGTGTGTATGTACAACTTCCTCTCAGGCTATTGATTTTCCCTGATTTTAGAATGCATTTTTTATTCTTCCTCCTTTTCCTGGATCCTTTCACATTCAAAAATGTACTGAACAAATAAATGAGATTTCTTTTTTTCTAATTTGTTTTTTTGTGGAGTTTCCCATTATATGTGTAGTGATAATTTTTACAGTCATTCTATCTAGACTGACAAAATTCTTTATGGAAACTTTTCTCTTTGCAAGGACATTTTACTTCTAAAACCAAGGGGGATAAACCGAATTAAAAAAAAAAGCTAGTAAATAAAAATCAGCTTAAAACCATTCTGGTTCTATCAGGGACCTCAGAATTATTGGTCCGTATTGGTCATCTGGTCATTGGTCTCCTAGCAGCTGCTCAACCAGTTTTGGCTGGAGGTGGGTTTTGGTCTCTGTCTCTCTTTGGCTTCACTGCTGCCAGCCTCAACTGCGTTCCTGATTGCTTGGGAAGAACGGCCTTTGACGTCTGTATCTGGACAGATGACAGTCTCTTGTGGGCCCACACAGTGGCTTCCGCTCCTCTCAATTTGGGAAATTTTAAAGGAATTTCCATTTGCAGATTGAACAAGTCTAACCAGAGAGAGGAAGCAACCTGACTGTTTCAGTTTGTACCTTTGAACTTTCAAGTACCTTTAACCAATTAGAGACAACTAATCTTTCTTTTGCTCTCTCTTTTTTTTTTTTTGGAGACAGAGTCTCGCTCTGTCGCCCAGGCTGGAGTACGGTGGCATGATCTTGGCTCACTGCAACCTTCACCTCCTGGTTCAAGCAATTCTCCTGCCTCAGCCTCCCGAGTAGTGGATTAAAGATGCCCTCCACCACGCCCAGCTAATTTTTGTATTTTTAGTAGAGACAGGGTTTCACCCTGTTGGTCAGGCTGGTCTCGAACTCCTGACCTCAAGTGATCCACCCGCCTTGGCCTCCCAAAGTGCTAAGACTACACTCAGCTCAAAGTGCTGAGCCACTGTGCCCGGCCCAAGACAACTAATCTCAGAGCAAAATTTCTTGCCTGAAGTCTCATTTCTGAAAGTTGATTTGCATGTGATCAAGGAGTATTTGAAGTCTTATCCAAATCTTAGCTGACCTTCTCTTGCTTAACAGTTGTCAGAATCACCTCTTAATGAAGGGGTTGGTGGAGTCAGCACTTGACTCTAACAGAATTTCCATATAAATTTAATATATTTAAAAAATAATTATGAATAAAAAGTATCACGTGCACTTGAAGTATAGACAAGCCAACAATGAATTCTCATTGTCTTTTTAACTAGAACACACACAAAACAGGACATTAAAATCAACATGAAACCCTGAGCTCTGAGAACTCATAATTTGTTTCCTGCATTTTAGTGTTTGGGGGATGGAAAACAAATCTTCCAGATTTTCTGTGTGTGTGTGTATGTATGTGTGTGTGTGTACCCAACACCGAATCTGGAAGACTTGTTATAAGGAAGAATATATATTTTTTCTTTCTTTCTTTTTTTTTTTTTTTTTTTTTTTTTTTTTTTGAGGCAGTATCTTGCTCTGTTGTTGCTCAGCCTGGAGTGCAGTGGCATGAACACAGCTCACTGCAACCTCTACCTCCCTGGCTCAAGCGATCCTCCTGCCTCAGCCCCCCAAGTAGCTGGGACTATAGACACATGCTACAGTGCCCAGCTAATTGAGTATTTCCATTTTATAAGTGAGTTGGGTGTCAGGGAGGGTCAAATGATGTGCGTCACCCACACTGGGTTAAAGAGGTGATGTTGCTCCCTGGACTCTGCTTCTGTTGACCTTTCTGTTAACCAGTGGGCCCAGCCCCTTAGGTTACCTCTGGCTCCCATTGTAGCTGGTTAATCTTTTCCAGGTGCCCTCTGTCACTCTGTGCCCCCACATATTTGAAGATGTATACTATCACCTTTGCCCTTTGAACTCAAAGGTGCTGCTGGGAGTGATTATAGGAGTGTGAGATGGTCACCTTGTAGTTCCATGTAATCACACTGTCTTAAATGCTCAAATTAAAAAAAATAAATAAAAACTGGTAATTCTGTGGTTAGCACAAAATTCAAACATCACAAAATAATTAAGGAAACATTTACCTTCACCTCTGCTCCCAAGTAAGCCAGGCAGCTGCTATCATCAGAGATATTTAATGAAATTCTTTACTTTCATGGCAGAATGAAAATCTTTGTCTCCTGCATGTAGGCTGACTTTATGTACTTCCTAATGGTAGAAGGTGTAACTCTAAACTGGTGAGGAGTTTGTGTAACTATCAGAATGTAAAATCCATTATGTTTATTCTGGTGTTCTTTCAAAGTCATTAGATGCTTTCTCTGAATTTTTTTTTTTTTTAGCAAAATCATCTGCAAAAGAAAAATGTGTCCTCCTTACAGAACTTTGACCACCTTAGCAAAAGAAAAGCAGATTCTGGCAAACTGAGTGTTTCAAGCAGGGGCTCTTTTAAAATTTGTTTTTTTCTTTCACTTTTCACGTTATTTGAATAGGTAATATATGCACTTGCATATAATGTGAAAAGCACAAAAGGATATGCCTTGAAAAGTCTCTCTCCCTTTCCATCCCCAGCTGCCCAGTTCTTTTCCCCAAAGCCACCACTTTACCACTTTTTTGTTTGTTTGTTTTGAGACACAGTTTTTGCTCTTGTTGCTCAGGCTGGAGTGCAATGGCGTGATCTTGGCTCACCACAACCTCTGCCTCCCAGGTTCAAGCGGTTCTCCCGCCTCAGCCTCCCAAGTAGCTGGGATTACAGGCATGCGCCACCACACCCGGCTAACTTTGTATTTTCAGTAGAGACTGGGTTTTACCATGTTGGCCAGGCTGGTCTCGAACTTCCAACCTCAGGTGATCCGCCTGCCTCGGCCTCCCAAAGTGCTGGGATTACAGGCGTGAGCCACTGCGCCTGGCCCACTTTACCACTTTCTTACATATACTTCCCCAAATATTTAAGGCATATTTACACACACACACACACACACACACACACACACACGCACACACGTTTATTTAAATGAGGGACTATTGGCCATGTGTGCCTATCCAAATCACCTAGGGAACTTTTAGACAATGTTTCTGTACCCTGTGAGGAACTATTCAGTATTTGTAATTATAGTTTGAAAAAGAAAATTGCCCTTGGTTATTCTGGTGGGCTCCCTCAGTTAAGAATGACTAGCCTAAGATACAAAAATTCAGACCCACAGAACCCAACAGGAAGCCAGTAGCTCCTTCCCAGGCAATTTGGGCAGGAGAACAGCTGTGTGGATCACTCTGTGAACAATCGTTTCTATCGTCCCTGGTTAAGGGCATCTGCAACCACTCAGCTGATAAGTCTAAAGGTAAATTGTCCCTTAAAAGGGACTGTCTCCAGATTAATATAATCACTGCTGCAATTGCCTGTGTATAAATAACTTATTTCTCTGGTCTGATACCTCTAAACATATCCTACTTTTTTCCTCCTCCATCTCATTTTTTTATACTTGTTAATCATAGAAAACTTAGAAAATGGGCAGGCACAGTGGGTTACACTTGCAATCCCAGCACTTTGGGAGGCTGAGGTGGGCAGATCACCTGAGGTCAGATCACGTGAGGTCAGGAGTCACCAGCCTGGCCAACATGGTGAAACCCCATCTCTATTAAAAATACAAAAATTATCTGGGCGTGGTGGCAGGCACCTGTAGTCCCACCTACTCAGGAGGCCGAGGCAGGAGAATCGCTTGAACCCGGGAGGTGGAGTTTGCAGTGAGCCAAAATTGTGCCACTGAACTCTAGCCTGGGCTACAGAGAAAGACTCTATCTCGAAAAAAAAAAGGAAAAAACCTTAGAAAACAGTGAAGTATAAATAAAAAGACCAGTTACCCAATTGCATAGTTCAGAAAATAACTGCTGTTGACATTTGTTTTATTTTACTTGCTTTTAAAATTGTGCAAATAATATCTGGATGCTTCTGGAATATTTAAAGCAAATCCATCCAGACAGTCTATCATTTCATCGGTATTTATTTCACTATGTATCACTAATGGATAAGGGGTAAGGACTTAAATAAAATCCCCGCACATTATCACATCCCCCCCAAAGTTACAACCATTACTTGATATCATATCATATTCTGCATTTACCTTTTCCCAGATTGCCTTACATTTCTTCCTAGAGTTCACTTTGATGTGTTTTCTTCCATTTGTCCCTCCTTATTCTGTGTAACTATGTGTAATACTTTGGATACTCTAAAGTCCTCACAGTCATTCCCTCCCTTATCTTGTATCTTTGTTTAAATGGCTACATGATGTTCCATGGTATAAATGTCACATGTATTGATTATTTTCATAATGATGGGCTGTCATGTTGTTTCCAGTTTTTTCTTATTATAAATAACACTGCAGTGGACATCTCTATTTCCAAAGGATAGGCTTTTAGGTATAGATTTATTGGGACAAAAAAGTCACCCGTCTTTCTGTCTTCCCCTCCCTAAGTAACAAAGGACAGACTCAGGTGGGCTATTTACAACCCCCACCCTGGCCCTGTGCTGTGCAACTGTCCTCATATTGTAACTGTCTTACACCTAAAATTTTGTAGCACACAAATTAATTTTTTCTCTCACCCAGGGGTAACTTTGCACCTCACTTATCTTGGCAGATTCACAGTTTTACACGGAAACTTTTATTGAGATAACTGTATGAAGAAATACTACAGTTAGAAGAAATACTACACAGAGTTCACTTCTGTACTTTGCTGGGTTTTTCCCAGTGCGAACATTTAGCCAAACGATGGTGCAATATCACAGCCAGGATATTGACATTGATATAATACACCAATCTCATTCTGATTTGTCCAGTTTTGCTTGTACTCACTTGCATGTGTGATTAATTTCTTTGCAACGTACAGGTCTATGTATCCCCCACCATAGTCAAGATGCTGACAGTTCCAATACCACAGGATCTATCGCGTTGCCTTACTATAACCACACCACTCACCCTCAGCCCCTTCACATTTTAAAAAGACTCTTTTTTTTTTTTGAGATGGAGTCTCCCTCTGTCACCCAGGCTGGAGTGCAGTGGCGCGATCTCAGCTTACTGCAACCTCCACCTCCCAAGGCCAAGCAATTTTTGTGCCTCAGCCTCCCGGAGTAGCTGGGATTACATGCATGCACCACCACAGCTGGCTAATTTTTGTATTTTTAGTAGAGATGGGGTTTCACCATGTTGGCCAGGCTGGTCTCAAACTCCTGGCCTCAAGTGATCTGCCTGCCTCCGGCCTCCCAAAGTGCTGGGATTACAAGCATGAGCCACTGCACCCAGCCAAAAAGACTCTCAATACATATTCCAAATTTCTGTCTAGCAAGATATAACTAATTCATACTACCCTGCCAGCATTGAGTATCATTTAAAAAATATATTACTAGGTGGCCAATGTTTTCACTGTCTAGCTTTCTGTTAAAGTCTTTTAATACATGTATTGTCAAATTTGGCCTCAAAGTGTATTGCAAATATTCTCCTAGAAGAAATGAGGCAGATGTTTCTTTCATTTCTCTGCTTGTCCAATACTTCAAAACATTGTTTTCAGTGAAAATCAAATCATGAACCCTGCCAAATGCAAGAAGCATGCAGCCTTCTATCTTTAACAAAGCTGGTACTAACTTTCAGGAACACTACTTGTGGGGTTGAGACAATTGTATTTTGCTTAATAGGGTTTTCTGGCTAAGAGCAGACTGGAAGGTTTTGCTAAAGTTATTTCTAAAAGGGATTTTATCTAAGTCAAAGGATACTTACCTTTTCTAAGTACAGTTCAATGAAAAATAATTTTATTTTCTTTAGGTAGAGGTGATCTCTGAGAGAAGGAGCCCTCTCAATATCTCTCTCTGAGAAATGAGTATATTCCTTCTGCTTGGCAGTGGTCCGGGTAACCCACGACACCCTGGCATTTAGGCTGGCTCCCTTTGTGGGGTCAGAATTCTTCCTGGTCTAAAGTGAAGTCACTGTGGACCTGCTTTTCATTATAAGCCATCATTTTTGCTAAAGGTAGAGCATTACTAAAGTTGGAGTTGAGGCGATTATAAACAGCAGTATGGAGGATGAACCTGGAATACAGCGGATAGAAACAGTGTGGGGGTAGAGTGGTAGACGACAGGTAGAATTAGAAGGCTCTGTCCTCAGGCAAACATAGCATGGGAGGTACTTCAGTCAGAAATACAGTTTATAATAAATCAATTCTCATTTAGCCTGGAAAAGTTAACACACATGATACATGGAGGACGCAATTGAATTTTAGCCATGTAGTTGTGCACATTTTAGATCTAGAAGTCACAGAGAGTATAAACACAGAAGATCAGATTATAAAAGACCCTGTATATATATATTTGCTATTTAAAACAACAATAAATGCCTATATCATTTGCCCCAGTAATTCTTTGGGGAATTTATCCTCTAGATGTATTTATATATATATGTGTGTGTGTGAAGGTGACATTTGTATACAAGATTATTCATTGCAGCATTGTTTGTCATAAGAAAGCTCTTGTTTATTAGCTCTAAACCCAAAGTATGCAAAATGATCACATGAAGTTTTGGTTGCAATTTTTAGGGTCCTGGAAGTCCTAGCTAGAGCAATCAAGCAAGAGAAAGAAAAGACAGGCAAGTAGGAAAAGAAGAAGTCAATTTATCTCTTCACTGACAATATTACTCTATACCTAGAAAACCATAAAGACTCCACTAAAAGGCTCCTGGAACTGATAAACGACTTCAGTAAAGTTTCAGGATACAAAATCAGTGAAAACAAATTGGTAGCATTTCTGTACACCAATAATGTTCAAGCTGAGAGCCAAATCAAGAATGCAATTGTATTTACAACAGCCACAAAAAATAAAATACCTAGGAATACATCTAACTAAGGAGATGAAAGACCTCTATAAGGAGAGCTGCAAAACACTGATGAAACAAATCATAGATGACACAAACAAGTGGAAAAACATCCCATGCCCATGGTTCAGAAGAATCAATATTGTTAAAATGGCCATACTGCCCAAAGCAATCTATGGAGTCAACACTATTCTTATCAAGCTACCAATGCCATTTTTCACAGAACTAGAAAAAACTATGCCAAAATTTCTATGGAACCAAAAAAGAGTCCAAATAGCCAAAGCAATCCTAAGCAAAAAGAACAAGACCAGAGGCATTACTTGACTTCAAACTATGTTATAAGATTACAGTAGCTAAAACTGTATGGTATGGTACAAAAACAGACACATAGCCAGGCACGGTGGCTCCTGCCTGTAATCCCAGCACTTTGGGAGGTTGAGGTGGGGAGATCACATGATTCCAGCCTGGGCAACATGGTGAAACCCGTCACTATGAAAAATACAAAAAAGTAGCTGGCTGTGGTGGTGCACGCCTGTGATCCCAGCTACTCAGGAGGCTGAGGTGGGAGAATCACCTGAGACTGTGAAGTCAAGCCTGCAGTGAGCTGTGATCACACCACTGCACTCCAGCCTAGGCAATGGGAGTGAGACCCTCTCTCAAAAAAACAAAATGAAACAAACAAACAAACAAAAAACAAGCACATAGACCAATGAAACCGAATAGAGAACCCGGAAATAAAGCTGCACACCTACAGCCATCTGATCTTTAACAAAGTCAACCAAAATAAGCAACGAGGAACAGAATCTCTGTACAATAAATTGTGCTGGGATAGCTGTATAGCCATAAATAGAATGAAACTCGACCCCTATCTTTTACCACATATAAAAATTAGCTCCACTGGTCGGGCGCCGTGGCTCACGCCTGTAATCCCAGCACTTTGGGAGGCTGAGGCGGGCAGATAACCTGAGGTCGGGAGTTCGAGACCAGCCTGACCAACAGGGAGAAACCCCGTCTCTACTGAAAATACAAAATTAGCTGGGCGTGGTGGTGTATGCCTGTAATCCCAGCTACTTGGGAGTCTGAGGCAGGAGAATTGCTTGAACCTGGGAGGCAGACGTTGCAGTGAGCAGAGATCACGCCATTGCACTCCAGCCTGGGCAACAAGAGCAAAACTCCATCTCAAAAAAAAAAAAAAAAAAATTAGCTCAAGATGTATTAACGATTTAGATGTAAGACCTCAAACTATAAGAATCCTAGAAGAAAACCTAGGAAACCCCATTCTGGACATCAGCCTTGGAAAAGAATTTATGACTAAATTCTCAAAAGCAATTGCAACAAAAACAAAAATGGACAAGTAGGAGCTAATTAAAGAGCTTCTGCACAGCAAAAAAAAAAAAAAAAAAAAAAAAAAAACTATCAACAGAGTAAACTAACAACCTACAGGATGGAAGAAAATATTTGCAAACTGCACTAAGCAAAGCTCTAATATCCAGATTTTATAAGGAACTTCAACAATTGAACAAGCAAAAAACAAATAACCCAATTAAAAATGCGTGAAGGACATGAACAGACACTGCTCAAAAGATGACATACAAGCAGCCAACAACATATGAAAAAACACTCCACATCACTAATCAACAGAAAAATACAAATCAAAACCACAATGAAATATCATCTAACACCAGTCAGAATGGCTATTATTAAAAAGTCAAAAAACAACAGATGCTGGCTAGGCTGTGTAGAAAAGGAACGCTTATACTCTGCTGGTGGGAATGTAAATTAGTTCAGCCACTGTGGAAAGCAGTTTGGAGATTTCTCAAAGAACTTAAAACAGAACTAATTCAATCCAGCTATCCCATTACTGGCATATATCCAAAAGAAAATAAATCATTCTACCAAAAAGACACATGCACTCATATGATCACCACAGTACTATTCATGATAGCAAAGACATGGAATCAACCTAGATGCCCATCACTGGTGGATTAGATAAAGAAAACGTGGCACATATACACCGTGGAATACTACACAGCCATAAAAAAGAATGAAATCATGTCCTTTGAAACAACATGAGTGCAGCTGGAGGCCATTCTCTTAAGAAATTAACACAGGAACAGAAAACCAAATACTCTGCGTTCTCACTTATAAGTGGGAGCTAAACATTGGATACTCGGGATATAAAGATGGCAACAATAGATACTGGGGACAACTAAGGGGGGCAAAGGTTGAAAAACTAATGATGGGTACTATGCTCAGTGCCTGGGTGACAGGATCAATCATACCCCAAACCTCAGCATCACATAATATACCCATGTAACAAACCTGCATGTGTACACCCTGAATCTAAAATAGAAGTTGAAATTATAAAAATAAACAAACTAATAAATAAATAAATTTGTAGAGTCTTTCCACCAAGAGTACATTGGATTCATTTTTTTTTTTTTTAGAGATGGGGTCTTGCTATGTTGACCAGGCTGGTCTTGAACTCCTGAGCTCAAGTAATCCTCCCACCTCAGCCTCCCAAGTAGCTGGGACCACAGGCATGCACCACTGCACCCAACTTAGGTAGATCAGATTCTGATCCACTGTCCACTTTTATCTCTTGGGCTCATGCTGATCAAAGTTCTGAGGTTAGGCAGGAGCAGTTGGTTGGTTCTGGCTGAGAATCCTTCAAAGCATTAGTTAGCATCACATCTAGGGATACATGTGGACTGGGAGTCACAGCGTTCATTACTCTCTTACTTTTAGAGACTGGAGAATGGACATTTGGGGGAATTTGTTCTTGATAAAGTGTTGTGTAAGCCAACGAAATGAGGGATGCAGAACTGCCTGCCTCACCCTTTTCTTTTTACTCTTTCCCTTAGGAGTGGAAGCAAAAATTCCAGACTCTGCCTTCTGTAAAAGCCACAGTGAGGCATTACGACTTGGAAGGAAAGTTCAGACTCACATTCCTATAATTCTGAACAGACCTTTTATTTTTAAAGCAATATCTGTGCTGCATAATCTCTTTTCTAAATATGTAATTGCTCTGATAATGTACTGAATTTGGGGAAGATCATTATTTGGAGACCTAGAACTTCTGATGGTACCAGGACAGCATTCCCCCTTCTAAAGCTTTCAGATACATGGAACAAAACAAAAAGGAGTATAAATTAGAAAGATAACCGTGGCACTTTGGGAGGCTGAGAATGCAGGATTGCTTGAGGCCAGGAGTTCCAGACCAGCCTGGGCAACGTAATGAGATTTCATCTTCACAAAAAAATTTTAAAAATTAGCTAGGTGTGGTGGCATGTGCCTGTAGTCCCAGCTATGTGGAGGCCGAGGCAGGAGGATCGCTTGACCAGGAGTGAAACCCTCTCTCAAAAAAAAAAAAAAAAAAAAAGGTCACCGTGAGCTACCACTTGCCCCTGTGGTGAGAAGTTATTTGCATAATCATAATGTAAGTACTGATTACTCAGTTAACTAAAAATTGTTGTGAGATAACCTTTATCTTGGGAGGAAGGAGAAGTATGAGTTAAATCTTCATCTGTCATAACAAAGATTAGATAACATCAAAATTCATCTATCAAGAAGGAACAATTTAAGCACAATTTTTTATCAAGTAACTACCAAAGAAATAGCAAAAAGACATAAGTGATTGTCTCTTTAAGAGAGGAGGTGGGAGGGAGAAAGACAAAGAACTCTTGCTTAGATTATAAAACTTCTGTTTGTCACTATTTGATTTTTTAAAATTAGGTGCCTGTATTTACTATGTTAAAAGTGAAAAAATATATCTATATCTACACATATGGAGCCAAGAGAATATGGGTAAGCAGGATGTCTGTAATGATTATTTGAAATATCCTTGAGTGTTACAACTAAAGTGATGTTTTGGGAGAAAAGGATACAAGTGAAGTACAGTTATGTGTTGCTTAACGACACGGATTCCTTCTGAGAAATGCATCGTTAGTCGATTTCATCATTTTGTGAACATCATAGATTTTACTTCCACAAACCTAGATGGTATAGCTCACTACCCACCTAAACTGTATAGTATGGCCTATTTTTCCTAGGCTACAAACCTGCACTGAATACTGTAGGCAGTTGTGATACACTGGTAAGTATTTGTGTATCTAAACTTACTAAAACGTAGAAAAGGTACACTAAAAATAGGGTGTGGGACCCTATGAGACCGCCATCGTATATACGGTCCATCATTGACCAAAACGTCCTTATGTGGCACATGACTATGAATGAATTCTTAGATGAAATAAAGGAATCACTGCTCTCACTAACTTTATTTGGCCTGCATTTTGCATCTTTAGTTTTCTGTTATTCACAGGTGTTTGGTACTTCAGATCAGGGGTTGGCAACCTTTTTCTGGAAAATGCGTGATGGTAAAACTTTTAGACTTTGCAGGTCACATGGTTTCTGTTATAACTACTCAACTCTGCCATTCTCGTGTGGAATCCACCATAAACCATATGTAAATGAATGTGACTGTGTTCCAATATAACTTTATTCATGGACACCAAAATTTGAATTTCATGCCATTTTTGTGGCCGTGAAATATTCTTTTTTTTTTTTTCATTCATTAACAATGTAAAAAGCATTCTTAGCTCATGGACCATACAAAAACAGATGGTGGGTAGGATTTGGCCAGCAAGCCATAATTTGCAAACCCCTGCTTCAGATCTAACACATTTGTGTGGTTCCCTCCCATGCATAGCAAAGAGCTCCAGCCATCTGGGCTGCAAAGAGGAATTTACATGGAGCAGGTAAGCATCAGTTCCCCCAGCATTTGCAACTATGGAAATTTTGTCTTAAAGGGCTTCAAGGTCTTGATGGGCTCTAAGGAGTTAAACTTCATGCTTCTCCTTTTCCTCTACCCTATTCTCATTTGTTTTTACTGTCTAAGTATAGGAACATCCCTATGAAGCTCTATTTCGGTGAGTATTACATTGTTGGAAATTTCATTACCAAGACAAAAATAATGTAGGAGGTCATAGACATAGAGATGTGGGCTCTGAGTTGGGCCCCTTGGCATCAAAAGAAGCTTCTGAAGGGTTGGACATAAAGGAGATTTCATGAATGTCAGGCCCTGTCTCCACCCACAGGTGACCAGGCCAGGTGAGTCCTGGAAGTGAGGTCCTGCCTGCCCTGAGAAGACTCCCTAGAAGACAGCACCCATAGCTTCCTTCCTTGTCACCAGTAGTTGCCATTGATGGGGAGAACGCAGATCTTCCAAGTGCCTTTGTTAAGGCTTTGTTTCCTTAGGTTTAACTGTGTTGCATGCTGGAGTATAAATATGAGTGAGACTTCCCCGTCCTCAAGTCTAGGGAGAGATATATGTAATGTAAACAAATATTTGAAGCACACTGAATAAAAGCTCTATTATAGGTTGATCCCATGTTGGAGAGGGGAGTAGTGGCGATAGAGACCGAAGAGATAGGCAGAGGACATACCACAGACATGCCCTGCCCAAGAACTGATATTGAAGTTGCGAAAAGCTGGTGGAAAGATGTCAAGCAGGGGATTGTGGGTTGTAATCAGAGTTGGAGGATGGACAGCTTAGGAGGCTATTGTATTAATTCAGGGGGGATAATGAGGCTGAAACTAGGTCAGTGGCAGTGGAGGCTGAGACAAGGGAACAGCAGAGAGATTTAAGAGGGAGAAGCTGAAGGGTTTGTCTACAACTGGGTGAAGATTGGTCCAGGACAGTCCCCAGTTTGGGAGCTTGGGTGTCTGGGAATCACAGCAGCATTGACCACTGAGATAATGTTAATGAGATAAATGGTCATGTGGGAGGTCTTGGAGGGAGTAAGGTAAGCAGGGGAGCCTTCGGTTTCAGACATGTTGTTTGAGGTCCCTGTGGGACACCTAAGTGGAGACATCCAGTAATTAGCCAGTGCATAGGAGAGAGGTCTGGGCTGGAGGCAGGGATCTGAAAGTCAGCTGCAGACCAGTTAGTACACACATGGTGCTTGGAGCTGAGGTCAGCTAAGGAGAGAGTGAAGAGTGAGAAGATTGGAGAAAAGATAACTCTCCAAAGACCACCCACAATCAGAATTTGGGGAGCCATGAGAGATGGGTGTGCCCAATGTCAAGAGTGTTGTTTCCAGAAAGAGAATGTGGGTAAATCAAAGTGGATGTGTGTGCACATATGTACCTATGAGAATGTTTATTCTAGCATTGTTCATAATATTTAACAGTTGAAATAACTTACCTAACAACTGGAATAAATCATGGTATGTCCATGTGAAGGAATGAATACTACGCAGCCATTAAAATGCAAAAAAATACTCATGATTTATTAGTGAAAACACTTATTATTTAGAAAATATTTATTTAGCCACTACTTTTGTCAGGCACCATGTTAGGTGGTGCTTATTACAAAATTGTGTGTGTGTGTGTGTGTGTGTGTGTATACATTGTTTTATATATATATATAAAATAATTATATATAAAAAATAATTTATATATACATAATAAAACTATGTATGTATATAATAAAATTATATATATATATCAATGGCAACAGGCTGGGCATGGTGGCTCATACCTGTAATCCTAGCACTTTGGGAGGCCAAATCACTTGAGGTCAGGAGTTCAAAACCAGCCTGGCTAACATGGTGAAACCCCATCTCTACTAAAAATACAAAAAATTAGCTGGGCGTGGTGGCGGGTGCCTGTAATCCCAGCTACTCGGGAGGCTGAGGCAGGAGGATCACTTGAACCCAAGAGGTGGAAGTTGCAGTGAGCCAAGATTGTGCTACTGCACTCCAGCCTGGGCGACAGAGCAAGCCTCTGTCTCAAACAAACAAAGATCAATGGCAGCAAATAACATCAAAATGCATGAGCAATAGAAAATACTATTTTAGGCTAGGTGTGGTGGCTCACACTTGTAATCCCAGAACTTTGGGAGGCTGAGGTCGGGGGATCATGAGGTCAGGAGTTCGAGACCAGCCTGGCTAATACAGTGAAACCCCTTTTCTACTAAAAATACGAAAATTAGCTGGGCATGGTGGTGGGCGCCTGTAATCCCAGCTACTTGGGAGGCTGAGGCAGGAGAATCACTTGAACTCGAGAGGTGGAGGTTGCAGTGAGTCAAGATTGCGCCACTGCATTCCAGCCTGGGTGACAGAGCTAGACTCCATCTCAAAAAAAAAAAAAAAAAAAAAAAAGAAAAAGAAAAGAAAAGAAAACAAAAGAAAATTTATTATTTAATATTTATTTAGTAGTCATGTAAGTTTTCTTATTTGCCTTCTCTCTTTTTCAAATTCTATACAATGAGCTTGCATTATATTGGTAAGAAAACCCATCTAAGTAGGTAGGAAAATACCATAGAAATGCCATTGGATTTAGGAAATCATTAACCTGATAGTGCCAAAGCTACTGGAGGAATGAATGTTCCCATTCCATTTTTTGAGTAATATTTCTACTTCCTCTCGAAACCACAAGTTTAGACTTTTCCTTGAAGAAGACTGGCTACAAGAAATGCTTAAGAAGTCCTACACCTTCCTGGGTACCCCATGACCCACTCAAACAAAAATTGATTTAGTAAAGTAGATTTTCCTCCCTAATGTGGTTGGGCACCATCCAACTCATTGAGGGCCTGAATATAACAAAGATGAAAGGAGGAATTGCCTCTTTTGCTTCCTGAATGTGTGCTTATCCCTTATCCCTCAACTGGGATTTACATCTTCAGTGTTCAGGTCTTCAGACTCAGACTGAATTATATCACTGGCTCTCTAGGGTTTCTATTTTCCATATGGCAGATTATGGGACTTCTCAACCTCCATTATTGCATAAGCAATTCCTCATAATCAATCTCAGTCTCTCACTCTCTACACACACACACACACACACACACACACACATGAATGTGTATTACATGTATATGAGTGTGTGTGCATGCATATGTCATCCTGTTTCTCTGGAGAACTGGTACTAAAACAATATGATTTGATTCTTTTCTCTCTTTTGTAACTTCTATAGGTATTTCCTGGGGGCTTATCTAGAATATCTTAAGCTGATAACAACTTAAACTCAATTGCATACAAAAATCCTACACTTTTAATTCCTCTCCCACATTTCATGTTATTGCTGTTACAGTTTACATCTATTCATATCATGACTCCTTTAACATATTTTTAGTTATAGTTATTTTAAATATTTTTATCTTTTAACTTTTATGCTAGAATTAAAAGTGATATACTCCCCACCATTACAGTAATAAAGTATTCTGTATTTGTCTGTATATTTACTTTTACTAATGAGTTTTAAACTTTAATATAACACTGTGTTGCTGTTTAGCATTCTTTTGCTTTAACTTGAAGAATTCCCTTTAGCATTTCTTTTAAGGCGGGTCTAGCGGTGATGAACTCCATCAGCTTTTGTTTGTCTGGGAAAGTCTCTATCTCTCCTTCATTTCTGAAGAACAATTTTGCTGGGTATTCTTGATTGTCAGTATTTTCTTTTAGCCCCTTGAATATATCATCTCACTCCCTTCTGGCCTGCAATGTTTCTGTTAAAAATTCCACTGATAATCTTATAGAGGTTCCCTTATATGTGACAAGTCACTGTTTTCTTGCTGCTTTCAAAATTCTCCTTGTCTTTGGCTTTTGGCAATTCAATAATAACATACCTCAGTGTGAATTGCTTTGGATTCATCTTGCTTGGTGTCCTTTAGGCTTCTTGGACCTGCATGTCCATTTTCTTCCCCCAAGTTTGGAAAGTTTTCAGCCATTATTTTTTGAGTAATATTTCTGGTCCTTTCTCTCTCTTCTTCTGGGGCTTCCATAATGCATCCACTAGTCTGCTTGATAGTGTCCCATAAGTTCAGTAAACTTTCTTTACTCTTTTTCATTCTTTTTTTTCTTCTTACTCCTGACTGAATTATTTCCAGTGACCTGTCTTTGAGTTAGCTGATCCTTTCCTCTGCTTTATCTAGTCTGCTGCTGAATCCCTCCAGTGAATTTTTCAGTTCAAGTGTTATGTTCTTCAGCTCCATTATTTATGTTTGGTACTTTTAAATATTTTCTATCTCTGTTGAAATTCTCAGTTTGTTCATGCATTGTTCTCTTGACCTAACTGAGCATCCTTATGACAGTCATTTTGAATTATCTGTCAGGTAAATCATATAACTCCATTTCCTTAGGGTTGGTTTCTGGAGATTTACCTTGTTATTATACTTTGAAACATCTTTGCCTGACTCTTCATTTTTCCTTAACACTCTGTGTCAGTGTCTTGGCATTAGACAAAGCAGGCACCTCTCTCAGTCTTCACAGACTGACTTTGTACAGGAGAAACAGCCTGATCAGAGGTACATATACCAATTAGCCCAGTCATAGATTCTGGGGACCTTTACCAACTCTTTCCTTCTCTATGGAGAAGCAGGTATCTGTGGTTTTTGTCTGCTAACTCTGTGCTGAGCCAGTGGGGGAGAGAAGGCAGTTATAGCATCTACCAGGCCAAACTGCCATCTCTATTTTTCCCCAGGCAGCAAGACTGTGCCAGACCCCATCAGAGCCCCTGGACTGGCAGGACAAATGCCAATTCTTTGAGAAGCCCTAGAGAAATTGGGGCATAGAATGCATGGATCCGCTGTTTCCCTCCCCAGGGGGAAGCTGAAAGCTGGGATTTTTAGTCCATTCACTCTGTGCTGAGCATCTACCAGTCAAAACAGCCATCTTCATTCTTCTCTAGGGGGCTAGACTGTGCCAGACCTGTCAGAACTCCGAGACTGGCAAGATAAAAGCCAGACCTCTGGGGAGCCCCCTCAAAAAAGTTGGGGTGATGGACATGTGAACCAACACTTTCCTTCCCCTGGGAGAATCTGGGAGCAGGAAGGGAGTCTTTCCCTGATCATATGGCACTGTGCCAGTGATAAGAGTTCTGGCAAGAAGGTGTCTCAAATCTCCCTGCTGGCTTCAGTGAGTTTGGTTTCATGTTTACCTGGGGCCCAGGATCATTTCAGTTAGTTTCTGGATTTCTTACAGATGGAATTTATCTGTGAGTTTTTGCTGAATCAGTATGTTTATGAGGGGAAGGAGGGTCCAGGGCATCTTACTCTGCCATCTTGCTGGTGTCACTTTTGCTTAGACTTCTTTAAAAATATAAAGAGTATCCTCTTCCATAAATTACAGAAATAATGATAAAACCTATTGCCTTTGTCTCCCACTTCTATTTTACCTCCAGCTGCCCCAGAATGTACCTCTTCATAATCCCAGCTCTCCCCAAATACCCACTTTCTGCTGCCTGTCTCTCACTCCCCTCAACTCCATTTCTCTATTATGTCACTTGACCTGTCTTTCTTCAGAAGAAAGGATCCTCCCTCTTTGGGAAGAGGAAGAAGAAAGGGAAATTAGACTGGCAATTACAGGCTTCATTTTGGCAGGCTGGCCAAGGAGGCAAGGCCATGGACACCCCCATAATAATGATGTGTCACATCCTCAGAAGGATAGCTGACGGTGAGACAGTAGCAGTGAAAGGCGTGTCAAAAGTAATACCTTTTCCAACAAGCACTCATGGAAATATATCAACTTGAGAGTTATGTGACAATAATGAAAAGATGTTGAGAGAACAAGACTCGGTGGCATACAGAGAAGGTAGTCAAATGGAGATGCCTTTTTTTTTGTGCTAGATCCCTCAGCAAATGACAAATGGCCCAGCTGCATTCCCCGCCCCTTGCATAGAACCGGACTACACCTCTGAATACACTCCTAGAGCCTCTTCTATCAACCTTAGTGTTTGTTGGAACTTCTAGTTGGATGCTTTTCCCTCCCTTGCATGTGGCTGTCCTCCCTTCCTGGGTATTCAGCTTTGGAATGGGCCATCCTGGCATCCTAGCTTACCCTCTTTGTTGAGCTGGAGTATTTGGTGGCTAAGAAAGGACAAGCATCCAGGGAATTACCTGTGGCTAATCAGGCAGGCCCTGCCCTAGAGCAAGGTGTGTCTGGATCCTGCTGGGAGCTGATCATACTGTGCTGGGTGGGAGAGACCCATGGTATCCATGGAGGGAACTTGCACTCAATCATTGCAGCTGTGTCCAGATTTTGTGCAGGATCTGGATGGGGTTGAGATCATATAGCCAATATTTCTCTGTTTCTGTCTACATGAAAAAAACACGAGGAACTGAACCATATCTACCTTCCTAGGATATATGTGCTTTCAAATAAATACAGAAATAAAAATTGCCTGGTATGGTGGCCCATGCCTGTAATCTCAGTACTTTGGGAAGCTGAAGCGGGGGCATCGCTTGAGCCCACGAGTTCAAGACCAGCCCAGGCAACATAGTGGGGCCCTGTCTCTACAAAAAAATTCAAAAATTAGGCACACGTGATGGTGCGTGCCTGTAGTCCCAGCTTCATGGGAAGCTGAAACGGGCATTGTGTGAGCCCAGGAGGTGAGGCTGCAGTGAGCTGTGATTGTGCCACTGCACTCCAGCCTGTGTGACAGAAGAAAACCCTATCTCAAAAATAAGTAAATAAATAAGGCCAAAGAGTAAATATACAAAATCTGCAGATAAATGAGTAAGGCTTCTTTTTTTTTTTTTTTTTTTTGAGACAGAGTCTCGCTTTGTCACCCAGGCTGGAGTGCAGTGGCGCGATCTTGGCTCACTGCAACCTCTGCCTCCCGGGTTCAAGCCATTCTCCTGCCTCAGCCTCCTGAGTAGCTGAGATTACAGGTGTGTGCCACCACACTCGGCTAATTTTTGTATTTTTAGTAGAGACGGGGTTTCACCATGTTGGCCAGGCGCGTCTTGAACTCCTGACCTTGTGATCTGCCCGTCTCAGCCTCCCAAAGTGCAGGGATTACAGGCGTGAGCCACCACGCCCAGCCGAGTAAAGCACTTTTATCCAGTTGTATTTATTTATTTATTCATTTATTTAGAGACAGAGTCTCACTATGTTGCCCAGCCTGGGCATGATCTCAGCTCACTGCAACCTCCGCCTTCCAAGTTCAAGCAGTTCTCCTGCCTCAACCTCCTGAGTAGCTGGGATTACAGGCGCATGCCACCACATCCAGCTACATCCAGCCTTATAATTAAGGATTAAAATGGTTCACCCTCACACAAAATCTGCCACCTCCTATCAAGACTAATTATAAAAGTCATCAGCCTCATGAATGAGCTGTTGCTGTATCCATCAAGGGCAAGACACCCAAAAATCATAAGCTACTATTTGACACAGCAGGTGGGTGAGAGAAATGACTGTCTCCTTGTCATTTTTCAGCCAGTGATCAATACAGCATGATACTGCACTCGCATTGTTAAGCTATGGCCATAGTGCAGGTGATAATAGCTAGTGGGGAGTGCTCTTCTCTCTCAGGTGCAGATGGAGTAAAGAGGAAATAGTGAGGGCAAGGCGTGTGCAACATTCGGAGAATTGAGCTATCATAAGGCACGATTGTGTGGACCATTCTTTATTTAACAAATATTTAATGAATTTTGGCTATGTACCAGGCACAGTTCTAGATACCGGGGATAGAGCAGAGAAGAAAACAAATTCCCTACTTTTATGGAGCATACATTCTAGTTGGAGGAGAGAGACCACAAATAGGTAAATGTATGCTGTGCGGCAGAGATGCTTGGTAAGGGAAAGGGGAGGGGGAGTGATTGGGAGATTACTAGTTTGGATAAGTTGTCCAGGAAGATGTTTCTACTTCGGTGGAGACTGAACAGAGCAAAAGAGGGCAGAAGTCAAGAAGACAGCGGAGGGGAGTTTCTGAGGGAGCTGTGAGTGCCCAAGGCCTGAGGTTGGAGCACATTTGATGTATCTGAGTAGCAGCAAGGAGGAAGTCGAGTGTCTCTAGTGCAGGGAGGGAAGCAGAGAGAGGTGGGAAGGGGCCAGGTCATGAAGGGTCTTGTGGGTCATTTAGGACACTGACTTTCACTGAGTGAGATGGGAGCCATTGGAGGGGCTGAGCAGAGAAGCGCAGGATCTGACTTAGGTTTTACAGGGGTACCCCAGTTCCTCTGGTGAGAACAGGGTAAGGGAGAAAGTGATGTCAGCTGGCGGCTCATGATATCCAGGCAAGAGATGCTGGTGTCTTGAACCAGGGTGGCATAGGGGTGTGAAAAGTGGAGGGATTGTGAATAAATTTTAAAGGTAGAGCAGACAGGATCTGTTGACAGATTATGTGAAGTGTGAGAGATGGAAAGGAGCCATAGATGACCCTAAGATTTGTAGCTAGAGCAACTGGAAGACTAGAACTCTCACTGAGGCTCTGGGAGGAATGCAGCTGGAGGGAGGGATGAACAAAGAGCTGGGTCACCAGCAACTCACAGAAGCCAAGCTATAAAATTGGAGTGTATTTATTGATGAACATGCTTACTTGTTTGAATGAGGTGGAGATTGCAAACTGGTGGCTCAGGGGCCGAATCTGGCTGGCCGATCTCTTTGGTTTGGTTCTCACGATATTTACTAAACAATTAAATTAGTTGTTGATGTTTAAAACTCATGGGATTTTATATCAAAATCTGGATTTGTGGCATCTTTTGGAAAAGTGAAAGATATGGCAATGCTGGGTTGTGATGAATAACAGTCCGGCTCTTCGGTAAAGTGTGCCGTGCTCAGTGGGCCGTCCAGTCCCCTACTTTCTCATTGTCTTACAGCCAACTGCTATCCTGTCTGTGCCCTGATTTCCTCATTTGAAAATAGGAGTAATAGTAGTTCCTACCTCCTGGGGTTGTAAGGAGAATTAACAGAGATAACTTATGAGTAGCACTCGAATAGCATTCAGAAATGTGAGCTATTACTGTTATTGCTGTTATTATTGATATTGTTATTATTATTACCTTGCCAGGCTTTGAGTTTGTGTGAGGATTTCAGAAAGCTGGAAGATGATCATAACAGGGATTGAGAGGTGAGTGAAGCTTCCCTTAATCAATGATGGCACCAAACCAGAAAGCAGGAGAGACGGAAGCACAGCTCCCAGACACAGAAAATTGCGTCCGCCTGAGCGGTATCAGCCCCACAAATCAGAGTTAATTTCTCTTCTTCTGCAGAGCTCGGCACAGTGGCCTGGATCACACAGTGACTCATCTAATAGCCCTGTGAGTTTGCCCAGCTTGCGGCATCACAAATTACACTTGCAGCCTCCTTATCAGGCAAGCTAGGAAATTAAACCTAAATGGCTATGGTGTTGCTAAGTAATATGGCTGCGTACACAGACACCCGAAGCTGAGACCATCACGGGCCCATTAAAGCATCATTTCCCGCTGTGGCTAATGAGGTTTGAATCCTTCAAAGGAAACCTGCTGTTCTTTTTTAAGGTCAGAAAGTGGGGTAACTCGGTTATAAGCAAGAGATAGAATTTCCCTTCCTAGATGCTAGGGGTGTGTGTGTTTATGGGTACATATTGGAGCTCTGTGGTCTCATGGCTAAGTGGCGGGGGTTGGGGGGAGATCAGAGACAGCCATCCTGCCCTCCCTGGACCCCTTGACCCTGGGCCAGGAGGGGCCTGGCCAATGGCACTCAGGCGGTTTTAGCTGAGTGCCTACTGGCTTCAATCTGGGAAGCTTCTTAGGAATATGGGGCAGCAGGGGATGACGGCATTCCTGGCATTTTCTTCCTTGGGACAGTTTTTTTCTTTAGGGGGCTTTTCTGTTTCTACAACAAAGTCCTAGAGCCATGAATGGGGCTCCTGGCCCCCAGGATGCTTGGGCAGCTGAGCTAGACCTGGAAGTGGACTTCATTTTCCCATTTCTTTCCAGTCAGGCCATCCGTGTCCATTTCAGAGTTTGGTTCCTCATGGACCCACAAAGATTAGAGCCTGGGGCACAGCCCCAGCGAGTAAGGCAGTGGCTGTATGTGGCCCCCTGAGTTCACTAACATAGTGACTGAGCATGTGTGTCACTAGCCCAGTGTGGCTCTTCTGAAGCTCCACAGCTGTGCTGGCAGTTAGCTGTTTAGTAAGTCAACACACTGCGGCTGCGTGGTCAGGGAGTTGGGGTCTGCCCCAGCTCCCCTCTGAAAGGATGCCCTCTACCTTCTCTGCTCTGGGCTCCTGAGATGGGTTGGGAGAGTGAATTACCTCCCCTTTAATTAGTATCTTTCATTGCATCTTCTCTACAATGCTGATGATTATTTTTCAAGACTCATTCAGGTGGGTTGGGTCTCACATCACTTCTGCATGGTGACCCGCGTATGGGGCTTACCGGCCACCTGGAGAACAGTGCCTGTGGTACAGTGGGTGTGTTTGTCCTGTCCAGGTCTGAGCGAGCCCTGAGCTTCATCCGCTGGGAGCTTTTGATAATCTGGCCTAGCCAGTCCCAGTCTTCATGAAAAGAAGAATGTGGAGGAGAATTCCAGAGCTGCTTTCTGGCATTCATTTTGTGATGGGAGACATGGCTGTCCCCAAAGGGGACAAGTACTTTTAGATTGGGGATGTTTCTAAATCAAACTCTACATAATCGAGTGCATTCTTTGCATTTTGTGAGCTTGCTGCAGGCTTGGACCTCTCTCCCTAAGGAAGGGTTGTGCTCTGCTGGAACTGGACGGACGTGTGGGGACTCACAGGCTGGCCACTGGTCTGACTGTATTTCCTACATCCCCACACACCATCCTCACAGGGAGGATGACACATGTCATGCCATGAAACACTTGACCAAGCATGGGTCAAAGCCACCAACACATCCCATTTTGTAGTGCCTTGCAAATCTTGTGTAGTTGTGAGCTATGATTTATTTCATGTAAGTGTATTGTGGTGCGTGGCTCCTAGTGGTTACTTTTCATATCATTATTTTTACCAAGTGTTTTCGCTCCTAAATTCAATCAAAAGCTGTATGACTTCTATCCCCTCTACCACTGTTTCCATTCAAGGAAGGAAATGCTGGCCAGATTTAGAGAGTGCCGATTTCATTTCCTTGGAGGGCCATCATTTGCTTGGTTGCATATGTGCTTTTCCTTGGTTGGTTCTTTTCAAAAATTTTTTTTTTAATTTTTATTTTTGTAGCAATCTTCCTGCCTCACCCTCCCAAGTAGCTGGGACTGCAGTCACGCACCACCAAGCCTGGCTAATTTTTAAAATTTTTTGTAGAGACAAAGTCTCTCACTATGTTGCCCAGGCTGGTCTCCAACTCCTGGGCATAAGTAGTCCTTTTGCCTTGGCTTCCCAAAGCATTGGGATTACAGTTGTGAACCACCATGCCTGGCTTAAAATTTTTTATTAAAAACAGAGGCATAAACACACACACTAGCCCAGGCCTACATAGGGTTGGGATCATCCATATCACTGTCTTCCATCACCATATCTTGTTCTGCTGGAAGGTCTTCACGGGCAATAAAGTGCATGGAGCTGTTATCTCCTGTGACAATAATACTGGAATGGACCCTGATGGACCAGTCTGAGGCTGTTTTACAGTTAACTTTTTTTTTAAGTAGAAGTACACTCTAATATAATGATAAAAATGATAGTATAGTGTGTATATATATATATAAGCTAGCAACATAGTCATTTATTGTCAAGAATTCTGTACTGTACATGCTGTACTTTTATACAACTGGGAACATAAGCTTTTTTTTTTTTATGGGATCATACAATTTTGTACCCTGCTTTTTCCATTTAACATCATATTATAAACATTTTCCCATGTCATTAAATTATTCTACATCATCACTTTCATTGCTTATAATTCATAATATGGATGCATTCTAATTTATTTAACCAATCCTCTGTTACGTGACAATTAGGTTAATTCCAATTTTCTTTTTTGCCATTATAGTCATTGCTGTAATGAACATCCTTGAGGTTCCTCTTTGCAGCAACATTTTTTGAAGCGCATTTTTAAGTCTTTAATTGATATTGCTACATTCCTTCTGAAAGGCTGTGCATATTTCTAACCAGCTGTGTATGGATTCTTCTTATTGCAATTTAAAATATATTTGTCAGTTCAATATGTGAAGAATGGGCATCTCGATGTTAATTTTAATATCTTGGATCATGGGAGGTTAAACATTCTCCTTGGGGGTAATTGCTAGAAGGGATATTTTGCGCTCTCCTGCTTCCAGATGGGGGAGGTTAAGTGTTGTTAGTGATCACTTAGGAAGATGAAATTGAAGCATGCTGCTGGGAAGCTGAGGGCAGTTCAAGTAGTGGCTATTAGTCTTCAGAACCTGAAGCCAATCTTCCTGGGCGTCAGTTTTCAATCTCCTTGAGTGGGCCTCCTAATCTGGAGGTATCTGGCTTGTGCAGGCCTGCAGCAGCCCAGACCTGGGAGGAGTAGGCGGCGGGACCCAGGAGGCTTGGGGTGGCATCAGGAAGCAGGATGGGCCTGGCTACCTCCTAGATTGATTTTCTACACCTCCAGGCTTTCCCCTTTGCTTTCCCCTCCGTCGTGAAGATAATCAGGTATGAGCAGCTTTCACTGGGTTCTGTGGCTTCTGCTACCTTCCATGAAAGCGCAGCTAGAGCAGTTGGTGCGGGTGGGAGATTTTGAGTGTGAGGTGTGTGGTGAATCTGTTGAGTGGATGGTTTAGGACTGTCAGTGCTGCCAGGCTCTCGTTTCTAGGTGGGGAGAGAAGTCAGAGCTGGGACCTTCCAGTGAGAGGTCCAGGGATGGATCTGATACCAGGAGGACAATATCACAAAGTGTTCTGCCAGTTTCAATAACTGGATTTATGAGGAGAAAACGGCGTGAGGACGGTCTGGGAAGTGGTGACGTCGGAAGTCAGGAAGGCAGCTGGCAGTGTGTGCTCCTCCCTGGACGGCCCCTTCGTCATCCAAATTGGCAGGTGCTCCCGGAAGAGCGGTCAGGCTGTGAGAGAAACCGCTTCATTCCCTGGAATGTGGGGAAGAGAGTGGAGGTTTAATGTGTAATTTGCAGTCCTTAGAATCCATTATGGGCATGAATAAGCCCAGAGAGGCTATAGGCGGGAGAATTAAACATGAATGCTCATCGAGACTGAGGCACTGGAGACTGAGAAGAAGTTCAGTTGCCAACATCTTTCACTTTGGGTATTCACTCTGAAGTCACTTGGCCAAAGCCACCTGAGGTCAGTTGATGAAAGGCCCTGGAAGGTAATGTAATGCCACAAAGATTTCTCACAATGGAAAAATCAGGTTTGGCACCGGTGAGCTGTGAATTCTTCTGAGGTGGTAAACCTGGACTCTCCACAGCTCTTTGAGAGCTGGAGGCTAAGAAAATCTGAGAATGGGGTTTATGTCAGCCCTCCTTGCTGTGAAGGAACTTGGGCCTTTTGGCGTTGAGTGCACAGTGGAGTCAGAGGAGAGGATGTGGTGGGGGCAGCGGCACACACAGTTGACTGCCATGGAGAGGAGAACTGCCTTTGGAAGCATCTGGAGGCATTTGGTTGGATTTAGTGGTGTGCCTGCATTTATTATTAATCATGGTGACTCTGCTTTGTGTTTTTCACAGTGCATTCTTGTAGATCTGACTTGATTTTCATAATATAAAATATTTTCCACGACTTTATTGAATTTTAATTTTGGCAGTGTTTGCCAGTGTTTGAACAACTGCTCAGCCTCATGGGAGGGATGGTTTTATAAGCTTGTGGAGGAAGCTAAGTGTGTTTACAAGCCGTGGTAGCACATTTAAGAGTCAGGCATGGACTCCTCCAGTCCTGACGGGGGCGCTGTGGGGCAATGGTGGGCTGAATGTGGCCCAGTCATAGTCCCACGTGAGACCACAGTAGATGCCATTGTGGAAGCTTAGCTCCCACTCCACCTTGGAGGTGTCAAGGCCTTGTTTTTTGTTCCAGGATCTATGTGTAATTAGAGCAGGAGACCCTTTTACTTGAGAACTGTTGTCTTTGCTGTGTGATCTTTGGTAGGTTATTTAAGCTCTCCAGTCCTTAGTTCTCATTTGTGAGATGAGATAATAATAGCATCGATCTCAGGGAATTGTGTGAAGGTTAATTGAGTTAATACATTTTTAAAAAGAGAGAACACTCAATGGGTATTAACTATTATGACGACAAGAGTATTAATGACCACTCATATTGGACTTCATAGATGGAGGAAGCCCAGGCTGGTTGGAGAGCTTGCCTGTCTCCCAGCAAGGTTTTAACAAATCTAACAAATCCCCATTCTCTACCTGGGTGGCCTTGCCAGGGACGTGGTGACAAGCATAAAGGGGAGGAGCTATGGTTCTTCAGGAAGGTGCTGATGGAAGGATAACCAGTACTGTGCTTTTATGAAATAGCAAGCCAAAATGGGGAACTTGACCTAGAGAATTTGATTAACCTCTTCAACTACATCAAAGGCAGCAGAGAAGCAACTTCTCTCGTGGGATGCTAAGAACTGAAAGAGTGTGTGCTGCCCTCTAACTCTTGGCCCTGGCACTTACCAGCTGTATAACCAGGGCCAGTTACTTAATCTCTCTGCACCTTAGTTTCCTCATCTGTCAATGGGAATGATACTATTTTATAGGGTTGTTGCAGTTACTAAATCAGGTGATATCTGTAGAATGCCTAGCAAGTTGTTAAATTCTTGGAGCCAGGTGAAGGCTCAGTAAAAGCCAATCATTATGCTCATTATTATGTTTATTACAAATGCTCTTATTACAAGCTACCTTACAGCTTATGATTTACAACTGAGGAAACAGGTTATTTCATGACAGGACTTGTCCTGTGATAGTTCTCTTCCTCACCATGAAAGATGTCAACAGCACTCATCGGGATTCCCCCACCTTGGCTGGACCTATCTTCTGGCCTTGGTGGTTGCCCATGTGAAGATTGGGAGAAGGTGATGCCCTCCTGGTTGCACAAGGGCTGGGTCTAAGTCATCCGGTCTCTGTGTGTATCTACAGCCCTAGGAATGGGGAATAGCTCCTGGCTCCTATTGCATGATCAGGGATTTTGAGGATATTTGAGGTGTCCAGACTCAAACCTTCCTTGTCATTACCTCCTTAATAGGTTTTTCCCTCTACCTAACAATTCTTCTTTCTCAGCTTCTCTTGAACGTGTCCCTCTTTTCCATGGCCTCAGTTGCCTCTCACTCCCTGCCTACAGACTCCTCTGGCTTTGCCCTCTTCTGTACCCTCCCTGGAATTGTTTTTGCCTCTCCAGCCCCGGCTCCCCATTCCTCGGATGACAGCACCAGACTTTCCTATGGGGATGGATACATTAGGAATGCGTTCAGCTGTAAATGATAAGAAAGCTGATGCAGAGTGGCTGCAACGTAAAGATTTATTTCATTCACATAGCACTAATTCTGAAGGTAGGTGGTTGCCTGCTTTGATTCAGCGTTTCTCTCCTCATGCTTGCAGCTCTAAGCATCACATCTGCACTCAAGGCAGGATGAAGGAAGGGAAGGAGGAAGAATAATTTGAAGTTGTTCTTCTTCTTCTTTTTTTTTTAATCAGAAAAGCCAAAGTTTTTCCAGTTGTCTCCACCATACTTCCACTTATATTTCATCAGCCAGAGCTGTGTTAAGATTCTCTCTAGCTGCAAAGGAGATGGGGAAGGCTAGCATTTCATTTTTCTAGCCTCCAAAATGGAGAAAAAGAGAGAAAGAGCTTGGGGGTGTGGGGTTATGCAGCCAGCGCTGTCAAAACTTCTCCCCAGTCTC
Organism: Homo sapiens; assembly: GCF_000001405.40. NCBI lineage: Eukaryota > Metazoa > Chordata > Mammalia > Primates > Hominidae > Homo > Homo sapiens. The sequence goes on along the minus strand of NC_000014.9, from coordinate 54,812,371 downwards.
CGCGCATGTGGTGGAGTTGACCCCCACTCCAGGCGTGTCACTGATGACCAGTCAGAGCATGGCATCACTCTGGCCACAGGGATTGTTTCATGAAAGGGCATGTGACTAAGCTAGGAAAATTAGAGATGATGAGACTCAATTTCAGGACTTCAGTTGAAACTGTTGGGAAAGAGAAAATCTTTCATTTGGATTTAAGTATGGCATAAACTGCTGAGATCCTTAGGCTACCCCTTAAAGAAAGCTGACCTGAGATGGTCCCAACCCAGAGGAAAGCAGGGTTGAGAGACAGGGAGCAGTGCTGATGACATGGATGGAATTCCTGGATCCAGCTGTACCTGATGATCCCATGAACTTTCATGTCTGTGAGCCAGTACATTTTCCTTTTTACTTAAGCCAGTTGGTGTTTGGTGTCTATCACTTCAAGTAAAAGAATCTTGGATAATACGTGCCCTTGGAGGCTCTGCTTGAGGCACCAATACCATTTGGTTTTGTTTATGTGTTTACATATCAAGATCTCTCACCAGATGCACACTCTGCTGGCAGGGGTCATCTTTGAATCCCAAGGCCCCCAACACTGGATGTGACACATAGCAGGTTCGCAGTAAAGTCTTAATTAATGAATGAGCCATGTTTCTCTTCTGCTCTCCATGCCTGCCTCGTAAATCCAGGCTCTGTCATCTAGCACTCAAGGACTTCTGTCATCCGGCCTCCATAGTGTCCTCCATTACTCCCCTTGTTTTAACAGTGGTCGTTCTCCATCTGTACATCTCTTCATGCTGGCCTCTCCGCCTGGAACACGGCTGGCTCCATCTTCATCTTTCAAAACTCTATATACTCAAGACACAACTAAAATGTTGCTTCTTCCAAGGAGCCTTCTTTGATCATCTCAAGTCCTAACCCCTGCAGCTCTCGCTGATATTCATGAGACACCTGTCTCGTCGCCCTGTGGCAGTTGGTGTGTCTCTTATCTCCCCAGTTAAACCATTAGCTTTGTGCCTCTTCCAGCACCTAGCAGGGTGCCATTCATGTTGTGGGGCTCAGGAGACATAGATCACTGGAAAAAACCTGGTTTGGGATGAATTTCTGTCTCAGACCCTGGAGAGGGATTTTCTTTTCCTGATCACATTTTGTTAAAGCTATTTTTCCTATTAAATTTTTTTTTCCCCACAAATTTGTTGAGGTATCATTGATGTAAACTGCAAGTATTTAAGGTGTGCAATTGGAAGAATTTTGAAATATGTATATACCTGCAAAACCGTCCCCACAATCGAGATAGTAGACATGTTCTTTACCCCTGAGCAGTACCCACACCCCTTTGTAATCTCTACCTCCCTTTTCCCCCAAAACAGACTCCAAAACAGATCTGCTTCCTGTCACAACAGTTGAATGTGCATTTTCTAAAATCCTCTGTTACTGGAATCGTATGGTTTGTATTTTTTTGTCCTACTTCTTTCACTCAGTAGAATTACTCTGAGATTCGTCTGTTGTTGTGTATATCAACAGTTTGTTCTGTTTCACTGCTGAATAGTGTTCTCTTGCATGAATATACCACTATGTATCAGTTCATCTGTGGACATTTGGGTTGTTTGGGTCAAGTTTGGGGATTTTACAAATAAAGTTGCTATGAACATTTGTGTATAAGTCATTATACGAACATATGCTTTCATTCATCCTGACAAATATCTAGGAGTGGAATGGCTGGATCAAAGGGTAGGAATATATTGAATTTTTAAACTCTTTTATGTGGCTGTACCATTTTACATTCCCACTGATTCTAGTTGTACATACTCCCTGGCCATATTTTCATTTCTTCCCCATATATCAAAGTTAGTGCTTTTCAAACTTTAAAAAATTTGGGTTTGTTTTTGTTTTTGAGACAGGGTCTTGCTCTGTCATCCAGGCTGGAGTGCAGTGGTATGATCTCAGCTCACTGCAGGCTCCACCTTCCAGGCTCAAGTGATATTCCCACCTCAGTCTCCCGAGTAGCTGGGACTACAGGTGCGTGCACCATCATGCCTGGCTAATTTTTGTATTTTTAGTAGAGATGGGGTTTTGTCATGTTTCCCAGGCTGGTCTCGAACTCCTGGCCTCAAGGGATTTGTCTACCTTGGCCTCCCAATGTCCTGGGATTACAGGCACGAGCCACCTTGCCTAGCCTGTTTTGATTTTTTGTTTGTTTGTTTTAGAAGCAGAAACCTTAAAAAATAAAGGCCATACCTAGACCCCTCATGAGTAAAGTGCATAAGGAGATAGATGCTTTGGCTGAAGGGTTGTAGGAGGCGTGTGGCACCTGAGGCCCTGGGCCACCTCTTCCAGCTCTGGGGCCCCAGGAACACATACATGTAGAACACCCACTCTAGGTGACAAGCATGAGTCAGATTTGACTTTCACTTAAGTTCTGGGCCGCAGCACCTGCCAGCCATGCTGAGAACCTCGCTGGGGCCTCCAAACTGACGAGCCTTGGAGGCGGCCCGGACACAGCAGCATGGGCTATGGGGTGATATTTCTCGCTGGATAGAATAGGTTTTTCAGGATATCAATACTACCTTTCCACCACCGTGGCATGTCAGTCAAACTTCCTCCATCTCCAAGACAAATATCAGAAACTGCGTGACTCCAGATACCAGGAACAAAGAAACAAATTGGGAACATCATGCACAAAAAAAAGATTTTAATAAAGATTCAGCCAGCTCCGTGCATAGATCCTGCCATGCTGCTTATTGTGATCTTGACAGTGATGCCGGGCGAGAATGAATAGACCGTGAGGCCGTTCATATTCCTGGCACTGACGAGCCCACTGCAGCCTAAATGATGGCTGACTATAGACAGGGACCATTTACAGGGGCTGCTCCGGGGGACCTCTGGCCTCAGCCTCTTGGCCTCTGTGGGCTCTGGGACCCTGAAGCTGAGGTTTCTCACCGGCCAGCAGGGAGCCTGAGAAAAGCAGATTCCTGGGCCCTCAACCTTCATTTGCACTCCTGGGCCAGGACCCTGAAGAGCTGCGTTTTTACCATGCTCTCTGTGTTTCTTTCTCCTCTTCATTCTGCTTTTTATTATAGAAAACTTTAAACATACACAAAAGTAGACAGGATAGTATAATGAACCCTATGCACCCACAGCCCGGCTTCAACAGTTACCCATAGATGGCCAATCTTGTTGCATCTCTACTCCTACTCACTGTCCCTAGTATGATTTTGAATCAAATCCCAGACATTAAATTATTTCATCTGTAGACAGGTCCCCCTGTCTAAAACATAAGGGGATCTTTTTAAAGACATAACCACAATATTATTATCCCACCTAAAAATGAGCACTAATTTCTTTCTGGTGCATAGTTGAGCGTGAGGACCATGGTCCTAAGCTCTCTCAGCCAATGGGGAGGTCACTTCCTCCTGTAGTGGGAGCCGCGCCTGCGTGCCTGACACGTGTTGCAAGAGGGTGTGCATTTTGAAAGGAATCCGGCAGGAGCTCTACTTCTGGAAATCCAAGTTCATAAGAGAAAAACAGCACCAAGTTGGGCTGACCACCTGTATTGCAAAGGGGGGCCTTGGGTCCTAGGCAGGACCATTATCTAGAATCTTGCTGTCCACACCTTCTATTTATTTTTAAAGCCAACTTTGCATTTTAACCTAAGGGGTGCAGGGAAGCCACAGTCGAGTTCCCTATGGAGTAGTTCTTGGGGGCTTACCAGTATGATGTCACTCTGGGCAGACTTTGAATATCCAGTCAGACCCCCTGGGTTTGATGTGTGGCTCTGCAGTTTATGCACTGTGCATTAGGAAGCTGACACTTGCTGTAATCGGCTGGCAGGGGAGTATTTTGAGATAATGACAGTAGATGACATGCTGATAAACAGGCTGGATGCTGGGAGTGTGTGGTGACACAGGTCACCCATCATCCCCTGTGTGCCCACTGCCTACCCAGGGGCCCATCCAGATGGTTTTTCAGGCCCTACTTTCATCCCAAGAGCTGGATTCATGGTTTTTTGCAGGTGCCAAACAGGAACCAGCTGGGCTTCCCAGCACTCAGAGCCCCCAAGGCTGGTGGGCAGAGCAGGCCCTGCTGGAGCTCTTGCTCCAGCTGCCTGCCTTGGAGAATCCTCTGCAGTGTGCAGCGAGGCGCTCCTGGGCTGATTGTCTTCCAGCCCTTGCTCCTGAGGGCACCATTTCCCACACATCCCAGGCCCCTCGGAATTGAGATGGCTGTGTCCTTGGCTGACCAGGTGTCCCTTGATTCCGGGGAGGAGCAGGGACATAGGAAAAGGAGCTTTGCTGGTGGAGGAGGCTGCGCAGGGAGCAGTGGGATGCCAAGCTCTCCTATTGCTGTCCATCCTCAGGGCTGAAGGGTGCTCAGTAAGAAGCAGCCAGGAAGGTGGGCTCATCGGGGCTGCACCCAGTGCAGTGGGGCCAAAGTCTTAAAGGCTCCTCCATAATGGGACCTCTTCCTCTAGTGGAGGCCAGAGCGTGTGCAGATTGCTGGACAGTGGACAAAGGATGGGTTGTATCTTTGAAGGCCTAGGAGTCAAAGCTACTATGCCTCCTTTAGCTGCTGGGGGTTGGGGGGCTGAGGAGTGTTCCACAAGGGCCCAGTCTGTCCGGGAGCTGCTGCCTACTGGCTGGATGGACACAGCTTGGCTCACTCATGCCCAGAGAGAGAGAGAGAAAGAGTTAAGCTGCTGACCCTAAAGGCAAGGGAGAGCTGGCCGTGCAGCTGTGCGTGGGAGCCAGACTAAGCAGCCGAGACAGGGCAGACAGTGTAAGAAAGCTGTTGATGAGAGCGGCTGCTGAGTAAAATCATATTTTACCTGCCTACGGCCCCCTGAGCATTCTTTCTGCTCATCCACCCACTCCCTTTGGACCTCAACATGACATTTGTCATAGTCATGAAACTGACAGGGGAAGACAGCCTTAGCTTCAGAGTTAGGAGGTCCTGGGTTCTACTCCCTGCAATGGGGGGTCAGTTGGTACAACCATAATAGGGGGAAGTTTGATGGCATCTTTTACAATCACAAACACACCTGTGTATCCTTTGACCTAGCAATTTCACCTGTGCAAAAGGGCAGGTGGACAAGGAGGTTCATTGCAGTATATTTGTAACCACAGAAGACTGGCAACATCTCAATGCCCATCTGTAGTGGGCAAGTTTAATAACCTGTGGTTATTTCATACAATACCTCTTAAAAAGAATGAGGCATTTCCATGCATTCATTGCTACAAAACGATTGTCAGTGATATTAGAGTGCAGTTCTACTTCTGGAAATCCATGCTCATAAGAGAAAAACAGCACTAAGTTGGCCTGACCACTTGTGGTGCAAAAGGGGGCTTGGGTCCTAAGTAGGGCCATTATCTAGAATCTTGTCGTCCAGGCCTTTTTATGTATGTATGTATGTATGTATTTTGTGACGGAGTCTCCCTCTGTTGCCTAGGCTGGAGTGCAGTGTTGTAATATCGGCTCACTGCAATATCCACCTCCCAGGTTCAAGTGATTCTCCTGCCTCAGCCTCCCAAGTAGCTGAGATTACAAGTGCCCGCCACCACGCCCAGCTGATTTTTGTATTCTCAGTAGAGATGTAGTTTCACCATGTTGGCCAGGCTGATCTTGAACTCCTGACCTCAAGTGATCCACCCCTCCTCGGCCTCCTAAAGTGCTGAGATTACAAGGCATGAGCCACCGCCCAGGCCATATTTATTTTTAAAATCAACTTTGCGTTTTAACCTAAGGGGCGCAGGGAAGGTGCGGGGATGCAAGGCTGGGAACAGTGTATGGTATGCAGCCTCTGTGCGTTAAAAAAAAAACTCCCTTTATACCCATGGGATATTGTTGAACAAGTTCACGAGAAACTAAAAACGAAGGTTGCAAACAGTGTGGCAACTTGGCAGAACAGTGGTTGGAGGGAGATGTTTTCATTATAGAATCCTTCAGAAAATTTGAGTTTTGTGTCATTTGTATGTGTTTAAAATAAACTAAATTTAAATAAAATCTCTGGCATCAAATGGGCTGTGCGACTTTGGGCAAGTCACCTAGTTGCTGGAGCCTCATCTATAAAACCAGATAAGATGAAGGCACAGTGTTGCTGTAAAGGTGACAGCTAGTGGATACTAAGTGCCTTGCGCAGGACGTGGACTTAGCGGGGATTCAGCAGTCGGAGCTCCATGAGCGCGACTTACTAACGTCATGATACCAGGGCGGGAGAACAATCCCAGGCTAGAAGACACAGTGATTTGAGAGACTATGAGCACCTCGAGGGCCAGGATGGCATCCTTCTCATCCTGGTTCCTTCCACCGCATGTGACCCGGGGCATAGGGACTTATGTTGATTTGAATAGGGCTGTTCTGGTGCCGCCTCCCCAGAACAAGCGCTGAGTGGGAAGACACTGACCACCAGAGGGCGCCAGCTGCGCATGGCTTCCCCTTTCCCTTCTGGAACCTCCTGGGCTGCCAAAATGTGTCAGATTCGCCGGGGAAAAATGTTTAAGGTGACTCTTTCCCTCCTTGCTAAGGCCACTAAATACATTGCTTAATTGGTTCCTCTTAGGGCTAGAGGGATTTGTAGTCACCAAAAGTGCTGCACAACTGGCATAACCACCCTGGGGATGAGTGTGTGGTGTGCACGTGTACATATCAGGGTGTGTGGTGTGGCTAGAGGACATCTTCTCTCAGCAGCCCCTGTGTTGCTCATGGCTCCCGAGTCTTGGATCCAGCCTTCATACTGGGTGCTACAGCAAGGGCTGTGGGTCCCAAGGGGAATGGAGAACAGTCTGTCTACAGGATACCTGATTTTGTGGGTGCTTCCAGGCTGGGGAGAGTGCTGGGAATGGCCTGAGTGAAGACTTTGTAGCTAATAACTCCTGTCATCGGCTGACGAGGTAGGGAATGGACAGTGCTTGAGGATTGTAATCACCATGACAATACTCGCGGCTAACACTCAAGAGCACAGCCTATGTATCAGGCTCTGTTCCAGGTGCTGTGCATACATCAACTCACTTAACCCTCCACAACGCGCCACTGGGTAGCACCCCTATTGCACAGATGGAGAAATGGAGGCACGGAGAGGCAAAGTAATGCACCCAAGGACACATAGCTGAGCTGGTAAGTGGCAGAGCTGGGAAGTGAGTGGAGGAAAGGCAGGCTTGGGCTTCAGAGCCCCAGGGATTTGAAGCCGGAGCATTCAGGCTTGCAACACATTTTCAAGATACCCAGATGGGAGAGCTGCCTGTTTTAAACGTGAAGGAAGACAGATTTCAAAACGAGCCCTTGCTTCCAGTTTTGAGGTTCTTCCCCAGCCTCCTGGGCAAGGAATGCTCCGTTCAGTATAAATATTAAAAACGAAGGCTGCAGGAGTGGCAAAGCAGGATGTGGGGGAGGGTCTTTTCTGTTGAGGAGCCAGGGCCCAACACCTTTCCATACAGGTGCAGTGAGACCGCGGAGGCAGGGCCAGGAGAGGGGCGTCCTCAGCCCATTCGGCTACGCTGGCAGCAGGGAGGGTGGAGCAGAAGCTGCCTCACTCCTGGCACATCGCGGGCGGGAGGCCGCTGCAGGCACTTCTGCTACTCTATCATCTATTTCTTTTTATTTTTTTGAGTCAGTCCCTCAGACAGTCCGGTTTGTTAGCTTCCTGCGGGCTCTCCACTGAACCCAGCCTTTGAATGGGAGACTGAGTCAGAGCAGCCTCAAACATCCCCTGAAGGCGAGAGCCGCTGTGCGTGAAAGCACCTTTCAGAGCATTACATTTCCCTGCTTCTGAGTCTTTGAACCAGGAGTGATCCACAGGTTGCAGCCCAGCTGGAGGTGGATGATGAAAGAAATTGGCCCGCTCAGAGTCGGGTGGGAGCTAACAGAGAAGGAGAGTTTGATGAATGCGCGGCTGGGCCTGGCCCTGGGACCCTAGTGATCCTGCAGCACACTGGGAGCGTAACAGGAGGTCACCCAGCCACCCAGGACATGACCTCGTCTGATGACGCCACTTTAAGCTCCTCCAGACTTTGAGGTCCTGAAGAGAAGCAGCAAACCCAGGTAAAGTGACCAGGGTTTGTCTTTGTAACAGGCTCACATTCCTCAAAAGTGGGGAGGGACATTGGCCGGATGGGGACCCCAAGACCTTAGCCGTCTTGAACATTCGTTTGTGCTCTGCTGGGAGGCAGCATGCGGTGACCGGGTGGGAGATATTAGTGCTGTGGTCCAGCCCTGTCTGTGAGTCCTTCATGGCAGGGTAGGATTGTGCTTCCCAGCTCCACTGAAGTTAGATGTGGCCATGTGACTGGCTTCGGCTGACGAAGTGTGAGCGGAAGTGACACATTTCACTTCTAGTGGAAGGCATGTCCTTTTTTTCCCTCTGCTGTGGCAAATATCAGTACTCCAGTAGGTGGCAACTGTGCCAGAAGCTGGATTCCAGAGGAAGCCATATAGAGCAGATGTCCCTGATGACCTGTGATGGACATGCAGGCCAGTCTTTGTGGTTTTAAGGCATTGAGGTTTTGGGGAGTATCTGTTAATGGAGTGTAACCTAATCTGCATTAACAGACAACCCGAAACTATACTGGCAGATACCTGGATAATCAGGCTGATGAATTCTGGTTAATAGATCACTCAGCTGTTAATGCTATGCAACTGTATGGTAGATGCACCTGTGCACGGCAGACACACCTGACAGCGATAACTTAAGCATTTTCTGAGAATCACCCTGTATGGCAGACGCACCTGAATGTGTGTTTAGAGTTCCAGCGTGGCCAACCTGGGGACTCATTCCTTATCTGTGAGGCATATCTGAGCCCCCATCCTGCCCTGTCCCATAAAATGTGGGTCATACAGAGTATTGAGGCCCTTTGTTTTGGGTTAAACGAAGGTTGCCAGGTGATGGTTGCTAGGGGGAGGGTGTTAAGTGAGAACGCTGTATAAACTGCATGCTCTTATAAGTGGTGGTTCTCCTGTCCAGTCCCCACCACTGGGCTGCTCCGTAAGTTCCCCTCAATAAGCCCCGTGTCTCGTTTGCTGGCTCTGGGTCTCTTCTTTAGCCTCTCGAGCCTGGTGCCATCCCGATTGGAGGTGATAGGTGTCTGGCATGACAGTATCCCAGGGAACAATTCATCAACCTAATTAAAGTACACATAGCTTACAAAATTGAGTCTTTGCGGTAGGCATTGCAAGCACCATTGAAGCCAATGGGGAAGAAATTTGAGAAGTGACTGGGAGTGTGCTGAAACCCCACTGCTAATGCTGCCTGGCTTAGATGATTCCCATAGGTAGGGCACCCAAGGAACAGGGTGGATCAGGTGCTTGCTCTTAGTTCTGTAATGAGTCCGTGGAAGCAGCTGCCTTTTACCCTCATCTACCAAGGCTGCAGATGCACTTAACCTCATAGACCAGTAAGCTAGGAGAAGCAGTTTCATTTGATGTGCAGTTTTCCCATTTGGCTGCCCATTAGAATCACCTGGGAGCTTAATAACCTCACGCCCAGGCCATGCCCTAGAACAACTAAGTCAGAGTCTCTCAGGATGGACTCCAGGCATCAGTAGTTGGTAAAGCTCCCCAGGTGACTCCCATATGGAGTCAGATTGAGAACCACAGCCATGTCGGCTCTTCTCTTTCAATTAGGGGCTATATTTAAACAAATAGGATGGTCATTTTGCAGAATTCTGCTGCCTACCAGTAACCTCGTGTCTCAGGCTGCAACAGATGTTGGAAAGGGAAGGCCTGGAGGTTCATCACAGTCTCCTTACTGTGTGTGCTCATATGGGGTCTCCAGAGCCTAAGACAACCAGCCATTGCCATCTCCTAGCAATATTTAGGGTAGACAGACCTGGATTTGAGTCTTATCGTGGAGCCTCATTCCATAACAATTCTGTGATGTTGGACAAGTTGCTTAACATCTCTGAGTCTCAGTTTTTCCATCTGCAAAGTGGGGGATAATCTAACAACAAATGTATCAGCTTAGCAAAACAGTATTTTGTCTGGATGAGGAGGTGGGTTATGTAACATAACAAATTTCATGTCCCTACCCCTAGCCCAATTCTTCCCCAGCACCTCAGCTGGCCAAGCAAGACGCTTTGGGAGGCATCCTGGACTCATTAGTTTCTCCTCTACAGCCCATGTCTGATCCATCATCAAGCACAATGAGGCTACGTCTTTTTTTTCTCTCGTTGATATCTGGCTTTCTTATTTTTAAAATGTTTTATTTCCTGGGTTTTTGGGGAACAGATGGTGTTTGGTTACATGAGTAAGTTCTTTAGTGGTGATTTGTGAGATTTTGGTGCACCCATCATCCGAGCAGTGCACACTGAATTTAACTTGCAGTCTTTTATCCCTCACCTCCCTCCCACCCTTTCCCCTGAGTCCCCAAAGTCCGTTGTATTTTTTAACTTTTAAGTTTAGGGGTACATGGTGCAGGTTTGTTACATAGGTAAATGTGTGTCATGGGGGTTTGTTGAACAGATTATTTCATTATCAAGTTATTAAGCCAAGTACCCATTAGTTATTTTTCCCGATCCTCTCCCTCCTCCTACCCTCCACCCTCCGATAGGCCCCAGTGTGTGTTGTTCCCTTCTATGTGTCCATGTGTTCTCATGATTTAGCTTCCACTTATAAGTGAGAACATGTGGTATTTGGTTTTCTGTTCCTGTGTTAGTTTGCTAAGGTTAATATCCTCCAGCTCCATGTTCCTGCAAAAGACATGATCTTGTTCTTTTTTATGGCTGCATAGTATTCCATGGTGTATATGTACTATTTTTTCTTTTTCCAGTCTATCATTAATGGGCATTTAGGTTGATTCCATGTCTTTACTATTGTGAATAGTGTTGCAATGAACTTTCACGTGAATGTGTCTTTATGATAGAACAATTTATATTTCTTTGAGGATATACCCAGTAATGGGATTGCTGGGTTGAATGGTATTTCTTCTTTAGGTCTTTGAGGAATTGCCACACTGTGTTCCACAATGGTTGAACTAATTTACACTCCATTAACAGTGTATAAGCACTCCTTTTTCTCCACAACCTCACCAGCATTTGTTTTTTTTTGACTTTTTGATAATAACCATTCTGACTGGTGTGAGACGGTATCTCATTGTGGTTTTGATTGGCATTTCTGTAATGATCCGTGATGTTGAGCTTTTTTTCATATGTTTGTTGGTCACATAGTATGTCTGCTTTTGAGAAGTGTCTGTTCATGTCCTTTGCCCACTTTTTAATGTTTTTTTTTTCTTGTAAATTTGTTTAAGTTCCTTACAGATGCTGGATGTTAGACCTTTGTCAGATGCAGAATTTGCAGAAATTTTCTCCCATTCTGTAGGTTGTCTGTTTACTCTGATAGTTTCTTTTGCTGTGCAGAAGTTCTTTAATTAGATCCCATTTGGCAATTTTTGCTTTTGTTGCAGTTGCTTTTGGCATCTTCACCATGAAATCTTTGCCTGTGCCTATGTCCTGAATGGCATTGCCTATGTTGTCTTCCAGGGTTTTTATAGTTTTGGGTTTTATATTTAAGTCTTTTATCCATCCAGAGTTAATTTTATATGTGGTATAAGGAAAGCGTCCAGTTTCAATCTGCATATGGCTAGCCAGTTATCCTAGCACCATTTATTGAATAGGGAATCCTTTCTCCATTGCTTGTTGTAGGTGTGTGGTCTTATTTCTGGGTTCTCTGTTCTGTTCCATTGGTCTATGTGTCAGTTCTTGTACCAGTACCATGCTGTTTTGGTTACTGTATCCCTGTAGTATAGTTTGAAGTTGGGTAATGTGATGTCTTCAGCTTTGTTCTTTTGCTTAGGATTGTCTTGGCTATTTTGGTTCCATATGTTTTAAAATAGTTTTCTATAGTTCTGTGAAGAACGTCAATGGTAGTTTAATGGGAATAACATTGAATCTATAAATTGCTTTGGGCAGTATGGCCATTTTACCAGTATTGATTCTTCCTATCTATGAGTATGGAATGCTTTTGTTTGTGTCATCTCTGATTTCTTTGAGCAGTGGTTTATAGTTCTCCTTGTAGAGATCTTTCACCGCCCTAGTTATCTGTATTCCTAGGTGTTCTTTTTCTGGCAGTTGTGAATGGGAGTTCATCTGTGATTTGGCTCTCATCTTGACTGTTGTTGGTACATAGGAATGCTAGTGGTTTTTGCACATTGACTTTTATATCCCAAGACTTTGCTAAAGTTGCTTATCAGCTTAAGAAGCTTTTGGGCTGAGACAATGAGGTTTTGTAGATACAGGATCATATCATCTACAAACAGGGATAGTTTGATTTCCTCTCTTCCTATTTAAATGCCCTTTATTTGTTTCTCTTTCCTGATTGTCCTGGCCAGAACCTCCAATACTATGTTGAATAGGAGAGGCTACATCTTATGAATCTCACAGATCTGTCCAGTTCTCTCTGTCCCTGCTGCCATACCCTTGAGCTTGTGAACTGTCTGGATCATCTGTCCCCTGGGGCATCCTCACTCCTGCACTTGCGCTCTCCTCTAATCCATTTCCCAAAATGCAGTCGGAGTGACTTTTCCAAAATATAAATTTCCCTGTTAGACATTATCCCAAAATTTAAAATTAATAATTAAAATAGTGGGAGTGCTAGTACATGAATAGACAAATGTATTGATGAAAAGAAAAATAGGAAGTGCAGAGAGAGATCTAAATACATAGAGGAAGTTGCTTTGTTAAAGGGGTGGCATATCAGATCAGTGGAGGAAAAATATATTAATAGTGTAGACACAACTGGGTACCCACCTTTGCATAGAAATACAATTGGTTCCAAACCTCGTATTTTATACTAAAAATGGTTCAAATATATATAAATATAAAATGAATCCATGAAAGTACTAGTGGAAAATATAGCTATCTCAAAGTGGAAAAGGCCTTTTAAAATATGATTTGAAATCCAGAAGCCATAAAAGATGAAGAAATTCAACCACATAAAAATAAAAATAAGTTCTTTATGACAAAAGACCAACTGGGAAAAATATTTGTAACTTATATCACAGACCAAAGGCCAATTTCTACAATATACAAAGAGCGGCTACAAAAATAAGAAAAGGACCCACAACTCAATGATAAAATGGGCAAATATATGAACACCCAGTTCAAAGGAAAATATAAAAGACTATTAAGCATATAAAAATGCTCAAACTCAGTCTCACTCGAGAAATAAATAAAAAGGGTGCTGATAGCATTTTTTTCACATATTAGATAGGAGAATATACAAAAGTTTGGTTTATGAATTGCTGAGAGTATAGGAAATAAAGCACTCTCATCCATTGCTGCTGGAAGTATAAATCTATAGAAGATGACTTGGCAATAACTAGCAGGATGAGCAATGATACTTGTGATGGTTAGTTACATGCGTCAACTTGGCTAGGCTATAATACCGTTATTTAATCACACACTAATTGGTGTTGCTGTAAAGGTATTTTGTAGATCTGATTAACATCCACAACCATTTGGCATTAAGGAGATTACCCTTGATAACCTAGGTGGGCCTCATCCAATCAGTTAAAGGCCTTAAGACCAAGAACTGACGTTTCTGAAAGAAGTTCTACCTCAAGGCTGAAACATCAAATCCTGGCTGAGTTTCCAGCCTATTGCACAAATTTCAAACTCGCCAGCCCTCACGATTGAGTCTTTCCTTAAAATGAGTATCTCTCCCCCTCCCTCCTCCCTCTCCCTTCCACACCTCCCTGAGACTGGTTCTGTTCCTGCAGAGAATCCTGGCTGATACAATCTCCTTTAATCCAGCAATCCCGCCTTCTCACAGTGGGAACCCTTGCATGACACACACGTAATTTATTCATCAGAGCCTTGTCTGTAATAGGGTAAAGGAAACCTGAGTGTCCATCAGTAAAGAGCTGGTTAAAGGAGTTCTGTTCATCCACAGCGTGGAACACTGTGTCGCTGTCAATATAGAATGGTCTCCAAAACTGATTTAGTGAGAAAAGAAAAATGCCACACCATGATGAACAGCGTGCATGGTATGCTTTTGTGTGTGTACAAAGGGGGAACAAAATATAGATCCATGTTTGCACATGGAGAGAATATCTCTTGGCAGGTACACAGGAAGCCTACACTGGGGGCCTGCAGTGAGGGGAACTGAGTGACTGGGACATGGGACAGAAGGGAGACTGTTCACTTATGCCCCTCTCTTCCACAAGACCACAAAAACCCTTCCAGCTGATGATGCCACTTGCCGGCAGCACAGCTACTGCCCTTCAGGGAGAGCCTACGCTTTTTGCCATGGCCCTTTAGGACCGGCCCTGCCTCCATCCCCAGTCCCCACTCCTACCCACCCCACACCTCCAACTCTACATTCCCTGCATTCAGAATTCCGGCTGGGTATTTACTTATTTCAGTTCTTCAAATTCACATGTTCTCTCTTGCCCCTAAATCTGGACTGTCCCTGAGGCCCTCTCCAGGAATTCCTGCTTTTAGTCCTTCTGGTGTTGCTTCCTTTCTTCCGAAGGACCTGGGTGGCTTGGGTGGTGTCTACCTTCCGGGCAGTGGGCCATGGGTGAGGAGGCTTCCCCAGGGAACCCGAGGACCAGGGCAGAGCTCTGCCCCCTCTGGGGGGTGTCCGTCTCCTGCCTGGGGAGCAGCATAGCAGGCTTTATTCTCCCTCCTGCCCTCTTCTAGGCATGCTTACTCCTGGGCTCATATCATTCAGGCTAAGAGACTGAAAGAGCCCCAGGGGCCTGCAGAGGCATCTCGTGCTTTCCCAAGTGGCCATAGGGAAGTCGCCTCACTGTAACTCTGGACTTCACCTCCCATTTGCAGAAGGAAATTGGTGCTTGTGTCCTGCAAGGTATCTCCTATTTCCAGACATCCAGTTGGTTAGCACCCTGTCCTCATCAAGCCTGTGTACAAGGAAGACAGCCTGTCCCCTTAAATCTTTGTGGTTTGGAGGATGGGTTGAATATAAACACTTAAGATGCACATCTGGCCAGGTGTGGTGGCTCACTCCTGTAATCCCAGCTACTCAGGAGGCTAAGCCAGGAGGATTGCTTGAGGCTGGGAGTTCAAGACCAGCCTGGGAATGCAGACCCTCATCTCTTTTTTTCTCTTAAAAAGGCACACACTGGGTAAACTCAGTGAACTTCAGGTGAATGAGGGCTTGGATTCTGTGTCTTACAAGAGCAAAATGGAGTTGGCTAAAAGATGAAGTAGTCCAGACCCCAGAGCACAGGAACAAGAGAAAGTGTGTAGAATGTGCTCACTGCCCTGGAATTGGATTGGCACAACTGACAATGGATGGAGGAGAATGATTCATCATATATGCATTTTCTCTCATCCACAACTTGCTGTCTTTATACTCATCCATCTTGGATGAGTAACAATCATAGGAAATCAATGTTTAGCCTCTTCTCAGTGAAGAGATCTGGGATAAATATAACAAAGCAAATTGCTGAGGTCCAGTTGGACAGATTTGATTTGGGTTTGTAGGTTCTCCTGACCTCACTTAACTGAGGCTGTTTTATGGGGCTTGGTGTGGTGACTTATACCTGTAATCCCAGCACTTTGAAAAGCTGAGGTGGGGGGCTTTCTTGAGCTCAAGAGTTGGAGACCAACCTGGGCAACATGGCAAAACCTTGTCTCTACAGAAAATAAAATTTACCCAGGTGTAATAGTGCTTGCTTGCAGTCCAAGCTACTCAGGAGGTTGAGGCGGAAGGATCACCTGAGCCTGGGGAGATTGAGGCTACTGTGAGCTGTGATTGTGCCACTGCACTCCAGCCTGGGTGACAGAGACCCTCTCAAAAATTTTTTCTGACATGGACAACCAGAAATATGTCCCAACACTGGAGAAAGCCGAGGGACACCCAGGCCTGGCTGTGGTTCCCACAGGAAGATTTAACTGGAGCTTTTTGGCAGTCCCAAGTAACAACAGCTCTGGTAGGACCATTTCACTCACCAAAGCTCCGATTTTGTTTCTCCTGGATTAGACTTAAAAAACAAAACCTCAAAAAACTGTGCAACACACTATTTAAAAACATGCACTCCAAGTCAAACGTAAACACAAAGGGATATTTTATAAAGCACAAGCTTTATAAGGTTGCCAGAACATTTCTCTGTTGGTTTCAAAAATTGAAGTAGAAACCACTTAAGAGTGAAAAATATTCCATGGAGGAAATTCTTGGACATTGAATTCCCAGGTTTACGTCACAGAGAAGTCAATGTCTGTGGACAAGAGCCCCATGGGCAAGGCAGGTTGTGGGAAGCCAGTGGGCTGGGTTGAAGTTTGGGAGGACAGTGTGCACTGTGAATAATCATTTGCTCCAATGGGGCTCCAGGCTCCTCAGTGATGACTGAGTTATAAGGCTTAAGTTTTGCCAAAGTGTCCCAATTTCCCAATCATGTCTCCCAAATGTATAGACAGAAACACACACACACACACACACACACACACACACACACACACACACACACACACATCATTCTTTGTTCTTAATCTCTAGAGGCCAGAAACCGACAGTGGGAAGTCTAAAGGCCATGGTCTAAGGGTTGCTCTGGAAACAGCGCTCTAAAAATTGACCCACTTCCAAAGACTTCCAGTTCAGGCTCTAACCTCCCACCACCAGTCCCGTTACCTCCTGGACCTTCCTCTTCTTTCCCCATGTCCCCTTTCCCAACTATTTTGCTTTCAGCTTTTAGAAATGATGAGTGAACAAATCAGTCGCCATTCTTGGGCCAACTTTGAGGCACCCCTCTGACCTGATGCGTCCCTCTCTATTGTATTGAGGGCATTCTTGGCCTGGTTAGGGGTATGTTGGTATCAGGATTTCCATCATCTCATCCTGAGAGCAGTCTCCCATACTGAATTTTGCAGGTTGCCCTCAGAACTTAGGGAGCCAGAATAGAAATACTTTATAGCAGTTGGATGAAATACTTTTGTCTGTTAAATAAGATATTGGGGGAGGGAAGTTGTGAGTTTATTTTTATTGTATTTTACAAAATAATTGGACTATGTAAATTGGAAAAAAACCAACCAGTATCACAACTGGAATTCACAGATGGTTTGAGACTCACTGGATAAGCTAGGAGGACCTAGAGCTACTGCTAAGGGTCCAGAGGCTGAAGGGCCCAGTGAAGGGGTGGCTTTCAAGTGTTAAGAGGTATGGATGGAAAATAGCAAACGTGGAAGTGCTTACAGAAGCCTGTGGAATGACATCTGTGAGACTGGTGCTGGGGTGCACTATGGGGGAAAATGGCAAAGTGTGGGCTGCCACAATGGTGCTCTTGGGTGGGCCAGAGCCACCCTAAAGGCTCCATGTTTTCCTAGAGAAGGATTAAGCACTGGTTGTGGATGACATTTTCACTGATGAAGGCGCTGTCCCCCAACCTTCCCTACAACCACTGGGGACAGTAGGTCTTGGGCTGATTGTGAGTCAGGTCCAGTGATAGATGTAGTGACTGTCCAAGGGAACAAGAAACTTCCATCAGAGTTTGAATTCCTGGCTTGTGCTGCCTCTTTAGCTCCTGTCTGCGTTAGCACATAGAGTATGTGCAGATAAGACCCACTTCTGGACTCCCGGCTCAAATCCCCTGCAGCCTCTTCCAAACCATTGTGCTATATACATGTTCATTCCCCTCTAACAAGTGGCATTAAATCTCATTTTGGAAGGGAGGCTGTTGAGGGGCGTCCTAGCTGCTTTCCTCTATGGGTAATGTTTTCTCCAGGAATGAACATTCTATAACAAAGATCACTGGCAAAGAGCTACAGCTTTGCTGATAAAAATCACTAAGCAACCCCTCTTCAGACACCATGCTGAGCTCTTCATGGTCCCTCTCCTTTAAGCTCACAACTCTTACATTTACCCTCATTCCACGCATTTCAAAGTGAGGCTCAAATTTTCTCTTGCACACTCCTCTCTCCTTCCTTTATAATACTGCAGTCATACTAGATATAGCTCATCTGGGTTACAAGGATTCAACTTTATGAGGAATTACATTTTACATCTCAGCCTGTGAGAAATTTTGCTTCCAGGGACCAATTTCGGTTTTACATGTCAGTTGAGCAGCTGAGCCTGATCAAAAGGGAGTCACTGTGTGGTCACTGTCATAATGTCAAGCTGTGGCTGCCTCTCAGAACTCTGGGGTTGCTAGGCTATGGTGGCAGGAACCTCTCTATCATATGTTTTCTTTTGTTTTCACCTTTTATTAGAGGTTTAATTATATAAACTTTGAATATCATAAGCCAAAAAACAAACCCAAGGCTTAGAGACATAAGTAACTTGTCTAAGATCACACAGCTAGAGAATGCTTGAGCCAGAATTCAAAACCAGGTGCATCTCTCCACTCATATGCT
Organism: Homo sapiens; assembly: GCF_000001405.40. Classification (NCBI taxonomy): domain Eukaryota; kingdom Metazoa; phylum Chordata; class Mammalia; order Primates; family Hominidae; genus Homo; species Homo sapiens. The sequence goes on along the minus strand of NC_000014.9, from coordinate 54,794,096 downwards.
TAACTGACACAATATTTAGAATGTATATCGTACAGGAATTAGAAATATTAGAATGAGATTCAAGCCATGGATAGGTAAGCTCCAAAGAGGCTGTTTCTTGATGCCATGATTAAGGTGTGAAATATTTCAAAGACAATGAGGGGAACAAGCTATAAACAACAATGTCTGTAAAGTTAGAGTTTGTATTTAGAAACATGCCCCTAAGTCTGGTGACAAATTTATTGGCTGTTTTGGGCACAGATCAAACTGCAAACATTTCTAAAACCCTCTCTCCATATTTTTGTTAAAAAGCAGCTCATAGCTAAAGATGTGGCATGTGCAGAATGGCCAGGTGGGAATAGTTAACAGAGATCCCATTCTGGTTTTTCCTTGAGGGGGCTATTTGACTCAGTTCTTCTTTTCTTCTTCTTGTCGTCTTTTTTTTTTTTTTTTTGAGACAGAATTTCCCTCTGTTGCCCAGGCTGGAGTACAGTGGTGCGATCTTGGCTCACTGCAACCTCTGCCTTCTAGGTTCAAGTGATTCTCCTGCCTCAGCCTCCCAAGCAGCTGAGATTACAGGCATGCACCACCATGCCTGGCTTATTTTTTTTTTTTTTTTTTGTATTTTAGTAGAGACAGGGTTTCACCATGTTGGCCAAGCTGGTCTCGAACTCTAGACCTCAAGTGACCAACCTGCCTCAGCCTCCCAAAATGTTGGGATTACAGGTATAAGCCACCACGCCAGGCCTCAGTTCTTATTTTCTATTCAATCATGTATGTTGAAAAAAAGAAAAAGACACACCAGTGTTACAAAACCTTGTATTAATCATTTCCCTTCACTTTCAATATAACGTTGATATGAAATATAGCCATGATTCTTAGTTACATGGGAGGAAATGAATAATAAATACATTGTAGCAAGTTTAAACCACAAGGGTGTTTCACTGGTAACAACATTTGAAAACTGTACACTTGCAAAGAACAGCATCTTCAAACATTAGTATATCTGTATATCAGTAAAGCTTTTACATGTAACAAACATGCTCTTTCCATATATGACAAATTTAAAAAATATGCATTGCTTGGCAACATGAACTAGGCAAAAATATTTCTTTGTTCACTAACTTTATACAGGAAAACAGGACGAAAGGCATGCATGTACAATACAGATGCCTGCACAGGGCATGCAACAAAAGAAAGCTTTTTAAAAGTCAGCTTACATTAGGCATAAATACATGAGGATTATATATTAATAAGGGAGGAAGTTTTCTGTTCGACATTATTAACATTCCTGTTTTCTTCCTATTCCTCCCAGAGGAATACACATTCACCTTTAAGTAAAGATAAAGGAATTACAAAAAAATAAAACTCACTTTGCAAACATCTCTGATGACTTGTAAAAAAAAAAAAAATCAACATTAGTGTTATCACAGCTCCATGTGCAAATTATCCTTCTGCAGGTTCTTCTTGTAACAGGCACACCTGAGCGCCTTGGTCAGGCTGCTTCCCCAGGCCCAAGCTGGAGCTGACTGCTACAGACATCTCCAGGGGACCAATGAGGCCAGGCCTGCTTTTCCTCCCCTTGCCCGCCTTCTGGTTGCATGCTTTTGCATTCAGCCCAGCTCAGCCCCCAAGCCCAGGCTCCTGGGGAATAACATCTACAACCTTGCACCGGCAGTAGCTACAAGAGGTGCAGAAGAACAAAAGATCCGGAGAAGGCTCCCATCCCGTAAAAGGCAGCCAAGGACACCTCAAAAGAAACCCTTGTTTCCCTCAGTGTCTCTTCAAACGAATGGGAGAGAGGGGGGCCCAGCTGTAGCTCCAATCCTGAGTACCAAAAAGGAACCCTCAATACACAGGATTTGAGAGCTCGGTGCAAAGAGCCGCCCGGACAGGCAGACCCAGCCACATCTATTTTGCTTGCTGGCTCTCGTTTAAAAAGTGAAAACTCAAAAGCATGTGAAAAAACAACATATCAGCAGCAATGTTTCATGTCTTGTACACAGTTCATGTGTTTCTTCCTACTGTTTCTGGTAAGAAGCCACTATGAATAAAAAGCACCAATAAAACATCATACATGATAATATTGTAGAACACCACTGTCCCTAGGACAATGTAGAGATGCCAAGTACACACTGCTTAAATCAGAACAAGGGGGGAAAAGCATGTAGTGAAATAGATTTTACTCTGAGATTTTAAAATTGTTACTATTTTCTTAATATAAAACAGTTGCATTTGGTGGGGGTCAATGGGTAAATACAAAAAAAGGCACTGCTGCTTTTATTACTAAATATCTGACTTCACAGCCTCATGCATGCAACTGTTTGATTCTTTTATAAATAAAATTCTTTTGCTTTAGGATTTTTAAATTGAGCTATATACCTGTAGTCAACACAGGACTCAAAACAAGGTGGGGACAGGGTCTTAAAATTTATCAAACACTCAACTTAAAAAAAAAATTAAAACACTAATAGCAAAACACAACTAAGTAGATAAATCTATACACTGTCAATGAAAAATAAGCTTTTCTTCTTTAAAAAAAGAATTATGTTGTTATTAATAACAGACTTTATCATGGTTACCAGCCATAGCAAGTTAATAAGTAACATATCCAAAATAATATCTCTAATAATCAGATAACCATTGTTTCTATATTCAGTGAAGGAATAAATAGAAATTCAGATTTGCAGATACTTTAAGGTCTTCTTCCTTTTAAAGGATTCATGCGAATGTGATTGTGTTCACAATCTGTTTTCTGAATAACATGAGTCTTTATGGATATATGTGTTTTTGCAGCAGATCCGAATGCTTTCCTTTCTCAGCAAGATGTGTAATACCATGGTTTTTTCTCCTCTTTATTCACTTTCTCAGTATCCTACAAACCCACATTCGCAAACCCTCTGGTCTTACCTTTGGCCTTCAACCTTTGACCTATTCTTCCTGCCTTACATGTGATCGTCCATCCCAACACATTCCCCAAGTAACACTAAGCTTGTTTAGAAAAGGGATGTGGGGGATGAATGTTAATGGCACTTGGTTAAAAATAATCAACTAAAAAATGCCATCTCTTTCTGCACATGGATTTGCATCTTTAGAACTTAGTCACCCAAGGAGAGGTCTGAACCTTTTTTTTTTAATTCAGCGAATGAAATTGTGGATTCAAGCCTTCTCTGCTCACGAAAGGCTTTCTATGGTTACATTGTTCTCACCTTCTTAGACTCAAAAGGGCTTCAAAAACCTGGTGGTGGCATCCAAGGCTGGGTTGGGTGCATGTTTTTGATCTTGAAAGTAAAAGAAAATTGTTCGGATTTCATTAAGGCCTTTTAGGTCTGTATGTAGTTCATTAGCTTTTAAAAAAAAAAGGGCAGTGATTTCCATAGTCTGATCTTCTGAATTTCAACTCTGACTTCACACACACACACACACACACACACACACACACACAACCAGGCACCCGACTCATCCATGTAACAAACAGGCCTTGTACCATCTCCCTGATCTTGCCTCTGGCTGAGCATTCATACCTTCATTTACACAACCTGATTTTCCACACAACTCCTCTTTGATTTCCTCTAATACCCTCCACTGTGTCAAATTCTGAAATGTAGCCTTTCTTGCCCTTCATAAACAGAGCTATTACTTTGTGGTAGGTACCACAGTTTCTCAATCTCCCACCAAGTAACGAGTGTCTTTTTCCTCCCCTCTGTGTGGATGGATAAATCAACTAACACAGCAAATCCCTAATTCATACTGTGCGGATAGCGCTGTCATTTCCATCTTGAAATCAACCTTTCCTACATCTTTCATCGCCCACTGGAGATGGCGGGGCTGTGCGGTGTGGGCCAAACATCTCCCTGCATGTGCTCTCTGGACTTGCTGACTGACCCCTCTGTACGCTGTTGCTGGGCCTTTCTCCCCTCCTCTCCCTCAGCAGTGACAGGTGAAGTAGATGCAGCCTCCAGGCTCCAGTTCCTACAAGCAACCCTAATGTAAAGGTTTTGAGCTCATTTTCTGGGTATCAAACCTCTCACAAGGGGAAAAAGTCCATCCTTGCCTTTTCTCCTCCAGTGGAACTTGTACCCACCTGTGTGTGTGTGGAGCAAGGCTGGGAGTGACAGGATAATGCCCCATGGGTGGGGTGGAAAGGGAGGGAGGCCTCTCCGTGACAAGCAAATCCAGCACAGAAAGAGGCTGCAGGATTCTTTGAGAATCTCTGGGTGCCCTGCGAGCAAACCCATAACTGATCACATGATGTCCTCATCCTTGTGCGCTCACCCAATGCTGTGCTCATTCCAGCCACGTCCATGTCCTTCAAGTCCACCCATACGCTCCTCCCACCTAACGGTGAAAGACGGACAGCTCAGGCCTACATGACTGCATCCATCTTCCCAAGAAGCAGAGCTTGGCAGCCGTTTTGAGAAGACAACTCTGCTGCTCTTATAAAAATAGAGGGAAAAAATGAATCCGTAACAACAACAGATCCTTTACGAAAACCATAGTATGAAGAGAGGTTCTATCCAAACTCTTTACACATTATGTACCCTTTAAAATTATTATGTAAACAATACACAAATCAAAGTTTAGCTGAAGTTTTGTTGCAGGGAATTTCTTCCTTCTTTCCCCTACTGCCATGGGCCCTCTCCTATGGCTGTTTCCAGCAGGGGCCTCAGGGACATCCAATCAGGATTAGATTGGATATAAAAGGGAAGCCACTATCTTGCTTTGGGTGCACGTGCCCGCGATATCCTTCTGTGGCCTGCCTGTGAAGCCAGGCCTTCCGAGAAGCCTCCCCAGGGCCAGGGCTTCTGCTGTCCTCTTATGTGTCTCCTATCTCTTTCATGGCAGTACTCTTTCCCCTGTCCCCGTTCCATCCAGAGAGCTACCTGCATTCCCTCCACCCCCCTCCCAGTCTCATAATTCCCTAGAGACCCCTCCCCACCCCACACACCAAACCATCCCATGACAGAAACAAATGACAAAATAACCAACCCCAGGTCTACTGATATGTTTACGAGGATGACCTACGCTCTCACAAAATCAAAACGGGAGAGGGACCAGGGGGAAAAAAGGCTGCAAAGTATCTTGGAGGATTCTGTGCAACCCTGAAGATGGCGGACACTGGACCCGCAGCAGTCGATTTCACGGCCAGCGCGGTCACTCTCGTCTTCAGCTTCTAGATGGTGGAGGTCCGGTCAACCCCGTCTGGGAGAGAAAGCAGCAAACGATGGGCACAGGTGAGCAAAACAATCCAGTTCGTGCCCACCTATGCCAACGCCATGCACGGTGGGCCTCCCAGCCTCTGAGGGCAGAGAAGGGCACCTACGTTCATGTGTTCACGCATTTACATACCCACCCACATGATATCTGGGGAACAGCTATTTTTGCCAGGAGCCATATTGAACCTGAGAACCAAGATGAAAATATCTAATCCTCACCTCCCAAGTACTTATATTTGAGGGTAGACACAGACATGTAGACAGACAATAATGCTATATGTGATCACTGCTGTAATGGAGTAGGTACCAAGAGAGCAGGATCGTGGAGGAAGGAATGATGGCTGCCCGGTTGGCCTGGGAAGTCAAGGACAGTTTCAGAGAGATACAAAGTGACTTTTGTAGCTGGTGCTGGCAGGAGGAGGAGGGTGGGGATGGTGTGCGGTGCATGCATAGGTGGGATGATAGGTCATCCGGTGGTGGAGCTGAGGGTGCGTTGGAGGTTTAGGATGAAGGATGGGGAATGCAGTAGAGGAGATGGGGTGGAAGAGCCAGGCAGGGGCTGCAACGGACACGCAGGTGGACCTGTCTAGCTCACATCCCTTTCTTTGGCAGCCTCTCCTTCTCAACCCACGTCCCTGATGAGACACTGGGGACAAGGTGGCTGTGACCCTGTCCACAGCTGAGCAGACCAGAGGGATGGACACATCTGACCCAAACAAATCCAGATTCTCTGTCTCGAGAATCTGATCAAAGGCAGAGATGTCTGAGGTAGGTGTTGTGGGCACTTAGAACTGAACAGTCTTGGGGAGGTGGGAGAGTGCTGAGGCCGCCCAGAATCTGCCACATCTACGTTTTGGAGAAGTGGATGACCCAGGCTACAGAGAAGGCAGGGGATATGACCATCAGAGGTGTGAGGCCTGCCCGGCCCCTTTTTGGCTGTCTGCTTACACGTGGGTTCTAGAACGGTCCCCAGGAGCAGACCATAGGGTCTTGCATACCATGAACAAGAGCTTAGAGGTAGGTAGTTGGGGAATTATAAGCAGTAGAGTAATGAGATTTAATTTTAGAATGGTTTCTCTGGCAGCTGCATCAGATAACCTGAGGAAGGATAAGGCTGGTGGCAGGTGGACCAGTTAAGAGGCCCCTATAACAGTCTGTGCCAGAACTGACAAGGATTTTTTCCAGTGAGCAGAGAGAGGCATGGATTAGCCATCACAGGCGGTAGGAATAACTGCGTTCAGTGACCACTAAATGTGGGTGAGACAGGGCTGTGGGGTGCCTCCCTGGCTTTGCTGATGTCCCAGTCCAAGCCCCAATATTACAGAACTGGTCCACCAGATGCAGCATCTCTATTTGCTTGGCAGAACTTGGGTGTGAGAAGGGAGTGGCAGTGTGTTCCAGGGAAAGCTGGAGGACCCAAGTGACAGGCGTGCTGAGGCCACCACAGGGGGTTGGTTCCTGGCTTCCTTGTGGGTGGAGCCAGGCTGGCAACTCTTGCCAGTGGGGCCTTGGAGGAGAAGCACTTCCTCAGTTGAAACTTTTGAGATAACTGTAGGTTCACATGCTGTTGTAAGTAATAGTCCAAACAGACCCAGTGCACTTGTATATAAGTTCTGTATGATTTTAGGGGAGATTTTAAAGAAAGGAAGCAATGGTCCCTGAGTGTGTCAGTGGTGTCAGATCACCAATCCTAGAGGCCAACAGATGTGAGCCTCTCTTTCTCCATTCCTGAGTTGCAAGCATTGGAACCTCTTTCACTGTGCTTTCCTCTCCCTGCCCGTTCCTCTTCCCATAAAAGGACTTGACTCATTAGCATACTGTCTCCAGCAAGGCCATCTTTCCTGGCACCTGGAAGGGGTTGGCCAGCAGAGAAGCTCTGTCATATTGGGAGGGCACACTGCCACTGTGCCCAACTAGGCCACCCTGAACTTAATTTGCATTCTCTGCTCAGGAAACTGCTTACGAGGCTTCCCACCAGAGGAGATCATTGGGAAAAAACACAGCACTAAAAAAGCTTAGGAGATTAACAAGATGAAAACATTAGCAAAAAACCCATCGGTTCAGAGAGGTTTTCTGTAAAAACAGAACAGACTGAAAAAAACGAAGTCTTTTCAATGAAAACCTTCCTTTAATAAAGAGCATTTGGTATTCTTGCTGCTAATGATGATAATGTTGGTACTTAGCAGTTTGATATGAGCCTCCAAAATGCCAATTGTCTGAGATGTATCAAGCCCTGGGGGAAAAGGTCAGTTCTCCTTTTTCTTTGGTCAAAAGCAGTGAAAGACTGAGTCAGTCCCCCACCCAGCTGGCCACTGTCGAGCAGGGGAGCACAGGGGCTTCCCTCCCCATGTCAGAGCTCTGGCAGGTGCCAGCTCAGGGGACTCACTCACCAGCTGCTATCCTAACTCTGGCCCCAGGGAGACTGTCATTACTACTTTTAATTGAAATATTTGCATATCATAAATTGCACCCTTTGAAAGTATACAATTCAGTGGTTTTTAGTATATTTGCAAAGCTGTGCAACCCTCACCACTATCTAATTCCAGAATATTTGCATCCTCCTCCCTTCAGCCACTGGCAACCACTCATCTACTTTCTGTCCCAGTAGATTAGTCTATCCTGGACATTTCACATAAATGGAATCATACGCTCTGTGGTCCTTTATGCCTGGCTTGTTTCACTCAGCATAATGTTAAGATTCATCCACTGCATCGCATAGGTTGGTACTTCTTTGCTTTTTAAAGGCTGAATGCTCTTTCACTGTTTGGATACACCACATTTTTTTGAGCCATGTTCATCCTTTGGTGGACATTTGAGTTGTCTCCCATTTCTCATTAGGGGGCTGCTGACCCAGTCTCCTCTATGAGGTAAAGATGAGCTGGCAGCACCTCCTGCCAGAGGTACCAGGGATGGCCCAGTGATGTTCCTGAGATCTGAATGGCCAAGGCAGAGAGCAGTGGCTCGCAAATGAGGCTCTTTATAGAGCTCTGGGGGAAGTCACAGAAGGGGCTGTGTCTTCCCACCATCTGTTTGGTGAAGCTCTGTGATGCCCTTGGAAGGCTTTCAGCTCCCCCTGATGCTAAGGTCAGGTGGGTGTGGTCCCGGGCCCACCACTCTGCTCCATGCAGAGCACTGATCTATTTCATATTTGGTTTCAGGATAAGATTGTGTTTGCAGAGACTAAAAATCTAACAACCTTAGGTCTGGAGGACAAGGCTCTCTGAAGCAGCAGAGGATGGCAGTCTTTTCCCCACCACTGCCAGGTGGCGCACGTCTTGGCTCTAGGTGTGCAGACAGCCCTTCTCTGGGTGGGTAAGTGTGTCTAGACTGGATAGGGCTATCGCTTCTCGGCCTTTTGGCTAAGAGCAAGTGTAGACTGGATAGGGCTATTGGAAAGGCTCACAGGAGGCCTCTCTGTGTCTCTGTGGCACAGAGCCTCCCAGGAAGCTGGCAGGAAATGGCAGACATCTCTTCTCTCCTCTGCCTGCCAAGCATCATAAATATCCAGGCCCAGAGAAAGGTGCCCGCTTAGTACCAGGAGGGAGCTGAAGGCCTCCCAGGGCTGCTGTGACCAAGCATGGCTTCCAGCCAAACACACGGGGGAGCACAGATGCTTCTGTGAGCTGCTTGTGGGGCCACAGCCCTGCACAGCACAGCCCCCATTCTGGGCTTGGGCAGTGGACGTGCAGGCGCCTCTAACTCAACCTGTCCCTGTCACACAGGAAAGGACACCTCAGCCTGCTTTGGGCTCCAGGTGTCAAGAAAGTTGTTTGCAACTGGGAGATACACAAACAAGCTGGGTTTTCTGTTTTTCAAAAATTATATTTCTAAGGCAAGCTGGGCTATGCTTGGACCAGGCTGGGGGATCTAGTGCAGAGAAGGGAAGCATCCAGTGTTGTGCGGGATATTCCTACTAAAAGCCATGTCTCATGTCCCTGACTCCTCCAGGCCTGGCACTTGGCTGGGACAACTGCTGTGGTGTGATTCCCATGTGCACTGGGAGGTGGAGCTTCTGGGGACAGAGGGACAGCTTTGATTGCCAGGTCCCTGACTCACCTCCCAGAAAAGGAGGAGAAACAGGGCACTGGCCACTTGGCATGGTGCCGCTGGAAAATGGTCCAACAGTACCCTAAGGCCACTCTTTCTCCCTGTCCCCTGCCTACCCCTCCTTGTCCTCCCCCAATTCTCCTGAGCTCCTGCCACGGTATAGACAGCAGATGGCCAGTTCTCCCAGGCACACGGTAACAGGGACATGGGGACATGCAGGAAGAACACACTCACCTCCCAGGGCGTGTTCGGTCATACTGAGGCACAACGACTCCAGCCTGTTGTTGATGTCAGGTTCGGTCACGGGAAGCTGGAATTCTGCAGGCGATAAAGGGTTATGTTGGTGACAAGGAGGAGATAAGCAGGGTGCCACCTGGTTCCACCTTCAGGAGAAAGGTCTGGTGTACCTCCCTGGGAGGACTTGGGGACTGTCAGCGCTGGCATGGAAGGGGCTCCACTCAGGCTCAACCAACCTCTAAGGTCTGTTAAACACAGTCCACTGTGAACTTGGGAACCTGGAACAAAACGGAGACTAAAAATAGCTGGTCATGTCACAGTCTGTGCCTCCTCTGCTCAGAACCCTCCAGCGGCCTCCCATCAAAGTAACAGCCAACCTCCTGCCCTGGCCCATAAGGCCCCGCATGATCCAGGCCCTTGTTATCTCTGTACCCTCATACAGCTCTCTCCTTCCTCTGCTCTGCCCCAGGCCCCCTCCTACCTCACGGCCTTTGCACCGCTGTTCCCTGGGGTGGTTTCCATGGCTCTCCCTGCCTTCACATTTCTGGCTCTATCATCTCCTTGGAAAGGACTTTGTTCCTTGTATGAGCCATGCCCCCACACTATCCCTTTCCCCTGCTTTATTTTTCTTCATAGCCTTCGCCCACAGCTGTCATATTTGATATTTGTATTCACTTTCTACTGTCCCCCTCCCCTGACCCCGCTGAGTGCTCACCTCATTGGAGCAGAACATGGCTCTGCCCCCTGTGCCTAGAGCAGGGCCTGGCATGCATCTAGAGTGGGAGAGGAAAGCCAGGGCCCAGCACGCACCTCTTAGTGTGAGACCACGTGGGGGGCTTTAGGTGTGCGGGCTCCTTAATCTGCCCAACAAGCCCAAGTGGGGTTCAGAGAGGTGAAGTCACTCATCAAAGTTAGCCAACTAACACAAAGCTGGGACAAGACCCTCTCTGACTCCAGAGCCGGGGCTCAGCCACCTGCCACAGCAACTGCAGGTAACTGTCAACACACTCAGCCTCGAGGGCCTCTAGAATCAAGGGCTGAGACACCCACTCTGCAGGCAGTAGGGGCTCGGCTCCCACTGACCGACAGTGCTGTGCACATTCTCACCACAATCTCCCCTCTACCACCTGGAACCCCTCTATCTCCCCAGGTTCCAATGTCGCCTCTTGTGAGCAGGAGGCAGTGTCTGGGAGCCACCTCCTCTCACCTGCTGGAGCCCTCACTGTCAGCACCTCCGCAGGCCTCATCCAGTGGCGACTTTAAATGTCCTCAACTACCTGGAAGTGCCTTGTAGACAGTGATGATGCTTCCCTATCTCTCTGAATCTCCCACAGCGCCCAGCCCTGGCCTTCTGCCTCATACATGTCTACTGAGCGAAGAAAAAGAGAAAGTAGAAGAAGTAGAAGGAAACTCTGACAGCTAAGAGTTGTGAAATCCTTTTTGTTTTTTTTTTTTTTTTTAAAGTTTTGTGACACTGGTTTGAAAAGAATTGCAAAATCCTAAGGGGAGAGGCAGAAAAAAAGTCCCAGAGGGGGTGTCCACAGCGGGGTGTGTTCCAGGTGACCGAGAAGTCTCCGTGTTGCCACCACCTTCCTCTGTGAGCCTGGGAACCTGTTCCATGCTGAGGGCCTTAGCTCCTCTACCTGTCAAGTGGGCAAAGCATCCCGGGGTCCCCCTGCAGGCCACTTGCCTGCTCCTTCATGTCTCCACCAAGGGAGCACATGGGGCCAGAGAGAGAAGAAAGAGAAGTGAAACGAAGTTGGTGGCTTGGTGGGATAGGAAGCTGAAACCAATGGTTAAGTCAAAGTTTTGTTTTCCTTGATTTGCTATACATTAAGATAATCTCTGCAATGTGTGTTTCCCATTGTCAGCTAATTCAGAGGCAGATGTTGCTTCCGTTATTTAAAAATCTCAGAAGCCTGGCAAAAAGGAACGCTATGGAAAGCACCAGAGAGCTGACTGTGTTCTTCCTGACCCATGTTCCGGCATCGATGGGTTTGGAAGACAACCGTGCCAATACGTGAGCAGACGGAGGCCGACTGAGCTTCCAGGGAAGTGGGGTGCCACAGAGAATGGCAGGAGTCTCCACCGCCCCCACCCACTAGTTGCTGTTAGAGTAGGGTCGGGGCAATTAGACAATTCCAGGGGGAAGAGATTTTAGTATTTTCATCCATTCATGTGAAAATCATATGCATGCAAAAATTAGCAGTCTTCAGGGTGTGAAATCTATAAAATAGAAACACAATTTTATATATAGCGAGTTAGCAAATATGAAAAAAAAAAACAAACCTCAGCAATTATAGCCATCCATATGCTCATTGTAAGATTTAGTTTACTCTCCAGCGCTCCCCTTTAAACAAACACTGTGGAGAGATTTGGATAAATAAAGATGCTCGACATTTGGAGAGAAGTGTTTCAGCTGCAGGATTTCTTGCCAACACGCAGCAAAATGCCATTTTCCAAGCCTGGGATTGCGTGTTCCAAAAAGGGGGCTGAGAAACGCAGGGCTCTCCGCTCCAGAATCCCCAAACCTTCGTGGCTGCTCTTTTAGGTGGGAAGTGGGGGTGTTCGCTTCTTCTCCCCAGCTCTTTGCTTCCATGCACTGGGGAGCCGTGACCCCCAACACTCCGAGTGGCTCTGAAAAATTCTAAGTCTTGGGAGAAGCCCATATGTTCACACTGCAGAGTTTCCTAATAGTGTGACTTTTTAATTGTGTATTTGATAAAAACAGATCCATGCCATCTCGCCGCACGTATAAGACAGAAAGACCAGTTGGGTGGAAAACAGCTTCCATCTCAGGCTAGGAACCCTCAGCTGTATGGGGCTAGGTGCCCCAGAGGGGCATTCGGGCAGCTCTTGCCCCACAGACCAACATAAACCACCAGGCCAACCCTTGCTGTGGCTCCTGTTAACCCTGAGGGCCCATCTCATTTATCCCAGGCCCCTGCCCCTCGTGGCCACAGACCAGGCAGATGGAGATGTGAGTCTTCAGGAAGGCAAAAGGAAAGACCCCTCTTTAACTGAGCCTCCTCTGCTCTTTCCCAAAGGAGGCATGTTTCTTCAGCTCAGATGGCATCTCTGAGGACCAGTATTCCAGTATTCAGTAAGGATCGCTAGTTTTGGAATCCCCAAGGTCTAGGCTGACTTGAGACATTAATTGTATCTTTTCAGAAGTCCCACACGTATGGAGTAGTCCTGTGCTCAGGCCCAGGGTCAAGAAGATTCCGGAAGAGAATGCTACCCATCCCTAATGAGGTGCTGCTGCAGCATCCACCTGAGGAGCCCAAAGGGCTTGTCCTTGGCAGTAACCGTCCATCCCTGCTGGGTCTCACATGTGTGGCACCCACGGTGCAATTCTGCAGTGCTTTTTCTCCAAGGCACTGAGGGTAAGGAGCCAATTTCTTTAGGACTTTAGAATAAGAAACAGGCTGGGGCATTCCAGGAAAAATCTATAGAATCCCGTTTTGCCAATGACAGCGGAGGCAACTCTGTTGGATAACTAGAAAGGTGTGGAGTCTGGTTCACTGAGCAGCAGGGTTGCTAGGAGGAGAGAAAGCAGGGAAGACAAAAAGGGACAGAGCAGTGGGACCTGGTCTGCTGTGATGAGATGAGTAAAGAAGAAAGGAAGACAAGAGAACTAAGAAGAAAGGGGGAGGATGGTAACAAAAGGGAAAGAAACGGCACAGGCAGGGAAACAGAGGGGTGGGGCAGCAGGCAAGCTGAGGATGGCAGAGATGGCCATGGAGGGTGGCAGGAGTAATGAATAGCATCCCTGAGTTGACCATGGGAACGCACCTTTTCTCTGGTGGCCTCCTAACATTCCTAAGCCTGCAGAAGGTCAGTGCCTGTGGAGGTCCTCTGGGACCAACGCTTTCACAAAAAGTGATGGGTACAACATGGTATAAGATGATATTGTACCATCTTGCCCCAAGTTGATGCTCAGAGGCAGGAGGCTGTGGGCCCAGCTGGGTTCTTGGCTATGACAGAATTGATTTATTTATCAATCTCCCTACCCATTGTCTGCCAGTCCTGAACAGGGATGTCTGCCTTGATTTATTAGAAGACATGGAGGAAATATTTATCCAGTACTGTACTTGGGTCCCTGTTCTGGTTTCTGCCTCTGCATGGCAGCCCCTTCCACACCCCACTGGACCCAGTGCACCAATAACTCTCTATTCTTTCTAAAGGCAGTTCTCCGGAAGGAAATGAAAAATAACAGCCTGGAGCCCTGTGCTCCCAGATATATGCAGCGTGCTTATGGCAGAAGAATCCCAATTGTGAGCTGGTACTTAGAGGAGGTTTGCTGTGGTGATCAGGTAAGTCACACCATGAAATGCTGCCATGTGAGGTGCCACTGGACCCAGCTCACATCCAGCTGGTTCACAACCAAGGGTAGTTTGCATGTGGCTTTGGGCAAGGGAAGAATGAGATTTTCAGAAGGCTGTGCAGCCTACCCTTCTGAAGGTTTTCCTTTGAAGCCTGCTATGGGGTTCCCTGCCCTTTTCTGTTAGGCCCTCCAGGGGGTAAAGAACCTCCATGATCTCCTACTGTTGAGCCAGGGCCACTCCAAGATCCTCTCTGACTGGATCCCAAGGACAACTAAGCCTGGGTCAGTAGAAATTAGTTGCTTCCAAAATAAAGGATCCCTCTCCAAGCAATTTCCAAACCAGTTATCTAGTTGAGAAAACGCCCTGCCTCCATGAGGAACGTGACCATTCGCACAGGCGCCACACTTGTTTTCTGGTGAGCGTATTACACCTCGTAGTGTTTCTTACTCATCACTGGCAATAGCCACCTGAAGGGTCTCCTGGCTGGTCCCAGGAAACAGCTAAAACTTGTCCATGTGAAGGTGGAGGTTGCAGTGAGCTGAGATTGCGCCACTGTACTCCAGCCTGGGTGACAGAGTGAGACTCCGTCTCGAAAAAAAAAAAAAAAAAAAGCTTGTCCATGTGGGAATAACATGAAACACCACTCCTGAGGGGCCTCCAAGTGCCCGTGAATTGTGTAGAACCAGGAACGAGGGATGAGTCCTGTAAACCCGAGCAAGGTGACTGATGAATTGATCCGCAACTTGGTGGGTTCTAGCCCTCTGTCTTCTCTGTATGAGACGTTTAAAGTCTCCCATCAGTAGAGTTATTTTAGGTTTACAGAATGAAAGCATCCTTCAAATGCATTGTAGTCTTCAAGATTTGCCCAGTTTACAATGGATTCTCTGAAGACATCTAACAGCCAGGAGGAAAACACTGCATTGTATGATAACAGTTTTCCGAGTATCTACTTTTGGGTTAGTTACACATCTCAATTTCATTTTGTGTTCACTATTACTCCTGTTCATGTACAGATGAAAGCCACTTTCTGACTTCCTGATTTTTGCTGTCCTGACATGATATTTGTAGTCTAGTTTTAACGCCTGGCCACAAGCCCCGGGAAGTCTCCATAGCGAACCAGATTGCACTGCTTTGTGTGGAAAGGCCCATCTGCAGAAGAGGCTCTGAATCCAGGAAGAGCAGAAGCGGCTCTGAATCCAGGATGAGGACCCTGACTCTATGACTCTAGGATGAGCCTTCGTCTGGACCTGCTTGGAGGTCAGAGGTGTCGTCCCTGGGTAGGAGGCTGCCTCCTTGGGAGGAAGGAAAAGTCACTACAGTGACCTGTGGCCTTGACAATGATTGGCAAGGGCTGAGGAACCTCAACCCTGTGCCCTTAAGCAGGGGCCTTCTGCAGCCTCCTTCCCCTTCAGTGAGGGATCCTGGGTCCTGGCCAGGCCCTGCCCTATCATGCCCTTTATGCATGTCCTGGAAGAGCCACCCAGCATGGTGCTGAGCGTGCTGGGCAGGACTTAGGAGTGGCTCCTGTCCAGCGTTCAATGGTTTATTTGCAATCAGGAAATTTAGAGCGGGCTTTTTCCTGTGCTTTGGCTGTTATTAAAAATGCCATGTGAGGATCTTTAAGACCTTGCTGGAAGTGGGTTTGTAATACTTGAGAGATTTTAAAAAAAACACTCAAAGCGTTCCAGAGTTTTAAGTCCAGTGTGCGAAGCATATTATTTAGAGACTTGCAGGTAACTACAGACTGCTAAAAGGGGTTGTGCCTGTGGGCTAGGAAGGGGAGGGGAGAGAGACAGTCACTTTTTGCTCACAGCACTTCTGTATTATTTGATTCTTTAACCACAGGAACAAGAGGGTTTGCATGAAGAGTGAAAATGATATTAGGTTCATAGTTGCCCTGAGCACAAGCCAGCCACTTGGCATTGCTGTGAGATAGTGGAGGGGAAACAAAGGTATAGGTGGAAGATTCTATCAACAAACCCGAAGCGCTCCGGGACAACCCAGCTTTTAGAAAGGGGACTGTCTGGACCTAGTCTTCCCAGTTAAGATGGAGAAAGCTCAGGGAAGATTCAGTATGAACAAAGAGGAAGGCTGAGAACTGGCAAAAGAGTGGCAGGAAGGGAAAAAATCAAGAAGGCCTTGAGAAGGTATACAGAATTGAAGACAGTGGTCACTCTGCTGGTGAGACTGAGGCCAGGGTGAAAGACCCATTCAAGGTGACAGATCTCCTTGTGCGCAGGACCTCTTCAAATCTTGTCCAGATTCTTTTTTATTGGGAATGGATTATACATAATTCTGCGTGAAAACAGAGGATGGGATGAAAGGACCCTGGGATAAAGCCTTCAGAACCCCCAAATTTTATCATGTTTCTTCCCAGGAAGAAAAATAGCTAAGCATATAGAAATATGTGTAATTATATTGTTATATTTTGGTGCATAAATATAGAGAAAAGGAGCTTTAAAACAAAAGTGAGCAGAGTTTTGGAAGTCAAGAAGCAATGTGAGCAGGCCTCTGCACTGGGTAGCTGTCGCTCCCCTCCCTGACATGCCGTTCCCAGCAGTGTGTCCTCCAGCGTCCTCCTCCTCCCTGACCTCCCAATTCCAGCCTACCCCCCCACCCCATCATCCTGCACCCTCCTGCCTGACTTCTACTCGGAATCCCCCATGTGGAGGAATCCCCCCAGGGAGAGTGGCCAGAGTCCAAGCTCCTCAGCTTTGGATTCAAAGTCCCCCACCATCGGCCACGACCTTTACAGCTCCCTGGGTCCACTTTCTGCTACCTCAGCCAGACCCTTTGGCCCAGCCACGGCTTCCGGGCCATGCTGTGGTATTCTGGACCTTTGCAGTCTTGCTCCTGGGTTCCTTCTGCCTGTAACTCTGCCTTCCCTCTCTCCACCCTCTGCTGTGCCCTGAAGCTCAGCTCCAACTCCAGGAAGCTTCCTTGCCTATTCCAGGCCACAGTAACACTTCTCTTCTTTAAACTCCTACAGATAGGACTTACTGGACAGAGCGTTTCTACTGTCCAGGGCATTTTCCTACAGGTACAACACATCTCCAGTTTGCCTGCCTTGGGGCAGTGGGGGTGGGGGGGGGTCCATCCAGATAGGTGCAGTGTAATTGCCTGTGTGGCTTGTTATTACTCATGGAGTCTACAAAGTCTACAAGATCACTGCCTGCATAGAGAAAGGGTTCAAGTATTCATTAGCTGTGCATAATTCCAACCACTCTGTTTTAGGAAGCATAGTGAAAGCTGAAATTGATCTGAAGTGTGCTAAGTTGCTCTTTAACCAAGTAAAGGAAAGATGGCTGGTACAACAGTCATCACTTTGCAAGAAAAGCCCAAACCAGGGGGAAGGTCTCAGCATCAACAGTTTTCTCTTTCTCTGTCTCACTCTCACTTTCTCTTTCCACACACACACACACACACACACACACTACACATGGAGCCCTCCCACCTCCCCACCACCAAAGCCCTCTTGTGCTATCTCTGGTTTAATCAATCTAGAAATATGACTAGTATCAAAAATATCCCCATCCGATTGCAACCAACTCTGGGGCTCCACATGCTGGCTCTCAGCCAAGCCGCCGCTATTCATGCTGGCAAGGCACAGTTTAAAAAAGGAAAGGCTTCTATAAGCTCCAAAGAATGCACGGTGACAGTCGAGGCTAAGCACTTTCTGGCTGGGTTTGCTAGGGCATCTATTTTGGCCTCCCCTCTGTGTCAAGGGGACATGAAGCGCCGGGCCCTACCTGGCTGCTGGAACATCAGCATGTTCTGTGGGGAAGTGTGCACGGGCAGCGAGCGGGTCCTCTGGACTGAGCTGTGGGTGCGGCTTGGCATGCTATTGCTGCCCCCGGGGTTGGCAAACCACAGGTTCTGGTGAGAAAAGCAAAAGGGGAACTTGTTAGTTCAGCCCCACTGGGGTGGAGAGCAGAGCCGCCAGCAAGAATTTGGGAGGCAAAGATCCCAGGAGAACTCTAACTTCTAGAAAAGGGGCTTGCAGGCCAGTGCTAGCATCTGCTTATTTATAGAGAGAGGGTTTAGATTCCATTCACTGTAATTTCTCTTCACCTCCTCAGTGGTGGCCTTGCTGTAAGCCTCAGCTTCATCTGGACACCTCTTTCCCTATCTGCAGAACTCTTTTTATCGCATTTGTTGCTTTTGCTTTTTCCCTGCCACTTTTCTAGGAAATGGGGGAGTTCTATAAATGTATGCAACGAAGAGCACAAACTATTTCAGGGCTCTGATTTTTTTTTTTTTTTTTTTTTTTTTTTAAGATTCTTACAATGTACTCCAAAGCGAGGGGGAGAGAAAAGAAACTCTCAGCTGGCAATGAGCTGGCACAACTCAGCCTGTGTGTCCCAGCAGTGACGTCTTCTTGAACTGATCTGGGGGCTGGGGACAATGGTCAGAAGATGGGGCTTTCTGGTACCCTGGGTAGTGAATCCTGCCCGTCTTGCCTGAAGCCCTTTTCCTGTTTTTAAGCTGATCTGTCATCCCTTAGTTTCTCCTGAGACCCCAGAACCTCAGACCTACTTGTGTCCCTCTGATCCTAATCCCTACCCACAGAGCTTCGAGAAGCTCTGGGCACACAGGCGGAAGGCACTGGGCAGGGGTGGGGCCTGGGGCTAGAGGGGTATGAGCGACGGGCCAGAGAAGTCAGCTCTAAACTGCACAGCAAGAACCTCTGGGCAGGCTGAGAATGTGTTAACTCTCCCCCTGGCACACTCTCTCAGACTTTGTCCTGTGGATGCTCCACCAGAGCTGGGACTGAGACAAAGGAGCTTTTTGCCATGGATAAAAAGGGCAAGAAACTTCTCTAAATGCCAGGCTCTCCTGGAACCCAGATTTGGGTGGCAGAAGGTCAAGCATGGGGCAAAGAAGAAATAGGTCTTGCATTTCTTTCTAAAGGTCCTCTTGTGCAGGGTCCCCAAGGTTAAAGTGGTCCTCTGGGCATCCTAAACACAGCTATGGGGTTGCTCTGTCTGCTAGAGAACAACGCGAACAATGCTGTTACCTCTGAGGAATGGTGGCAACTGCCCCCAGCATAGTCCCCTTTGGCCTCTCTCCCCACCCTGGGGTCACCTGGGGGGACATCTGCAGCCTTGGGCCTTGAGCTTGGCCATCCTCCTCCTTCCTTGGGGCAGAACAAACCTGTCTTCCTTGTTTCATGATGGTGGGGGTAGCTGTGGTGTTGCGCTGGTTGGAGCTGACGAATCCACTGGTGCCCAAGAGGCCCAGGCGGGCGGAAGGGACGTTCCGAGAGGGGATCTGGTACTGGCGCGGGTTCCGTCTGCCCATGCCACCGCCCACAGAGCCAGCCGTCGGGAGGGAGTTGGATTGCCCAAAGCCTCGACTGTGAGAGCCAAGAGAGAAGGAAGAGAATATCAGTCGTTATTCAGCCCTTTTTAAGCCACAGGCTTCCCAAGGGATGTCGCCTTGGAGGTCTCCTCATTTTTTTTTTTTTTTTTTTTTTGAGTCAGGGTCTCACTCTGTTACCCAGGTTGGAGTGCAGTAGTGAGATCTAGGCTCACTGCAGCCTTGACCTCCTGGGCTCAGGTGATCCTCCTATCTCAGCCTCTGGAGTAGCTGGGACTACAGGCATGTGCCACCATGCCCAGCTAACTTTTTTTTTTTGGTAGAGATGGAGTCTCACTATGTCGCCCAGGCTGGTCTCAACTTTTCAGGCTCAAGCGATCTTCCCAACTCAGCCTCTTGAGTAGTTGGGACTACAGATTTTTATATTTTTGGTGGAGACAGGGTCTACCATGTTGCCCAGGCTGGTCTGGAACTCCTGAGCTCAAGTGATCCTCCTGCCTCGGCCTCTCAAAGTGCTGGGATTACAGGCGTGAGCCACTGCACCCCGCCTCTGCTCACATTTTGACAGTTATGAAGCCTACAGGGAGCTGTGTGCCAGCAAATAACTATAATTAAAACAGCAGCTAACATCTGAGAGGCGGTATCACATGGAACTTCCTGGGACTTCGACATTATTTTTCGATCCTTGCAACAACCCTATGAAGTAGGTGCTCTCTCCTTTGTAGCTGGAGAAGTAAAACAGCGCGTAATCCTTGTGCACAGGTCACACAGCCAGCAGGGGGCAGCGCTGGCACGCAGGCTCAGCAGGTTCACCAGCACTCTGCCTGCCGCCTTGCGCCTCCCTACCGCATCTTCTCCAACCCATGCTGCTGCAGATGAGGACACAGGTCTTGAACACTCACATGCTTTTGAGAGGCCACATAGCAAGAAAACAGCAGAGTCAGGGTCACAACTGGTCTGACTCCTGTCCCAGGGCTCCCTTCTTTAATCCTATCATTGTTTCTGCTCAGCCTGTCTGTGTGGCGGACTTGGAGAAGCCTGTGAGGCCCACCAGGATGTAAGCTCCATGTCTGTCCTCATCCATCCTGCATGTCCGGTGCCTGAATCAGTTTCTGCACAGTGAATGCAGTTGAATGAATGAACCAATGAGTCTCTGCCATCATGACGCATCCTCAAATGGGAGAGCTGATGCCACCTGTGGGGCGAGGGATATAAGGTCGGAGATGATGTTTGCAAGTGTTCTGGACCTAGGACACAGACTGCCTTCACTTCACAGGCCCTCCCTGCAAAGTCGGCTGCATAAGGGCCAGGGCAGGTCCATGCTTCTCCTGGGTCCGGGCAGGGAGGCTGCCAGAGCCCTTAGCATCACGTGCAGATGCCGGCGCTGCCGTTGGGTTGGGTGACCTCAGCACTGAAGAACGCATCCTCTCTGACACGCCTCAGGTCCGGGAGGTTATACAGCAGCCGGCAGGGTTTCAGGAACCAGCACATTCTTTCCAAGAAGAGTCAGCTGTAGTCATTCACGGATGTTGAAGTCAAAATGTTTTACCTCCAGTGGCCACAAGATGGAAGAGATCTGCTTTTCCAGCGACACAGGGGAGGTTTGTACCAAGCCTGTGGGGAGACTCCGGGAAGCAGGGCTGACGTAGTTTAACCAGTTGAGGGTGATAGGGGCCTGCAGAACAGTCATTTCCTGAGAAAGAGAGCTGTGCCTGTATGTAGGGGGAGGGGCATCTGAGCCAGCAGTGCAGATCTCAGAAAATGTTTCTCTTCTCCCCAGAATTCTTAAATTTCCTAAGGGGAGAAGTGGCAGGAAGGAGAATTCTGGGCTTGTGCCTTTCTACTTCCAGGCTTTGGTGGCCAAGGAAGGAGTTCTAGATTCTGGTCAGAAGCTCATCTGAATGTGGTGAGGAGGACACTCACAGGTTCTTGGTATCTTTGTCTTGGCCTTTCTTCCTTTTTTCTCCCATTTTCCCTTTTAAAAATTTCGTTTTCATTTTTACGAAGGCTTCAGATTTTTTGGTTTGAAGGAAGAACTCAGGGCCAGGAGGGGTAGAATAAGTTTCACATGATGAGACCTCCTTTGGAGGAAGGACAATCTGACTACGTGAGGTAGAGACAAGGGCCGAGTGTTTTTTTTTTTTGTTTGTTTGTTTTTAATGACGAAAACTAGTCCTTTGAGTTCTGAAGTCGGAATTTTGGCCACCTGGTAGATGATTCAGTATTCTGCTATGATTTTTCCTTATTTAGCGTGGATAGCGTTTTCTCACTTTCCTTTTTGGTTGGATTTTTAAAAAGTTATTTCATATGCAAAATACAGAGTCAATGAGTGATGCTAAAATGATTTGTGTTTCCAGGAAGGCAAGACTGAATTCTTAAGCAATATAATGTGGGAAGAGGACTCTGTTATGGGATACTTATAGTCACTGGAGAAAGGAGGGATCCAGGGACTCTTAGGACTCAGCTGTATAGGGGAGGGGAGTAGGACGTGATGAGGGGAGAATTTGGCTAGGCCATCTTTCTCTCTCCTGATGGGACCCTTCGAGGGTTATTACAAAGCCAGCTTTGCAGAGGGTTGCCACTGCTGGCAACCAGAGTGAATGCTTGGGTTACTTAAGATCGCTAGGCTTAATGAAATCATCAATGCTTTCTGGGGAGAGAACAAAGTGACAAAAGCAAGTTTTCCTTTCTCATTCTCTTGCCTTACCTTTCTAAATCTGATTTCATTACACTGAAATGTTGAAATGCATGAAAAGTCTTTGATAAAGTAACATTAATAAGAACCAATTAATTTGGGATTTGTGATAATTCAAGCAGGGGTTGGGTTGCAGTTACCTTTGTATTATTGGAGAAACAGGTCTTCAAAGCAAATTAATAGCACAAAAAGATCCCAGAGGAAATACTTATGAGTATAAAACATTTTCCAGCCTTATAGTAACATCCAGTTGAACATCCACAAGCGATTCATTCTTATCTAATCAATTAAAAGGGGTCCATTAGGACTCCAACCTGGCAAACCTTGGGTTAGCCCAATCCAAGTGTTACTAACAAACACCCTGGAGAGGTCAAGGTTCATGTCCCCTGCTCCACCTCCAGAAGGCTCTCGGATGTGGACCAATGACAACACAGGGCTGACAGAGGCCAGGGTGGGACTTTGGGAGGAGCAGCAAAGAGCCGCCCCATCTTCATCTCCAACCTCCGAATGCCTTCTTCCTCTTGGAACTTGTCTCCCAAGGGCCTGGTGTTGCAAGAGGAGTCTGGAACCTTTTCTATTCACCTGGGAAAAGTATTGCTGCTCTCAGAGAAAAGCCACTTGGGATGGGGGTAGGCCCCAGGGCAGGAGGCCAAGGAAGCAGACCTTGCCTTTCATCTGGGCCATCGGGAATCCTCAGGGCAAAGAGGTAGTCTAGTCCAACCCACAAGGGTTGGCAACCCCAGAGGGCTTGGGGCCAGGGAACTGGTCCTGAAGAGTGTCGCTTTGCCTGAACAATCTTTTCTGCTCATCATCCTGAGACCATGAGAGTTGCCTGGCTTCCATAGGGTTAAAAGCATGGAGCTGGAGCTGGTGCCAGCCTGCCTGGTTCAAATCCCCAATGCTGCTGCCTATGAACTTGTCTGTAAATGGGGTTAACAACAGCAGCTCTACCTCACATGGTTGTCATGAGGATTAAATGTATTAATATTCTTAAAGTGCTTGGATACCACTTGGCATATGTAAGTGCTAAATAAATGTTTGTTTAATAAATAACCGTTATATATGCTGGAATGTGATCACACTTCAGTGTTAAAATTAATCTTTCATGAAGTCTTTTCACAAACTTCAACTGGCCTTATCTCCCTTAAATCCAAAATAGTGATGTTTTAAGGCACGCTTACGCAAATAAATGCCCAAAATTTTAACACCACGGGCAGAGAGCTTCTATACATGCACCGAGAAATGAAATGAATTCAGACCCTTTCAGGTGCAAGTGAAGAAATTATCTGCTCATGTTTTAAAAGTGTAAAATAGAATGTTAATTTTTCAGGATGTTTACATTCTCATTCCCTTATGTCCCAACAATTCCCTATCATTGTTTAAGGCTTAACCCTTCCTCTACCCTTAATTTCTCCCACAAATTGTCACTGCAGTTCATCTTTAATATGTAATTGGATTCCTCAATTTAAAACTATATTAAGGTAATGGGTTCTAAAGTACAACCAGGCTTATTTTTAACTGCGTGCAAGAAGCTGAAGTACTATGGAAAAATCAAGAATTGTACTGCTCCACTATGAGACTGCAGACCAAAATAGACTAGCACTGGGCTCTTCACCCTGCCACCAACTATAATTAGCTTGTCTACAGCACGAAGGGGGAAAAAAATCACACTACCACTTAAGGTGCTGATTGATAGAACAACCCATTTTTATCCTTTCAGATCCCCCTTTTGTGGGTAAGCCATCCTGTGTTTTGCCTGCATTTGTTAAATCATACCCACTCTCCCCTCTGATACCCATCCGGACTATTACCATCATTTTGACAATGCAAACTGTGTTACAAAAGCTCACATTCAGCTCTTCGCCTGGGAATGCTCACTCTCACAGCCTTTTCCCAGCCCCACCTGTTTAAGCAATGCAATTTGGAACTCGCCACAGGGCATCTTCGTGAACAAGGAATGGTGCCCTGCCATATTCCTGCCCCAGGAACCGAGGTAGGCAACAAGGCGCCAGGGGAACCACTACGCATTACAAAGAATGAAATCCCAACATACTTTCTTTGCTGTCGATATCCTGATATGTCTAGAAGGGTTTTCCGAGGGAAAGACCGAAAGAGCTTCTGCACCTGCTGTTTCCATGACAACAATCTTTTTTTCTGTGTCTCTGTAAATGCCTGCAAAAACAAACAGGACTTTTAAATGGGTGACGCAGCCTGGCATTAGAGGGAGAAACATGCAATTAATAAGGGGAAAACATTGGAGTCTCTGCAGTTGCCTTTTCTTCACCTGTTTCTAACCTGGTCCAAACGTAGTCAGTTTAATTTGGGAGCTGCCCTATTTTGAAAATTTAAGTTATCTGACATTGGAGGTGCGTGATAAGGTACACGCATCAAACTGTTGACAACCCTCATTTTTGGTGACATTTCTGGCAGATCCATATCCACATTCCCCCTCCCTCCTGACTCCACTCCAGACTCTATTTATTAACCAAGAATGAATTGCAAAATTGATTGTTGAATACTCTGGCTTTTGCAGGCCCCCTGCATTTTCATAATCAATGAAAATTCTCAACCACTCCAAAAATCAATCTGCTTGATGGTGTGTGGGCACCCTAGAGTGGTCTACAGGGTGTCAGAGAATGGACTATATTCTCTGTGTTTCAGGGCTTTGCTGAGACATCTCCAGTTAATGGGTCTCTTGCCTTACAAAAATTCCAGTGTACCAGTCCTGACTTAAACCTTCTCTAAAGTTTAGGGAAGTATGTAGGTCTGATGCCTGCAGAACTCTTTTCTAGCAAAACTGGTGTGTGTGTTTTGCCTGCTGCCTTGTAACAAACTCTTACCTATGTTATATTTCCTTTTGCGTTTAGCCTTTGTACTTGCCACAGACTAGGAAAGGACTTTATGTGGGTTAGGAGTCTCCAAGGCAGGAACTCTCAGATTCATGATATATTAGAATCACCCAAGGAGACAGTCAAAATTCAGATACCTGGGCTCCCTTCCACATGCCCAGAGCCTGATTTAGTAGATCTGAAGGGGATGTCTAGAGAGTTTGTGTTTGTACCAAGTGCCCTGGTAATTCTGCTGCAGGTAGAGCATGAACATGAGGTGTTCTAGATGGTGAGGACCCCACGTCACATATGAATCCCCTGCCAAGTGACTAGAACTGTAACTTAGAACACGTGCTGTGGGAAATCCATGTGATTTGATTGATTCACAGTAACAAGGAGGGAGAGAAGTTTCCGAAGCAGTTTTGTCAATAGGGCATGAATTCCTTTAAGTAGTCATAAAATATTACTCAGTAACAGACTAAATGACTAGTTCCCATAAAGGAAACAGATTCCTTAAATGGAGAAAAAAAATGACAGCTTAGTTGTCTCCCAGTGATGCTGAATCTTTAAGGACCTAAATACCAGGAGAACTCTGTGGACAAAAGCAGAAGGATGTTAATCATGTGGCAGAAACGTCATTGAGGACTTACAAACCCCTTCTTCCCGGGTGACCTTAGCCAGATGCCATTAAGAATATGCATCAAGGTGGGCTAGGAGGCGAGGGCGTGGCTCTCCTCCACAGTCCCTCTCATTGGTTGGTGATGCTCCCTGCATGTCCAGCTACACACGAGTACCTCTGAAACTGGGCAAAAGGCAAGCGTTTCTGCTGGACTAACAGCGAGAGGGGATCATTTCTGCTTTTGACTGGCTTATTCAGCCACATGTTGTGTGAGGACACATGTGGGCATGCTGGTCAGGGTGACCTGGGGAGGAGAGTTGTGGGCCAGAGGAAGGCTCTGGATGCAGATGGGCAGGGCTCGAATCCCTGCACGCCTTTACGCATGCCCCTCTACCCAAGACTCAGTGCCTCCTAGAAACTGAGGATAATAATATCTCCCTCAAAAGGATGTTGTGAGAATGAAATAACACATGAACAACACTTAGAATACCTGGAACGTGCCTCGCTCTTAATAACGGTTCAAATAGATGCCACTCACAGGTGTCACACTGGGGTTTTGTTTTGGACTGCACAGACCGGCCGTTTGGTGGTGGTATACGGCTGT
Source organism: Homo sapiens (assembly GCF_000001405.40). Lineage (NCBI taxonomy): Eukaryota > Metazoa > Chordata > Mammalia > Primates > Hominidae > Homo > Homo sapiens. The sequence continues at coordinate 54,768,224 of NC_000014.9, read as the reverse complement.
TCATCGCGTTAAGTATTCAACATGACCTTGAGCTCCAATAGCACACAGCAAATGACTTCAAGGTCTCTAAACTATAATACTGAGCTGGTCTGGTGCCAGCCTGAAGGACAACTGGCCTGAGTTTCCAAGTGACAACGGAGTAAAGGGCTCATTTCATGGATGTGCTTCCTAAGACATCATTACAGACATGACATCTTCCCTGGTGGCAAACAGCATCCAAGAAGGTGGGAATGTTGGCGCCTTCCTGGGGAGGTCGGCGCATTCCCTGAGCACCTCAATGGGCAGCGGGCTCCTTTCCTTCAGGGCTGCAGATGGGAGCCAGCCCATTAGCAGTGCTGAGTGAGAGTGGGGGCCGGTTCTCAGCTGGGGATGTGGTGCTCGGTTGTGGCTGGCTTCAGGAGTTTCTGAACACTGGTTCCTGGCCTACAGGGGAGTGCTCAGTTATGGGGGATCTGCATTGGCTATGATGCCCAAAATCTCACTGCAGCCCCCTCCGCTGGCAGCCCCAGGTTGGGCTGGGGAGCAGCTTCCCAAGGGGCCTGGAGGGGAAGGGAAGGCTTCATGCCCAGCAACTGCCCAGGCACCCCTAGTCACCACTCCAGAGTTCTGGCCCTCTCAGGCCTAGACCAATGCATCTGTCTGGAGGAAGATGGCTATGGTGTCCCAGCATATGTGGCTGGATGAAAAGGTTCATAAAGCGGCAAGAGCTCATCTTCTCAGAGCCACCTCAAGACACAGGGAAGTGCCCAGAGGCCTGGGATTATAATTCAGGAGTCAAAGTGACTGGTCTCAGAAGTAAAATTCAGAACTTTCCTCTCCTTCCATTCATGACTCTGGGGACTCGGTCCCTCCATCCCGGGAAGGAAGGGAGGTGTCCTGGCCCACTCAATACCTTCCCTGCTCCCAGCCAGCTAAGGAACAGCGTGTCCGGGCTATGAAGGGGCGTCCTGTCTCTCTGTGCCCGGGTGAAACTTCTTCCAGGATGGAGGCTGTGCGCCTTCACGGGGCCTCACAGGCAGGGCGTGTTCTACCCACACAGAATAACCGGAGGCTGTGGAAAATTATTCAGACAGCTTTTCCTCTCTCTCAAAGTAAAATCATAAAAAGCCCTGAACAACATTTTCCCTTCCAAAGCAGCACGCAGGCCCCTCCATCCTGACATGAACTTAGCAAGCAGACACCTCACCAGCTCCTTCCTGACCGGGGCCCCCAGCCACGAGAGGCCCCTCTGGGCAACCAGAGGAGATCACCTGGGGCTGCACGGAGGTCAAGGGGAAAAAACAAAACCAGAGCCAGGGTACCAAGGGAGGACATGCAGGATGGCAGGCAAGCAGGAAGCGTCAGGCCAGAGTTTCGGGGCTGCCGAGGGACAATTAGGAAGCCTGTGGATTGTTTGGCACAGGTAGCTGGAGGACTCACGATTTCTGTCTCATGGGCTCAGCTGTCTTGAGGCAAGGTGGACAGTACCTTGTCCTCCAATATCAATGCTGAGAGCAGGCGTGGGAGAGGAAGCAGAGTTCCGGTGTGCTTTTATCAGAGGCTGAAATCCTCCCCATTCCGTCTGCCCCAAGCCACCCACAAATGTCCTACTTCTCAACAAAACACGGAGCCCTGCAGACATCACTCTCTTCTGCCTCCTTACGAACCGAGTCTGTACCACCAGGACTCTCGCTTGCCTTTCAGGTCTCAGGGTGGAGAGGGTTCCTCCACGGAAATGCCCTGTTCTGGCTCCAGGTTTGGTGCCCGCTGCTGCTGCTCCTCTGTGCTCCAGGGCACTCAGGGATGACCTTATCAGAGGCTTTCTCATCATGGCTGTGATGGCCTGTTTCTTTCTGTCTCACCCCTTCTCTCACTACTGTAACCTGCCTAATTCTCTCACTACTGTAACCTGCCTAGGTGCTCAGTAAGTATCTAGGGAATGGACGAGTTGTAACATTCTTCACTGTGTTCTTGCTTTCTCTTCCTTTGTCGCTTTTTCCTGGCCAAAACGAGTCCAGTGTCAGGATTCGAAATAGAAAAGGATTAGTCAAGGCTTGTGGGGAGAAGGCCTTGTCCCTGAAACAAAGTCACAAATAAGCCTTCAGTACGGGCTTTTGACAATGCCTGGGTGCTCTAGGGAAGCCATTAAAGAGGGAAAAAACCATTTTTTTTTCAGTGAAAAGTCTAGTACTTTGGTATAGTTAAACATTTCAGAGGATGGCGTGTCTGAGCCCCCAACCTAGGCGGCTGGTCACTGTAGTCACACTGACAACTTTGGCCAGAGCCGCTTGGGCACATAAGAATCCATACGGCCAAGAGGAGAAACTGCAAAAATGAGGGTTTGGGGAAGTGGGGAAGGGGGAGCTGGGATGGAATCCCAGAGGGGGACTGTACCCTTGTATGTGAAGTGTGGGTAGTGGGTGAGGGCCGTGAGAACTTCGATAGCACAGGGCCCATGTGACAGCTGGAAGGGTGAGAACATGAGAGGGAAGTGGAGAAGGGGCCTGGCCGCTGTGCTGGGCGTCTCCCTTCACCGGACCCTACTGGACTCCTGGAGTACTGGCTGCCCATGCAGCAAAGGTGAGGAGGCCTGGGGCCTTTACTATTTTTTTTTTTCCCCGAGACAAGTCTCACTGTGTTGCTCTTGCTGGAGTGCAGTGATAGGATCATAGCTCACTGTAGCCTTGGCCACCTGGGCTCAAGCCATCCATCCTCCCACCTTGGCCTCCCGAGTAGCTGGGATTACAGGTGTGCGCCACCACACCTGGCTTTTTTTTTTTTTTTTCGTAGTGACAGGGTCTTGATATGTTTCCCAGGCAGGTCTCAAGCTCCTGGCCTCGAGTGATCCTCCCACCTCGGCCTCCCAAAGTGTGGGGATTACAGGTGTGACCCACCACCCCGGCCCCCTTACTATCTTATTCTCACATCGAAATCCTACAAAAAGACTTCACCATCCTAGGTTTATCTGGTCCCAAGTTTTCTCTAGTCTAGGCCTTGCTGCTGTAGCTCTTTGTGGGGAGGGAGGGGTGCCCAAGGAGCCACTGGAGTTTTAGGTCTGAGGTGCAACTCCCTCTCCCTACATGTCCCTTAGGGACAGCCACCAGTGCTGACGGCTGCCTAGCCCCGCCATGCCAAAGGGTCTATCTCACTCTGTATATGAAGACTGTGCCTGAGGGTCCAGTAGGCACACCTGCAGCCTGCCTCAGGCCTCCTCCAAAAGGATATGTGGCAAATACGATTCCTACAACAATCGCAAGCCCAAACACACACACACATATACACATTCATTATTTCTTTATGGGCTCTCTTTCTCCCTTCCTCTCTCCAGTTCCCTGAGCTAAAAGGCAAGAGTTCAACACAAGATTTTTAAAAGACCTGACAATGCCCAGGGCTAAGCAGCAGGGCTCATGTGTTACCCTCTGAGGCTTGGCCACCCGGGGCTGCTTCCCCAGCCAGAAGTCGTTGCAGGCGTTCACTGCACATCAGAACACTCAGTCTGGGCAAATCTTTGGACACCAAAGTAATGTTCAAGCTGTGTTTGGGTTTGAGGCTGTCATAGCCTAGTTCTGCCCAACCTATTATTAATAACTGTCCACCACTCAAAAACAAGTTGTTGGAGGCTAAAATGATCACATCACAGAAACTCTGAGAACCATTTCTAAGCAATAAAAAAAAAATGGTTTTGTAAAACCTGTCACTACTCACCTCATGAATTAGACACTTGTCTATGAGCTGTAAATAGGAACTTATATTTTCCTCATCAGGTCTGGAGACCAAGAGCTGTGTGCACACTGTAATTAAAAAGAAAAGATGAATTAGAAAAATGCACCCCTTTCTAATCTCTGGGACCTGACTCTCATTTCCCTTCAGGTCCAACACTCTGAGAGGTATGTGTGTCTGTGGCTTTATGTAAGGCTCACAAAAAAGGCCAAGAGGCTCCTCATTCCACAGAAGTCAAAGGCTGGGTCACCGTGGGAGCCCTTGTCTCGAGAAGCCCCTTGGGTTAATTCCAGTCATGCCATTCTATATGAAGCCTTCTGCAATAAGACACTGCAATAAGAGGAAGAACACAGCAGTGAATAGTGGCGTCCTGAGCTTGGTCTTTGAAAGTGGCTCTGTGTGAGGGGCTTCAGAAGTATCCAAGACCCTGACACTGTCAGAGAGCAGCCTCCGTGATTTTATGAATGAGCGCACACCCCTCGCCAGGTGCAGAGACAGCGGCGTTTGTGTTTGGAGGAACGAGCTGGCACCTCCTGGAGACGGGGAGGTGTGTGGGTGTGCACATGTGCAGGAGGCCTGCTACTCACTCCTCAGAGGGTTGCTTTCTCAGAGTGATATGCACATTTATGCACACACAGGCGCAGGCTCACCTACACACTCAAGTCAGTGCTAAATAGGATGGAACAGAGTTAGTCTGCGGGTAGAGTATACACACGCACTAGGTTTCTCACGGCCATGTTACTGTGGCCCATTCTGGTCTCATTGTAGAGGTGACGATTCCCCGACTTTCTTAGTCATGTGTACAGGGCCACAGTGGAGATGGGTGGACAAAAGGAGTCAGCCAGAGAGTAAAAATGTCTGACACTCAAGGAGACCAAGCTTGAAACCTGGCATCATACTTGATTCCTCCCTGTCCCTAACCCTGCATGGCTGATTGGTCACACAATCCCATTTATTTCTTGCCTTTGCACATACACTTTCAGTATAACATTGTTTGTCATAACAAAACCTTGTAAACTACCTCACTGCCTATTAATTGGGACTTTGTTAAATACATTACGGTTTATGCATACAGTGGAATAGTATGCCATCTTTAAAAAAAACTTTGAGATGGCGCTATTTGTACTGATAGAAATATTGTAAGTATATATACTTTTTAAATTTTATTATTTTGTTTTTGAGAGACAGGGTCTCACTATGTTGCCGAGGCTGGTCTTGAACTCCTGGGCTCAAGTGATTCACTTTGGCCTCCCAAAGTGCCGGGATTACAGGCATGAGCCACCGTGTCCGGCTATAG